>NC_000006.12:28847878-29150909 GCF_000001405.40 Homo sapiens | reverse complement strand
TGGGGCTTTTTGGAAGACTTCATTCATGAGTCTGTCTGTATTTGACCATGACTCAGACCTCGACCAATGCAAAAAGCATTTTCTCAGCAGGTATTTGTTGAAAATAATTTCAAGTGACTGCTTTAACTTCACTTCTGACTAAAGCAATTGATAAAAGTTGGGGCAGACCATAAAGCAATAAAAGAGCTTAAAAAATGTAAGGAATGGGATGTCTATAGGGATTTTGAAAATCTTTGCCATATGCCAGGAATTTCATGTATATGCATATGGCTGTGTTCAGATTCAGGACTCTATAAATGCTCAAGCAAGAACTGAGAAGATTCTAAACTCTTGTCTCTGGCTGACCTTCAGTATTTCAGGAAGAAGTAAGTGGAGGCTAAGGTAGAGATGTGAACTGCCTGACTAGGTGTCAGAGTCATGCCTCAATATGAACATAGAGGTCTTTGACAGAAACTGGAAGATTTATTAGTCCCAGGCATTGAAAGAAATTTCTGTCCAATTATTTGCTGGCCACTAGACTACCTGAGTACAGATTTTAATGGCCCTACACCACAAAGAAGGCAGACTTTAGAGAATTATTTGGGAGTATTCACTAAACAAGCAAGCAACAACTACATTAATAAGCAGCAACAACTACATTAATAAGCAGCAACAACAAATTCTAGTGAGACAGGGAGAATCTGGTTTCCACAGTTGCCATTTCTAGTATTTAAAATATTTAGTTTTCCAAATTTATAAGAAAGAAAAACAACCCCATTAAAAAGTGAGCAAAGAACATGAGCCGACAGTTTTCAAAAGAAGACATACATGCAGCCAACAATCATATGAAAAAAGCTCAACATCACTGATCATTAGAGAAATGCAAATCAAAACCACAAGGAGATACCTTATCACACCAGTCAGAATGGCTATTATTAAAAAGTCAGAGAAGAACAGATGCTGGGAAGGTTATGGAGAAAAACAAACATGTATACACTGTTGGTGGGAGTGTAAATTAGTTCAACCATTGTGGAAGGCATTGTGGCAATTCCTCAAAGTTCTAAAGACAGTAATACCATTTGACCCACCAATCTCATTACTGGGTAAGCACCCAAAGGAATATAAGTTGTTCAATTGTGAAAACACATGCATACATATGTTCATTGGAGCACTACTCACAATAGCAAAGACATGGAATCAACCTAAATGCCCATCAATGATAGACTCGATAAAGAAAATGTGGTACATACACACCGTGGAATACTATGCAGCCATAAAAAAGAACGAGATCATGTCCCTTTCAGGAACATAGATGGAGTTGGAGGCCATTATCCTTAGCAAACTAACACAGTAACAGAAAATTGAATACCACATGTTCTCACTTGTAACTGGGAGCTAAATGATGAAAACATATGGACACATAGAGGGAAACAATACATACTGTGGCCTGGTGGAGGGTGGAGGATGGGAGGACAGAGAGGATCAGGAAAAATAACTAATGGATGCTATGCTTAATACCTGGGTGATGAAATAATCTCTACAACAAACCCCCATGACCTGCGTATGTACCTTTGAACTTAAGATAAAAGTTTTAAAAATAAAAATAAATGAAATGAAGTATCTAGTTTTCAACATAAAATTATAATACAAGTGAAGAAAGACACAGGAAGTATGGGTCATAAAAGGAGGGGGAAATGCAATCAATAGCAGCAAATCTAGGTGTTGAACTTGTTGGACAAAGGCTTACATCAGCTACTTTAAAAATAGGGTCAAAGAGCTGAAATAAACCATGTTTAAAGAACTAAAGGAAGATATGACAACTATTTCTCACTAAATAGAGAAAATTATTAAAGAGATAGACATTATTTGTTGTTAAAGAACCAAGTCAAATTCTAGAGATGAAAAAGTACAGTGATGGAAATAAAAAATGCAGCAGAAGACCTGAACACCAGATTTTAACAAGCAGAAGGAAGAATCAACAAACTACAAGATAGGTCAATTGAGATTATCTAGTCAGAGTAATAAAAAGAAAAAAGAATGAAGAAAAATAAAACAGCCTAAAGAAATCTGAGACATTATCAACCATAGCAAACCACTGAAAACATCAGATGTTGACAAAGAGATAAATAACAGGAACTCTCATTCACTGATTACAGAAATCCAAAAGTGTACAACCACTCTAGAGGACAACTGGACAGTTTCATACAACACTAAACATCTTAACCATAGAATCCAGCACTCACGTGTCCTGGTATTAACCCAAATAATCTGAAACGTTATGTCCACACAGAACCTGTACACAAATGTTTGCAGTAGCTTTATTCCTAATTTCCAAAGCTTGGAAGCAAAAAAAAAAAAAAAGTCCTTTAATAAATGAATGAATAAGCAGACTGTGGTACATTCATAGAATGGAATATTATTCAATTATAAAAAATGAGTTGTAAAGCCCAGACCTGGAAGAAATTTAAATGCATATTACTAAGTCAAAGAAGCCAGTCAGAAAAGTCTACATTATATATGATTTCAATTGTATGATATTCTGGAAAAAGCACAGTTATGGAAACAATAAAAAATCAGTGGTTGTCAGGGGCTCCCGGGGAGGAGGGGAGGAAATGATGAATGGAAGGAGAACAGGGAATTTTTAAGGCAGTGAAACCATTCTTTATGATACTGAATGGGGGAATACATGTTATTAAACATTTGTCAAAACCCATAGAATGTAAAACACACACCATCAACCCTAATGTAAACTATGGAATTTGGTTACTAATAATGTATTAATATTGGCTTATCAATTATAACAAATGTACCACATGAATGCAAGTTGTTAATAATAAAAGAAACTCTGGGGGAGGGAGTAAAAGGGGTTACATGTGAGTTCTCTACACCTTCCATTCAATTTTTTGTAAACCTAAAGCTTCTGAAAAATAGTCTATTCATTTAAAAAATGGAAGAGATTGACAAGGTTTATTTAAAAAGACAATCCAATGATATACTGTCAACAATATATTCACTTTAGATTCAAAAATGCAAATAGGTTGAAACTGAAAAGATGAAAAAAGTATTCCATTCAAAGAGTAAGCAAGATAGAGTGCTAATGGATGGCTATACTGATATTACACAATATCAACAAAAAGACAAGAATTATTACTGGAAACAAAGAAGGACAATTTATGATGATAAAATCGCTGGTCCATCAAGAAGATACATCAATTATAAGTACATATGCACCTTGCAGCAGATCTCCAAACTACATAAAACAAAGACTAACAGAACTGTTTGGAGCAATAGATAATTCCATAATTATAGTTCAATGTCAGCATCCCACTTTCAATAACAATAGAACAATTAGATAAAGGTCCACAAGGAAATAGAAGATGTGAACAGCATTATAAACTAACTACAGCTAATTGACCTCTACAGAAAACTCCACCCAATAGTAGTAGAATACATATATTACTCAGGGCACATGAAACATTCTACAGATTAGTCTATAAGGTCATAAAGCAAATCACAATACATTTAAAAGATTAAAATAATGTAAAGGATGTCCTCTAACCACAATGGAATAAAATTAGAAATCAATATCAGGCAAAATATTGTGAAATACACAAGTAAGTGGCGATGAAACAACACATTCCTAAATAATGAATGGCTCAGAGGAAATCACAAGGGAAAATAGCAAATAATTTGCAAAGAATGAAAATAGAAACACAACATACCAAAGTTTATGGAATTCAGCAAAAGTAGATAAGCTAGAGATGTGTTTAAAAGAAAAAAATTCCTTTATCAGTCATTGTTTCTGAAATGACAAAAAGTGTGTGTGCGTGTGTGTGCGTGTACATATGTATGTAAAAATCAAGTAACAATATGTTCAAGATGATTTAATTGTATTATTTAAGTTGCTATTGTCAAAAACTATGCATACTAGAGGGGGAGACTTCAAAAGCAAAATAACTAAGAAAGCTTTCATTCTTTTGCAGAAAATTAAAAGAGAATATGATATAGAGATACTGTGTAGTATATTCATATTAGATATTCCTTCTTAGGTGACATTTGAGATCAACCTGAAACACAGAAAGGAGCCAGTCGTGATAAAATCAAAGAAAGAGCATTTTAGACCTAAAAACATCTAATTCAAAAGTCCTAAAGCAGGAAATGACCTTTGTTTGTAATGGAAAGTTACAGTCACCTATGGTCCCAGCAGAAAATAGATGGCATGCTCCTATGGGAACTGAAAGAGGTTTAACAAAAGAAGTAAATACAAAGTTGTGAGAAGGATTTAGGAACATCAACAAGGGATTTCTGTATATGTATTATATATGGACTACTCTGAATCTAGCAACAGTTGGGAGGCTTAGCAACCAACACAAGGCCTGAAGTAGCAAAGGGAGAAAGTACTATTACAAAGCAGAAAGAGAGAGAACCTGTACGTGGCTACATCCATGACCTGTGATCTTTGGTTGAGCAATACAAGTAGCCTCATTTGTCCCATCTGAAGGAGAGGGTAGGGGAAAATACTTCAAACTAGCTGCTGCCTCACTCTAATCCTCAGCTGGTGACTCATTGGCTGAACACAACCAGAAGTCAAATATCATGGAATTCTCTTGATTTCGCCTCTAGAGGCACAACACAGGGTAGAAACAAACATGGTTGGATAGAGAGTGAATCTGGGGCAGGGGAAGGAAGGGGGAGTGGAAAATATCCAGCACATATGTAATGTGGAAAGATGCACACCCTTATGACACTAACGGTTACCTTTAAAGAAAGGAGAGGGACAACAGACCATGACAGTAGGTCATCAAAGGGAATGCCTGTAATCCCAGCCACTTGGGAGGCTGCGGCAGGAGAATCGCTTGAACTGTACAGCAGAGGTTGCAGTGAGCTGAGATCATACCACTGCACTCCAGACTGGGCAACACAGCAAGACTCCATCTTAAAAAAAAAACCCTTTAAATTTGTATTTGCTATCCCATGCACTTGAATTTGTTTTTCAACATAATGTATTTATGCATTTTGTATGTAATTTTTAAAATCTCAAAGTTATCTGTGTATCTGCCTAATGTTATGTGGTATGTGCTTGGTGAGAGTGAAGAAATTATCATTTCATCATTTTAATATGAAAGCATTAAATATTATGAAATGTTTTAAACTATCACTTGATTCCTTCTCATTGGAAATATCTTTTTATTATCTTTCTTCCTTTTCAACTCATTTTTGTGCCCCTTTATTCTTACAACTAGAAATGATTAAATTTTATGTGAGGTAGTCTAGAAGTTAATGAGGTAAGGTATTCAGGGAATTCTCATTTAAGTTCCCCAGAATCATTTATTCAAACTAGCTCATCTCTAATTGCATCTCATTTAAAATTAGTGTCTACTGTTTTGGGAAATTGAGTAAATGTATTTTAAAACACATCTGACAACAGAAGAGACTTCCTACCAACCTCAGTTCAGTAGGAAACTAATTGTACATAAGTAGCATTTCCATAGAGATCTCTGTCCCAAGGAATTTTCTCTGCTAACTCCTCATCTGGGATAAGGATTAATGGCCTGTTGGAAAACAATGCCCAAGAGGTCTCAGGAAGAGCTTACAAATAACACATCCACAAAGCATTCTGATATTTTCTACTATTGTCTTCCTAACCCATGTTTTCTTCTCTTTGGAACCCTGTAACAATTGAAAACCTAAGTTGTGAAGCTAATTCTTAAATACTCATGTATACTACAGTTTATCCATCCTCTGAACGTTTGAAAAATTCAAGTGTATTCCTTCATAATTCCTTTTTATTGAAAGATATTTATCAAAAGGTGAGTAAAAAGGCACGTTTTCAAGTCCATGCATTCTTAGGGAAATTGAAATATGTGTAGATCATACTGCCACTGCCTAATATACATCTGAAAGGCAGAGAGCATTTCATTTCAGGGAGCCTTTTCTAACCTTTGGAAACAGCTGCTCAGTGGTTCTAAGAAGCAACTAGATTTCTCTTTGTAATTAATCTATCTCTCAATCTCTCACTGAAACCAAATTTAAAAACATTAAACCCATTTAAAATCATTATGATTTTAAATTTGGTTTCAGTGAGAGACTGAGAGGGAGATTTATACACTATATCTGAGAAATATTAAATGCCCAAAACAAATATGAAGCCTTCTTTCAATCAGGTGGATTTTTAGAATATATGTTCAAAATTGGATGGATTGATTTGTCTGTGTGTTTCATGCAGATTCCTAATGTCAGATAAAAATAACTTTTATTTCTTCTTATGATCTTTTACTATATAGAAAGTCTACAAGTGCAGTACATATAAAGAAAATATTGTGTATGGTAAAAATGAAGTATAAGCTACACTAGAATGAAGATGGAAGTGGAGATAAAACAGGAGACATCAACAGGAATAGGGTCTGGTACTTTATTTATCTTTTTTAAGTGAAAGCAAGTTTATTCAGAAAGTAAAGGAGTAAAAGAATGGCTGGCTACTCCATAGACAGAGCAGCCCCAAGGGCTGCTGGTTGCCCATTTTTATGGTTATTTCTTGATGATATGTTAAACAAGGGGTGGATTATTCATGCCTCCCCTTTCTAGAACATACAGGGTAGCTTCCTGATGTTACCATGGCATTTGTAAACAAATGTACTCTACCATATAGGGCAACTTCCTGACGTTGTCATGGCACTGATGGGAGTGTAGCAGCGAGGATGACCAGTGGTTACTCTCATCGCCATCTTGTTTTTGGTGGGTTTTGGCCATCTTCTTTAGAGTAATCTGTTTTATCAGCAAGGTCTTTATGACCTGTATCTTGTACTGACTTTCTGTCTCATCCTGTGACTTAGAATGCCTTAACCATCTGGGAATGCAGCCCAGTAGGTTTCAACCTCATTTTACCCAGCTGCTATTCAAGATGGAGCTGCTCTGGCTCACATGCCTCTGACATTTCCTCCCTCCCCTTTACAAGAGAACCCTTAATCCTAAGGGTTGGAGAGGGACAAAGATCCATCTCCTTCTGTAGCTTCTTCAGGCTTAAGAGGAGCAATGATATTCCTGCCTAACAATTAGAGTCTCTCGTATTTGGGGTAGAGAGGAGCTCGTCAAAAAGCATTGGTATGATGAGAGCCATTCATAACTCTGAGTTTCAACAAGAGGTGCTATCTGAAAGATTGATAAGTGTTCCATTTAAGAAAACATTCACTAAGCATATTCTGCATCCGTATGCAAAGAGTACAAATGCAATGTATTCCACAGCAGCAAAGCAAAATAAGTAAAATTATTCCAGGTAAACTAAATTTAAAGGCTTCCCATGAACTGAGCAACTGTTAAAACCAAGCTGATACAGGGTTGCCAGATGATTCCAATATGTGCCCATGATTAGAATATTGGTCCAGATTTTTACATTACCCAAACCTCTTGTATCTTCTGAGTAACAGTCTAAGATCACTGGTTGGTTCACAGGAATAAGCAGGTTTAGCCTAAATTGTAGAAACAAACTTAAAAACAACTCATGAGACTAGAATTTAATAACAAGTGTACCATACTTCTTGAAACATAATTTTTCTCACTTCAGTTTCTCATTTTTACTGAAGACAAATTATGATAAGACTGATTTACTTTATTGCACTTGGCCTGATTATTTGTATAAAGTGGAACAAGAATAATTATTTTATACATTACCAAAATTTCTTTGTCAATCACGTTTTTGCCAGTGGCTGTGGTAACGAGTTTTGTCATACACAGACAATTGTCTTGTTTTAATCCTCTTCAAAAGGTGGTTTATAGTCAGCTATACAACTCTAACGGATGTTCTTAAATGCAGGTTTCTGATAACTTTGGAAATTGTGACATTAGAATAGAGGAAACAACTTTTGCAACTCTCGTGAAGAACAGGAATGTTCATGAATATCAAACAGAACAGGAGTTAACTGCATAAACTAAACTAAAAGAATAAACTAATCTTTTTGACTTTGCTTAAAACGTTGCTAACCCTTTGTTTTGTTTTCCAGAGTTAAGAAAACTTTTACTTTGAGCTATTTACAGCCTTTAGCAATTGAGTAAAGTATACTTCTGTGGAAAAAAAAAATGGACCATATTTGTTTCTCTCTACCTGATTTCTCCAGAATTTGGAGACTGTTTGTGAGTATTCTTAACTGATGGCAATATATTTATTTGCATAAGTGCAATAAGAATCTGTTTTTTTTTTTTTGTAGCAGGACACAGTTGGAGAAATTGGTTATTTTACCAAGGCTTTGACTGGAATGGTGTGTTTTCCTTTAAGGAATGAAACTTGACTTATAGAGCCAATAAAAACCCCTTGGGGAACTGACCTTCTACCTTGCCTACACAGTCCCTATACAGGGTTTCTGGCCTGTGGTAAGTAAAGAATGTCATTTTCTAACATTCCAAGGATTCCTGCTTTATCTTGGGACCCCATGAGGAGAGGAATTTACTCAACTCATGGGTCTGGCACTTTAATAAAGTGGCTTTAAACATTTGTGATTAAGTAAATCCCCATGTAGTAAAATAGTGATGAAACATTTCTTGAAGTATAAGATCCAAAAGACAGATAAAATCCCAAAGCTAAAAGAAATAAAATACAAGAATGACATGAGAAAAAAATATGAGATCTAAGAATAGAATTACAGAGCTTAAATATACTTCAAAATTAAATCACATTGATTAGTCATTCCTAGTCTGATGTCTTCAGGGAAATGTCCAGAGAAATGGAGGAGCTCTGGGTGACCACCACTCACAGACAAAATATACTTAATAAAGTTAATAACAAAATCCCAAATAATATAAATTTAATAAAATTGCGGAAGACATACTGGAGTGAATATTGTCATTAAAGGTAGTTATAATTAGTTATAATTATGGAAGAATTCATGGAGGATCAAATCTAAAATTGCTTTTTAAAAAATTCAAGGATGGTCCCTGGTAGAAAAAATATAAAAGGTGAACATAACAATGTTAAATAAAGATAGCAGGTATCTAATAGTGAAATTATTTAATAATGTAATTTGCAATTCTCAGAATACAGGCATGCACCACATAATGACATTTTCATCAATGACTGACCATGCATGTGTTCAACAGTGGTCCCATAAGATTACAATGGAGCTAAAAAATTCCTGTTGCCTAGTGACACTGTATCCATGATAATGTTATAATGTAACACATTACTCAAGTGTTTGCAGTGATGACGGTATAATCAAACCTGCACTGCCAGTCATATAAAAGAATAACACATAAAATTGTGTGCAGTACATAATACTTGATGATGATAAATAAATATGTTACTGGTTTATATTTTTGCTATACTATACTTTTTATGATTTTTTATACTCCTACTTATTTTTAAAAAGTTAACTGTAAAACAGCCTCACACAAGTCTTTCAGCAAGTATACCAGAAGAAGATATTGTTATTATAATCATAGGAGATGACAGCTCCATGCATGTTATTGCCCCTGAAAACCTTCCAGTGGGACAAGGAGCTGGAAGACAATGATATTGATGATCCTGACCCTGTGTAGGCCTGGGCTAATGTGTGTGTTTGTGTCTTCATTTTTAACAAAAAAGTTAAAAAACTTAAAAAAATAGAAATAATTTATAGAATAAGGATATAAACAAAGAACATACTTTTGTACAGCTGTATGATGGGTTTAAGTGTTATTCAATAATCAAAAAGTTAAAGAAATTAAGAAGTTTATGAAGTAAAAATGTTACAGTTAGCTAAAATGAATTTATTATTAAACAGAGAAAAGTGTTTTTTAGTAAATTTAGTGTAGGCTATAGACAGTGTTTACAAAGTCTATAGTAGTGTACAGTAGTGGTCTAGGCCTTCACATTCCCTCACCATTCACTCACTGACTCACCCAGAGCAACTTCAAGTCCTGCAAGATCCATTTATGGTAAGTGCCCAATATAGGTATACCATTTTTTATCTTTTATACCATATTTTATTGTACCTTTTCTATTTTTATATATGCTTAATACATAAATACTTACCATTGAATTATGATTGTCCACAGTATTCAGTAAGGTAACATGCTGCACAAGTTTGTAGCCTAGGAGCAATAGGCTATATCACATAGCATAAGTGTGTACTAGGCCATACCATCTAAGTTTGTGTAAGTGCACTCTATTCACACAATGACAAAATCACTTAACAATACATTTCTCAGACTATATTCCTCTTGTTAAGCTATGTATGACTGTATTTATTTTGACATCAAATTAGTTTATATCATGCCTTTATTTCATCTTTCATTTCCAATACGGATTTTCATCTGAAAAAGCACTCAGGCCAAGACATATTTCTAAATTTGATGCACTCATATAACATCTTGATTAAATCAAGGTCAAATAATGTGAAGGGGGTCACACTCATTCAGGAACAACCCTCGAGTACAGATGCTTTCTGGGGCTCTTGAAACTCTGAGTTTATAGTCTCAATATTTTATTACCTCATTTAAAGCAGCAATTACTTTTCAATCTTTAGGATGTTCTTAGTCATTAGCAGAGTATGGAAACAAATGATTAACAATATCTTAAAATATGGATAGTAAAATTTTCTTTGTCATAGCGTTTGGGGATGGATACTAAATGATTTAATGGTGTAGAAAGCATATGGGGGTGTTTGACACAGAGGGTTCACTAAGGACTAGTTGGAAAGAGTGTTATTATTGTTTTGCACACTTCCGGCGTGAGATAGCATATAATCAAAGGGCAACATTCACATGTTAGCCCTGAGGAGCTTTGTATGACACCTCACAGGATGACTTTGAAGATGTAATGAAACAGAGAATGTGGAAGCTGTGCTTTATAAACTTATAAATGTAATCTGTTACCATTAAACAACTAATTGACTGGCAGAGTTACTCAGAATGTTGTCACTGAGATGCTATCTTAACTTTTCAACCGAATATTTCTCATCCTGCAGAAAATTGTGATATTCATAAAACACATGTCACCACTAAAAGAAAAGCATATGAGCAAAAAATTAATCTTTCTCAAAATACTGCTTCACTAAACTAGTTGAGGTTGGTATATCAATGTACTTTCTAGCTGAAAAAAAAGGAAAGGTCTTGAAAATGTAAAATAATTTCAGATTTGACTGTCTCTAAGCCTAAATTGGGACATCAACTTTTGTCCTGACTGCAGTCACTCAGAACTAAAAGACATATTTGTAGTTATGTGCAATCAGTGGGTCATGACAACTATCCAAACTCTTATATTAAAGCAAGATGATAATCTCATTGAATAAAAAAATTTTTTTCAAAATGGATGTTAGCTAAAATTTAACATAAAATATCAAATGCCCAAAGGTTGAACTAAATCGTAATGAATAAAAGCCCAAGAATGCAAAATCGAATTCCTGAGCATAGGGAAACTTTGTCATTGTAGGTTAACTCTCTCAATTTATACTTGAGAAAACAGACAATAAAAGTATTTAATTTTCTTGTTCAATTTCAAATCGCTGAGATAGATTTAAATCCAAAAGTCTTCTTGCCTCCCTTGGAGATGATATGATTATTTAACTAACTAGTTGGAGCTGGACAATGCTATCTTGATGATTCTTATGACTCCAGGTTTTCTCCTCCTTTTTCTCCTACCATTGCTACCTCAATATGTTTATTCTTCTTAGCATTTCAGTAATGCCTTGCAGCACTGTTTCTGAAAATGAACCATCCTGTTCCTCAGCCCCAGGCCACATTTACTCTATCAGACACCTAAAGATAGGAAACAATAAATTTCATTCTAGCAACCTTCTCAGCTGATTTTTATGCAACTCAAAGTTTGAAAACTATACGGTCACTTTTACTTTGTATTTAATCCTCACCTCACTCAAGAATGGTAGTTATTGTCAACCTTCTTACACAGAAGAAGAAATTCCATTTCAGAATGGTTGGGTTACTGGATTAAGATATCTGCCTTTAATTTGTAGTGTCCCATAGGAAAATAAGATCACCTGATACCAGATGTTTTATGTTATTCTGACCCCAGGTTACTGCACCCTGTCATCTATAAGTAGACAATCAATGCATCACCATGTTTTGTCGATACCCATAGCTCTACCTTCTTTGGCATATCCCTACTACAGGTGAAACAAATTGAAGATAATGCCACTAACTAATGAAAGCCACCCTGAAGAATTTATTCTGCTAGGCTTTGCAGACCGCCCTTGGCTAGAGCTTCCTCTGTTCACTAGTCTTCTTATAATGTACCCTATAGCCGTGATGGGAAACATCACAATCATTCTCATGTCCAGGTTAGACTCTCGTCTTCATAGCCCCATGTATTTCTTCCTCACCAACCTCTCCTTTTTGGACATGTGTTATACCACAAGCATTGTCCCTCAGATGCTGTTTAACCTGGGAAGCTCTAAGAAGACCATCAGCTATATGGGGTGTGCGGTTCAGCTTTATTTCTTTCACATAATGGGGGGAACAGAATGTTTGCTTTTGGCTATTATGTCCTTTGATCGCTATGTGGCCATCTGCAGACCTCTTCACTACACCCTCATCATGAATCAGCGCGTCTGTATCCTTAGTTTCCACCGTGTGGCTAATTGGAATAATCTATGCTGTCTCAGAGGCCACTGCCACATTACAATTGCCACTGTGTGGTCTCAATAAACTGGACCACTTGGTGTGTGAGATTCCTGTTCTGATAAAGATTGCCTGTGGTGAAAAGGGTTCTAACGAGCTCACACTCTCTGTGGTATGCATTTTTATGTTAGCTGTCCCACTATGCTTAATTCTTGCTTCCTATGCTAGTATTGGAAGTGCTGTATTTAAGATCAAATCTTCCAAGGGAAGGAAAAAGGCCTTTGGGACATGCTCCTCCCATCTTATTGTAGTTTTCTTATTTTATGGCCCAGCCATCAGCATGTACCTTCAGCCCCCCTCCTCCATCTCAAGGGATCAACCCAAGTTCATGGCCCTCTTCTATGGAGTGGTGACTCCCTCACTCAACCCTTTTATCTACACCCTGCGGAATAAGAATGTAAAGGGGGCATTACGCAACTTGGTGAGGAGCATTTTCAGCTTTAAGTGATAGTGGGTAGACATAAAATGAAGTTATTGAACAGTTAGAGTAGGTTGCTATGGTTTTATCTAACAAATTCTTGTCTCATAATCAAATATCGCTTTACATGTTCTTGCAAAATATGTTATGTCTCCGAGACTCTTTGTAAACATGTTCAGCAAGGATTATACTTGGCTAGTAGGCACATTATATTATGGAAATATATTAAAATAGTTCTATACTGGTTGGTACATACAGAGATAGTAACTGTGTTAAGTAGTAAAAAAATTAGTAAAATGAATTTATTAGTTCAAGCTAATTGTAAAAATAGTATAGCAACCACTCATCAATGAGCCTCCTGTCAGAGTCACCTGAGAAACATTCCATCACTCTCTGCATGTTGTCCCAAGTCTAAATGGGCAGTGTGGCTACACTGGGCATTCAATGTGAAGCACATTATACTTTGGAATAATCATGAGTCTCATAAGCTTATCAACCCCAATTTATGTAGATACTATTGCTTCTTAAAAATTCAGTGTAATTCTTTTTTAACAAATAAGTATGCAGTGATTTTGTATTTTTAATTAAATAATTTATTATTAAATTTTGAAATGAGTGGAATAGTGGGACAAAAAGTATGAAAAAGTTTCTGATACTTTCCTTTTACATACTATAATAATGAGTCTTCGAATCAGTGAGATAACAAGGAAGTGATATTAATAATGAAACACAACCTGGAAGCATTTCCGTGCACAATTTGGAACAGCCAGGAATGCCTTTTGGAACTAACTGTGTTAGAATCAGAATCAGTATGAGAAAAAAATAATTTGCATTTCTGGAACAAAAAGCAACTTGATTACCTCAACAAACAATATGTCTTTTTACTGATGTAAATGTTAAATGCAAATGATGTACAAAACCTGTATCATTAAAAGTTGGAAGTGCTAAAACTTAGTTCTAGGACTCACACCCCAAAACTTAAAACTTTGTCACGAAATTAGTTACAATTTATGAGAGCAAATGAATAGATTTTATATTTACTTGGTGTTGAATTAATATGTTGAGAGTTCAACACGGTGTTGTGTAGTGAAGAAGTAAATACTTGTAAGAAAAACAAAAGGTCATTTGGACTTTTCTGGCATAACTTCTGGTATGATCAAGATCTAAGCCAATAATTGGAAGGAAAACCTCATGTTAGTTCAAACAAGAATCAACTGCAAACCAGATACACTTGCTGAAAAATAACAGATCATCTGGTGCTGATACAGATCCTCAAATCATTGAACTTTTATATATCTAGTTTGGAAAAAAATTTAAGTAACTTTAAAAATTGGCATATTTCTGGTTGATTGCCAGAAAAATGTTTTCAAATTTTATACACATGCACACACAAACACATGACCTAATTCTGTGGTGTTAGACAATAGCTTTGATCATTTTTATTAGTTAAGGTATAGTTTGTCTAACTTAGTCTTATATACAGAAGTATATAGTAATTTCTAGTTTTGAAGGCAAAACACAGAACGATTTTTGTCAAAAGCTTTGCTATAAAAACCCATTACAGTTCATCTGACTCTCTCAAATTATCCTCCGTCCTTGGCTAATGTATATACTACCTTCAAGTCCTGTAAAAAACATTCATTTCAGAGGCATGAGTGAAATCTAGACACAGTGAAAAATCAGGATTTCCTAAGAATTATATGCAAAAATCTCAGAATAAAGAATACTCAGAACAGTGGACTGGAAAACCCACAGAAAGGTTTTATTTGGACTTTGCATTTCCAGGGAATATATACTGCTCAGTATGCTACAGCATGAAGGATACTTCAGTCAACTTTTGAAAAATTCTGTAGAAGAGAAGGGACGCATTATACTTGAAAGAGAAAGCGTGCTCTACCTTTTGTGTAAAGCATGAGCAATTCTGAGATTGCCTTTCAAGGAAAGTGATCTAAAGTTCTTATTTCCCCAAGCAAGTAGGCCTTTCCTAAATAACAAATGGAAGAAAACAAAGCATTTTAACCCTAGATTTAAAGTCACTAAAAATGTATTTGGAAAAATATTTAAGGTAGAACTCAAGAAGGTTTAACAGTGGCTTTCTCCATATTAGAGATGTCCTAAGATCTGCATAGCATAATAACTGCAAGGCAAGAAGTGCTAACATGCACCTTCAAGAATGTGCCTTTGGGATGAGTTCATGTCCTTTGCAGGGACATAGATGAAGCTGGAAACCATCATTCTGAGCAAACTATCACAAGGACAGAAAACCAAACACCACATGTTCTCACTCATAGGTGGGAATTGAACAATGAAAACACTTGGACACAGGGCGAGGAACATCACACACGGGTGCCTGTCATGGGTTGGGGGGCAGGGGGAGGGATAACACTAGGAGAAATACCTAATGTAAATGATGAGTTAATGGGTGCAACAAACCAACATGGCACATGTATACCTATGTAACAAACCTGCACTTTGTGCAAGTGTACCCTAGAACTTAAAGTATAATAAAAATAATAATAATATAGACACAGAAGCAAAAAAAAAAAAAAAAAAAGAATGTGCCTTTGGAATGAAAAAAGAAGACTAATTAAAGTACTCAAAGAAGAATTAAAAATATTTTCAAAAGGCAAATAAAAATTGTAATATTTAATAGGAGTATATAGTAATACATCACTGGCTGAGGAAATATCATAATCATAATCAAAAAGTCATGTTAAAAAGGAGAACTCACAACTATTGAAAAGCTGCCATGAGCTAGTAAAAGTGTTAAACATATTGTATGTATGGTCTTATTTAATCTTTCAATAACCCTTTAAGGTATGTATTAGCCACATTTGATAGATAATGAAAATGTGGTTCACTAATTCTTGAGCTTGCATAGTGTACGTCAGAACTAGAATTTGAAAGCTTTCAATTACCAAAAATTCATGCTTTTTCCACCTTATAACAAACTACTTGCAAAAATGATGGAAATTTAAAATTATACATTCAAAATCATGAAGAATTCAATGTTTCCATCTGAAATTCCATGGGGCAATATGGGAGACTGAAAGGAGGATCTATGTTGAATGAGAACCAGGAACCAGAACCAAGGCTGATATTAAAGAATGTGTGTTTCTATAGGAGATGAGAACTTGAAGGATTTTAAACCCTGAGACAATGTAAGACCTTTATTTTATGACTACATTTAGCAAAGTAAAAAACCACTTGGAGTACAAAAACATAGGAAATTAGTTAAATGTACTGCAACAATCTTTGCAATAGATAATGAGGCTCTCTAGTAGGATAAGAGAAGTAAAAATGAAAAAGATGGGGGAAGTGTGAGAGATTAACATAGGAGGTTAACTTGGAAATTTTGTTAAATGTGTGTCCTCTGGGAAAGAGATGAGCCAAAGACAGTGGTGATGATGTTTTAAGTCTGCAGGATTGAGCAGAAGGTGTAGATTATTTCAACGACTTTAATATCAAGGAAAGTAGTTTTTGAAACAGAAGTTAAAAGGACTCTAGAAAAACTGAAGTCAAATTCCGCGGAAGATGTTACTAATTATCTACAAGAAGAAATAGACATCAGTTGGCCGGGAGCAGTGGCCCACGCCTATAATCCCAGAATTTTTGGAGGCCAAAATGAGCAGACCACCTGAGGTCAGGAGTTCAAGACCAGCTTGGCCAACATGGTGAAACCCCATCTCTACTAAAATTATAAAAATTAGCCAGGTGTGTTGGCATGTGCCTGTGGTCCCAGCTACTTGAGAGGCTAAGGCACAAGAATGGTTTCAACCTGGGAGGCACAGGTTAAAGTGAGTGGAGATTGTGCCACTGCACTCCAGCCTGGGCAACAGAGTGAGACTCCCATCTCAAAAAAAAAAAAAAAAAAAAAAAGACATTACTTGCAAAAAGAGAATTAATTGTTATCAAAAATTTTATTTATAAAGGATAAATCTAAATGAAATTTTAGCATTTCTTTTTTGGAGACATTAAAGATATCCAACAATTTAACATGATGTTATATTAAGATAAAGGGTTTATGCATACCATACTTAGTATGATATATAATATACATTTTAACAAGAATTAATATTGGGAAGTGGACAACAGTAGTTTCTGCAGACACTTCTAAGTCTTAGAGTCTGTAATCCCCTTTCCCCAGAAAAACTCTTCAAAGTAAAATAATAGTATTTATAAGAAACACTGATAAGTGTCCAACTTAAGGTTGTTTTAATATATGTGATATGTGATATGCTGTCTGCATTAGGATAGTGAGGAGGCAGGGCTCAGTGGGCAATAGAGAGGATTCAAATGTTTTTGCAGAGAAACTGCTTTAAAATTTGCTTCTGGAATTTCTCCCCTTGCTATGATTCCAATATCCTTCCACTGAGCAAACAGTAGAGTTAACTGCACCATGGGGACATCATCTTCTTCTATCTCAGGGGATTCATTATCTCAGATCTCAAATTCTTAAGTGCAGCAAATCCTCTAATCATTTCTTTCTTGAATCCATAGAAGCTATTTTGCTAGAAAGAGTACCAACTAATGACTGAATCTGAATTCACTATGTGACTCTTAGGCAAATGGGCACATCTGACAAGTCACATTATAAGGCTATTAATAAGTAATTTTGACTGGTCATCTATGTACATCAATAGCTTTGTTAGTATATAGGTATTATGTGGCTTTTCTATATGAACTAAGGAATATGTTAACATAAATTATTTTCTGATTAATACGTTCAATTTGCATGAGCACAATTCTTAGTATGAACATTATATCATATTATAATTAAGACTGTATTTTAAAATTCATAATTGGCAAGAAATGGCCAGGTTGTCTTTTCTATTTGAGAAAACTATCTGAAAAAAATGTCTTTAGATTTTTAAATGACAGTCGGTATACCAAGTACTTTAACAAACATCTCACTTGAAACAAAGATTTTATGGCTGAAGGAAAAAATTTGAGATGCATTCCTTTTAAAATATTTATAATAAAGGACTGACACATGGTCTATTGTCTGTGAAACTCCTGTGAATAGTTCTATCTATGCATTTAACTATGCCTTTAACATAAAGTTGCTACTAAATTATTCATTGTTTTAATTACTATCTAAAAAATCTGAAAATGGAACATGATAAAATGCTTTTGAACTCATTATTTGGCTGTAGTCAATTGTCAGCTATTATTAGCAGTAATTTATAACCTGATTTTTTATGATCCTATTCCAAAATGGTTCTATTGGTGAAAATGGCATAAACTTTTGTTCTATCGCTTTTGTTTTGCATTAACTGTGAAAATTAAACATCAAATATTGTCTTCTCTTTTCCACTGTCCTTCTGCCTAAAATATGTTTTCCTTTCTTTCTGGCTAAAATGTTGCAGGACCATTTTATTTTACTTTATTTAGTTCCATTTTCCTTTTAGTTCACATATAATTGTACATGCTTATGAGATATGATGTTTTGATATAGATATACAATGTATAGAGACCAAATTAGGGTAATTAGCATATTCATCTCCTTGAACATTTATCAATTCTTTGTGACGAGATCATTCAAAATCCTCTTTTCTACCTATTTTGAAATATACGGTATATTATTGTTAACAACAGTCACGCTATGGTACAGTGAAACACTACAACTTATTCATGCTAACTCTAACTTTGTACCTATTGATCATACTCTCCTCATTCCCCTCTTCACCCTACCCTATCCAGCTCCTCTAGTAACCACTCTTCTACTCTCTACTTCCATGAGATCAACTTTTTTAGGTAATAGGACCATTTTAAATAGGCATATTATACTTTGCTACTATTAACCTAGAAGCCGGAGTAGAGACTTTATCTTTTAGTAGTGTAATGAAGTCATGAATAAAAATTCAGTATAGTTCATTGCACTAGTTGATTTAGAAAGTTCTGGGATGTATTTTGGCTAAGGGGAAAACTGAAGTACCACTTGATCCCAATACATCTCTCAATTTTCCCCATGATTCACATTCAATTACTCCTGATATGAGATCACTTTCCCTGCCTCAGGGCTTATTACTAACCTGTGCTGTTGCTGATACCAAGACACTCAGAGAGTTGCATTCTCCCTCATCCCCTGAAGAGTTTCCATTTACATGATCTGTAAGTGTCTGTGTGTGAAGGGGTTGAGGAAGCGGTGTTAACCTTCGCCAGGGAGATCCCCCTGTCAGCTAACACCTTTATGGGGGGCATTCAGTCTCTTGTAGCTAGGATCCCAGAGGTCCATGACAAGAGTGAGCATTCCCTCAGTTCCCTCATTCGCCAATTTCCCAGAAGCCATCCCAACAGCAGGGTCCCCAGCTTTCTGTCTCTACAGCCTCAGCTTTAGCTTTGCCTCTTCACGCTCAGCATTTTCTTTCCTAAGATCTGTCCAATTTATGTTGATTTACTCGATAATTTGGTCTCTCTCAGTGAAAGCGGTGCTTCCTGGCTGCATCTAGTTGGACATCTTGTTCCTTCCCATCTGTGTAATACATTTTTCATACATGCTTTATTTTGACATAATTTTAGCTTTACAGAAAAGTTGCAAAGATGGCATGGAGAATTCCCAAATACCCCTTACCCAGTTTCACTTTCCCTTAATGTTACATTTCTCTGGTTTATTTTTCAAAATTAGGAAACTAACATTGGTATGTTACTATCACTGAAACTCCAGACTATCTTTGGATTTCAGCAGGATTTTCTTTAATGTTCTTTTTTTGTTGCAAAATTCAATCCAGAACACCCCATTGCATTTAGTTGTCATGTTTCAGTTTCCTGAATCTGTTTCCTTGTTTTTCTTGATATTGATAATTTTGAGTACTGCTCAGGTATGTTATAAAATGCACTTCAATCATGGTTTGTCCGATGTTTTCTCATGATTATGTTATGGGATCCTTGGGGTATCACTTCACCAGCGAAAACCTCTGTCCCTAGTGGCACCTATGCCCAAGTTTTCCTCAGGCCCACTGGCCCACTCAGCCTAGCAGGCTGTGCTCAGCTCACAATACCAGCCTGGATCCCATACCTGCCAAGGGCAAGCAGAGCAGCGAGGCGTGTATGAGCGAGAAAGTGTGGGGTCCACCTACTGCACACAGCCAGGCATGCTTGCTGTGGCAGGGCAGGCAGTTCCAGGCACCAACACAGGCACCAGCTCCCTGCAAGGCTGCAGCTGGAGCAGGTGTACTGCAAGCAGTTTCCATGGCTGATGCTGCAGAATGCAGTGGTGCCCAGAAGCTAAGAGACACCAGGAACCACAGAGCCAAAGAGGCTGTCACAGCCCTGACTCAGGGAGCTCTTAGGTCTGGGCTCCCCGAAGGGCAGCAGCTCTTCACTCCTTTTTGTCGCCTGCAATGTGGTGAGTGAGGAAAGGGTATGTTTTAGCCCTGTTTGTGTGACTGCTCTTTCAGCCATGCCATTCGGTGGGTCCCAAGTTCTTGTCCTGCACCCAGGAAGAATGAGATATGCAGAAAGTGGAGGGTGAGTTAGGTGAAAAGGAGCTTTTCTGAGCAACAGAACAGCTCAGAGGAGACACATAGAGGGTAGCTCCTCTCCACAGCCAGGGTGTCCTGACCAGTGTTCAACTCTCAGCAGAGAGGAGACCCTGAGGTGGATAGCTCCTTTCACAGCTGGCCGTACCATTGCCTTTTCAGCTCTCAGCAGAGAGGAGACCCTAGGGTGGGTACCTCCTCTCTGCAGCTGGTTGTCTTGTCATCTTTTTCAATCTGGCTGAGTCCGGGAGTTTTTATGGGCTTCAGAGGAGAGGAAGTAGGTGCTGATTGGCCCTTGGGCAACCATGTGCAGGCCCAGAAAAAGCATCATAAATTCCCACTCCAGTCTGCGAGGCTGGCAGCCCGGCTCTCAGGCTTCAAGCCTTCCCTGGGTTGAAGGTGGGGCCTCACTGGGGACCCATCCCTCTCTGTCCAGGAGCCTGTCTGCCTCCTGCCACTGTTCATGGCACCCAGGCTGTTCCTGCCGAGGGTCACCTGCAGGCCAGGGCCAAGCTGCCTTCAGCACCTCCCCAGCCTCCCTTCCTTGCTTACTGGTGCCCAAAGTCCAGAGCGGGGCTCAGGCAGCAGGATGCTGGTGTGTCAGCAATGCCCCAAGCATGCACACACCAGGCCAGGTTGCAAAAGCCCCAGGGCTCAGCCTCAACTCCGCTCCGAGATCAGAGCTGGTGCCAGGAGCAGGCAGAGGCCAGGCAGCAGGAGCAGGCACCTCCGAGTCTGCACGGGGGCAAGGGTTCTTTCCCGGGTCCCCAAAAGTGTGGAGATGCCCAGATCCACAGCCACAGCTTGCGCACCTGCAACTGCACCCAGAAGGGCAGGGCTCCTGGCACCCAAGAGAACAGGGATGCCCAGGTTTGTAGCCACATCTTGAGCAGCTGCAGCTGCACCCGGGAGGGTGAGGTTTCTGCCTGCTCCCGGACCCCAAGAGCACAGGGATACCCGGGTCTGCAGCCACAGCTGGGCAGCTGCAACTGAGCCTGGGGAGCACAAGGCACCTGCCTGCCAACTCATAAGGGGTGGGGGCTTTTGCCTGTTCCCAGCTCCTTCGGGCTCCATCGAGCGCACAGCCCCACCCGCACCTCTCCCACTGCAGCCAACGTCATGGCAGCAGCCACTGCACACAGGCCACAGCTGCCATCAATTACACTGGGCCTTTGAATTTTTGAAGAGGTGACCACAGAGGTAAAGTGCCCTTTTTATCCCATCAGAGCAGGGGTTACATAATATCTACATGGCATTACTGATGGTGCTGACTTTAATCACTTGCTTAAGGTAGTGTTTGCACTAAATAAAACTTAAACTTACAATTGTTACCTTTCCATACTCTATTCCTTGGAAAACAGTCACTGAATCCAGCCTATACTTAATGAAGGAGATCACGAGCTCCACCCCCAAAAGTGGAGACTATTAATAGATCAGTAAGGAAGATTTCTCTCTTCTTCTCCATTTATGTATTTATTCAATCATTTAACAGTATGGACTCATACTTTTTATACTTCAGATTATAATCCAGTGATATGTTATTTATTTTGTTGTTGAAATTGTTCCAGCTTTCCCCATTGAGAGCTCTTTCATGCTGGCTGCTGGGTCTTGGACAGGTCTTCATCCTTTTGCTATCCTTTTCTCTTCAAGGCCCCTCCTTGATTTCTGGTATTACTGGTCCTTCTCCTCCAGGCTTATCTTATATATTTTTTCACCAGCCTTAGAAATATCTTAGAATCAGACATTTCCCCAAGGATCTCTGGTTCTTTTCACTGGACATGGCAGACATGCGCACACTGCTGTGAGGGTAACTTTGTTTCTAGATTATTTCAGCAGAAAGGGCTAGGTAATGTGTGTTCACACAGTAAGCCCTGAATACACACATATCTGTCATTGCTTCTATATTTGTCCATCTATGTGTGTGTCCGTGTGTATTCGTGCTTGTGTTTAAACATGATGTCACAGTGTAACTCTGACTCTAGCACAGTCCCTCATGATCATTCTGGCCTTCCTTTCTTGTTTACCTATAACTTCTCATACCAACAGTGAGAAACCTGGATGCCACTGTTCATCTTTTAACATTTTTGTTCAACACTAGTATGCTTGTGAAGCAATTACAAAATTAGCTGTACCCACATGAGAAAAAAATTACCATTTAGAATACAGTACTTATGCACAGTTACTTTTCTCTTTAGCCTGACATTTTTTAATCAAAATATTATTTCTCAAAATAACCAAAGTCAGTATTTACTTCTTCTCTACCCTTTTCAGGGTCGTTAGCTTACACATTTATATAACGTGAGATTGATTTGTCACTGTCTGCATACCATTCTAGGATCTTCCTGCATCTTGGTGAAACTTTTGCTTGTTTATTTGCATGCATTTGAGTGCAATTTTGTGATACACTTCTTGGGGATTAATAAATCATAGACTTGCATATTACTAGTGCAGCACCATACAAGACAACTCTATCATTTAAAATGTCCCCTGCGTGTATTCTTTGTAATCAACTAATCTCCCCTACACTAAGCCCTGGATAACACTGGTGTGTTTCCATCCCAACAGGTTTTCTTTTTCCAGATGTCTTATGAATGAACTCATACAATATTCAGACTTTGAAGTCTGGCTTCATTCATTTAGTGAAATACACTTAACAAATATTCATGTTGTTGCATGTATCAGTAGCTCATTCCATCCCTTTGATCAATAGTATTCATTCATCAATCAATTTCCACAAAATCATAGATCATTGTATGGAAATACCCAAGATTATTTTTCCCCTATTGAAGGGCATGGGTTGCTTACAGTTTTGAGTAATTATGAATAACACTGATATAAATACTTGCATGCAAATTTTTACATGGACATAAGATTTAATTCACTGGTGTAAATACTTAGGAATGTGATTGTTAAGTCATATGGCAAGACTATATTAAACTTTATAAAAATTGCCAAATGGTCAAATTAGTTGCACCACTTTGCATTTCTTCCAGCAATCAAAGAGAGTTTCCCTCACTTTGCATTCTTGCTAGCATAAATTTTCAGTGCTTTTGTTTTAGTGACAAAGGAATTTGTGAGAATTTACTTTCAATCTTGTTACATGAGTACTTTCATAATACTTCAATTTTGTATCTCAATTTACAAAGCCTTAATATTGACTATGAAGATTTTTATAGGAAAAAATACTGGCATCTGGACTTTCATATAGATTTTCTTAAATCAGTGAGATTTTCTTCAGTCAACTTAATTGTAAATCAATTATTACAAGCTTTTTTAAATATGGGAAATCATGTCTTTGATAAGAACAGGTCAGTTTTTTCATTTTTTCTCTAAGAATTTTGTTTTTTTTTTCTGTATCTATCACTTAATGTGTATTTGAAAACTTTCTAATTAACTTTTTCTAATACATATAATCCATGAAACTATTCCATTTTCTCAATACAGTTTAGAAATTACTTAAACATTTGGCTAAATGTTCTGAACCTTACTTACTTTCAAGCTACATTTTCGTGCTAGAAAAATGCTTAATTCATGCTGAATATGTTCAGTGTGATTTTTAAAGGCTTCACGATTCAATGTTTTTCATATAACCTAATTTATATTTTATTTCTCTGTCCGTGAAGAGTCTTTTAAGAGGCCAGGCACGGTGGCTTATGCCTGTAATCCCAGCACTTTGGGAGGCCAAATTGGGAGGATTACTTGAGGTCAGGAATTCGAGACCAGCCTTGGCAACATGGTGAAACCCTGTCTCTACTAAAAATACAAAAGTTAGCCAGAAGTGGTGGTGCATGCCTGTAATCCCAGCTACTCAGGATGCTGAGGTAGGAGAACCACTTGAAACCGGGAGATGGGGGTTGCAGTAGTCGAGATGGCACCACTGCACTCCATCCTGGGCAACAGAGCAAGACTCCGTCTCAAAAAAGAAAAAAAAAAGCGTTTTAAGAAGCATAAACAAATTTCCTCCAACCCCCTTTGACTGAACATTGATCGATACTCATTCTGATTTGATCTAGTTCTAAGTCCCAACATCCATTTTATCTTCTCCAAGTATAGTAGTGAATATTCATCAATTGTTCACTCAAATATTTGGTTTGATTTCTTATCATTTAGCACTTAATCCAAGGATATAAATATCTTTTTGCCCAGTGGTAAACTTGTCATCCAATCCTTAGGCTTATTTTGCAAACAGGTTAGGTTTTCCTCAAGATTGAAATGCTCATCCAAACCCTATTTTATTGCTGTCTTAAGTGGGGTTTTTCTCTTTTGACATAGTTTTAAGGTCATTTTGGCATCAGGTTCTCACTATTTAAAAGACTTCATTCAACACATCTTCCAGTGACTCAACCCATATTCTAAACCTAGCCATGAATGTAATACATTCTGAAGTTTTTTGTTTTGTTTTGTTTTGTTTTGTTTTTTTAGACGGAGTCTCGCTCTGTCACCCAGGCTGGAGTGCAGTGATGCAATCTCGGCTCACTGCAACCTCTGCCTCCCAGGTTCAAGCGATTCTCCTGCCTCAGCCTGCCGAGTAGCTGGGACTACAGGCGCCCCCCACCACGCCCGGCTAATTTTTTCTATTTTTAGTAGAGACGGGGTTTCACCGTGTTAGCCAGGATGGTCTTGAACTCCTGACCTTGTGATCCACCTGTCTCGGCCTCCCAAAGTGCTGGGATTACAAACATGAGCCACTGCACCTGGCCCCATTCTGAACTTTAAGATGTTCTTTTTTTTTCCAAAGATCACATATAAATGGCCAATAAACATATGAACAAATGTTAATCATAAGAGAATTGCAAGTTAAAACCACAATGAGATATTACCTTATGCCATTCAAAATGGCCATGATTAAAAAAATCAAGACAAAAAAAAAAAAAACAAATTTTGCCAAGGGTATAGAGAAAAAAAGAATACATACACTGTTGGTGGGAATGTAAATTAGTACAAGCCCTGTGGAAAACAGTATGGAGACTTTTCAAAGAACTAAAAATGGAACTACCATTTGACCCAGCAATCCCATTATTGGATATCAACCTAAAGGTAAATCATTATATCAGAAAGAAACCTGCATGTCTATGTATATCGCAGCACTATTCACAATAGCAAAGTAATAGAATCAACCTGAGTGTCCATCAATGGACTATTGGATTTCTAAAATGTGATACTACTTCCCCATAAAAAGACTGAAGTCATGTCTTTTATAACAACTTGGATGGAACTGGAGGCCATTGGCTTAAGTGAAATAACTCAAAAACAGAAAGCCAAATGCTAGATATTATCAATTATAAGTGGGAGCTAAACAATGGGTACATGTGGATACAGAATGAAATAATGACATTGGAGACTCCAAAAGGTGGGAAGTTGGGAAAGGGTTGAGGGATGAAAGACTACCTATTGAGGACAATGTATCCTATTTGGATGATGGATACACTGAAATCTCAGACTTCACTATGTAAATATATCCATGGAACACAACTGCACTTCTATACCCTAAATCTGTTAAAATTTGCATTTTTCAAAAACATTTTCTTTATTTTTTTCAAAGCATCTATTTTGAACTCAAATTTCCTATACACTTAGAGGATTTGATGCCTTGTTCTCAGGGCAGGACTCCATGAAAAATAATTTAGCTTTTCATACACTTTTTTTTTTTTTTCAAGAGGCAAAGTTTTGCTCTTGTTGCCCAGGCTGGAGTGCAATTGCACTATCTCGGCTCACTGCAACTTCTGCCTCCAAGTTCAAGCGATTCTCCTGCCTCACCTCCCAAGTAGCTGGGATTACAGGAACACACCCCCAAGCCCGGCTAATTTTTTGTATTTTTAGTAAAGATGGGGTTTCACCGTGTTGGCCAGGCTGGTCTCAAACTCCTGACCTCAGGTGATCCACCCGCCTCTGCCTCCCAAAGTTCTGGGATTACAGGCATGAGCCAGCACGCCAAACTCATATTCTTTTTTAATCAGCCTAATTTATTAAAACATTACATTTGTCTTCAACTACAGAAGAAACTTCTCTGGTAAACTCTTTTTTTTCTCTCTACATAAAGTGGGCTTTTATAATTACAAAATCCAAATAGAGCCGCACTTACCACCATCCCCCATGTTAAGCCATAGAACTCTGATGTGAGTCTCATGTCTCCTTGCAACATTGACGTGGCCTCAATCAGCTTCTCCAGGACCTCTATAAAGTAACACCTCATAGCAGTAAGCAGGTCCTCCATAGCACCAGATCTGCCTTTGGTTGCCAAGACACTATGATTCTACAACAAACTGCAGAGAACACTAGCAGTGTTCTGCTTGGAACCTAAATCTGCACCTAGCAACCAGGACAGCACATCAGTGGGATGCCAATGTGGGAGGATAGATGGGGCTTTCTAAACATTTTCACTATTAGCACATGAAAAATGGGAAACTACAAGGCTCTTGTTGATCCAGGAAGACTGGCCACAGAGACTGTATTCCTTCTAGGCACTGACAAGCAACCCTAAAGTATGAGAGAATTAATGTCATTTCATACATGTGCAATTCAGGAATTACTAGGAACGTGGCAGTAAAGAACTTACATGCCCATATCAATAGTCAAAGTCCTCTTAATGTAAACGTGTCTTTCTGAGGTTCTGCTAGACCTAATACTATTTAAAAATTCAAAGGTTCCTCACCTCAGTATCCAATCTTGTTTTGTTTTGGGTTAGATGAGGGGGATAAGCATGAGAGAGTTGAATTATTGTCATTAAGTTATCGATTTAACTTTCAAATGTAAAAACTCATGAAGGTTGAAGGTAATTTGGGGTTTAGGTTTTTTTAACTTTTATTTTAGGTTCATGGGTATATGTGCAGGTTTGTTATACAGGTAAACTGCGCATCACAGGGGTTTGGAGTACAGATAATTTCATCATCCAGGTAATAAGCATAGTACTCAATAGGTATTTTTTCTGATCTTCTTCCTCCTCCCACCCTCCACCGTCAAGTAGACCCCAGTGCATGTGGTTCACCTTCTAGTATCCATGTGTTCTTATGTTTAGCTCCCACTTATAAGTGAGAACATGTGGTATTTGGCTCTTTTCCATTTAGTTTGCTTAGGATGATGGCCTGCAGCTCCATCCATGGTGCTGCAAAGGAAATGACCTCATTCTTTTTATGACTGCATAGTATTCCATGGGGTCTATGTACCACATTTTCTTTACCCAATCTACTGTTGATGGGCATTTAGGTTGATTTCATGTATTTGCTGTTGTGAACAGTGCTGCAATGAACATACTCGTGCATATGTCTTTATGGTAGAATGATTTATATTCCTTTGGGTATATACCCGCTAATGGGATTGCTTGGTGGAAGAGTAGTTCTGTTTTAAGTTCTTGGAGGAATCATTACACCATTTTCCACAATAGCTAAGGTAATTTACATTCCCACCAGCAGTGTATAAGCATTCCCTTTTCTCCATAACCTTGATGTATCTGTTATTAATAATTTGACTTTTTGATAATAGCCATTCCACCTGGTACGAGATGGTATCTCATTGCGGTTTTGATTTGCATTTCTCTAATGATTAATGATATTGAGCATTTTTTCATATGCTTGGCCGCATGTGTATCTTCTTTTGGAAAGTGTCTGTTTATGTCTTTTGCTGACTTTTAAACGGCATTGTTTCTTTCTTATAAATTTGTTTAAGTTCTTTCTAGATGCCAGATATTAGACCTTTGTCAAATGCATTGTATGCAGATATTTTCTCTCATTTTGTAGACTGTCTGTTTCCACTGTTGATAGTTTCTTTTACTGTGAGAAGTTCTTTAGTTTAAATAGGCCTCATTTGTCAATTTTTGTTTTTGTTGCAATTGCTTTTGGCATCTTCGGCATGAAATCTTGGCCAAGTCCTATGTCCAGAATGATATTTCCTAGGTTATCTTCAGAGTTTTTATATTAACAGTTTTCATTTTTACATTTAAGTCTTTAATTCATCTTGAATTGATTTTTGTATGTGGTGCAAGTTTGGCATCCAGTCTCAATCTTCTGCATGGAGCTAGTCACTTATCTCAGCACCCTTTATAAAATGGGGAGTCCTTTCCCCATTGCTTGTTTTTGTCAGCTTTGTTGAAGATCAGATATTTGTAGATGTGTGGCATTATTTCTGGGTTCTCTATTCTATTCCATTGGTGTATATATCTGTTTTTGTACCGGTATCATGCTGTTCTGGATACTGTAGCCCTCTGGTATCATTTGAGTAAGGTGATGCCTCTAACTTTGTTCTTTTTTCTTAGGATTGCCTTGGCTATTAGGGCTCTTTTTTAATTCCATACAAATTCTAAAATAGTTTTTTTCTAATGCTGTGAACAATGTCATTGGTAGTTTGATAGCAAATTGCATTGAATCTATAAATTGCTTTGGACGGTATGGTCATTGTAATGATACTGATTCTTAGTATCCATCAGCATGGGATGTTTTTTCCATTTCCTTGTGTCACTTCTGATTTCTTTTAGCAGTGTTTTGTAATTGTCATTGTAGAGATGTTTTACCTTTTAGGTTAGCAGTATTTCTAGGTATTTTATTCTTTTTGTGGCAGTTGTGAATGGGATTGCATTCCTGATTTAGGCCTCAGCTTAGATGTTGTTGATGTATGGGAATGCTAAATTTTTGTACATTTATTTTATATCCTGAAACTTATCTAAAGTTGTTTATCAGATCAAGGAGCTTTTGGACCAAGATTATGGGGTTTTCTTTATACAGAATCATGTCTTTTGCTACCAAGAATAGTTTAACTTCTTCTCTTTCTATTTGGATGCCTTTCATTTCTTTCTCTTGCCTGATTGCTCTGGCCAGGACTTCCAGTACTATGTTGAATAGGAGTGGTGAGAGAGGGCATCCATGTCTTGTGCCAGTTTTCAAGGGGAATGCTTCCAGCTTTTGCCCATTCAGTATGATGTTGGCTGTGGGTTTTTTACAGATTGCTCTTATTGTTTTGAAGTATGTTCCTTCAATGCCTAGTTTATTGAGGGTTTTTAACATGAAGGGATGTTGAATTTTATTGAAAGCCTTTTCTGCGTGTATTGAGATAATCATGTGGTTTTTGTTTTCATTTCTGTTTATGTGATGAATCACATGTATTGATTTGCATATGTTGAACCAACCTTTCCTATCAGGGATAAAGCCTACTTGATCATCGTGGGCTTTATCCCTGGGACACAAGGGATCATGGTAGGCTTTTTCCCTGGGATGCAAATGATCACACCCTAATCTGTGGAGCCTGTGATTATACGTTACTTTACATGGCAAAAGGACTTTATAGATGTGATGAAATTCAGAATCTTGAGATGGGGATATTATCCTGGATTAGGCAAGTGAGCTGACACAATCACACGTGTCCATATAAGAGGGAGGCCAGAAGTCAAAGGGAAGATACTCCGCTGCTGACTTTAAATATAGAGGAATGGGCCATGAGCCAAGGAATGTAGGTTACCTCTAGACGATAGAAAAGGTGAGGAAACAGCTATTTCATCAAAAAGCTAAGAAATTAGGTTTTTATGTGCTGTTCGATTTGGTTTGCTAGTATTTTGTTGAGGAGAATCAAGATAATTTGAAAGATTTTCAAATTTCAAGGATTTACACTCCTGCCAAATGACTCCCCAAACCCATAGCCAGTCACTGTTCTTCACCATTGCCTCACTCTCAAGCACAATACAAAAACTTTCCATTTCCTGAGTGGGTAAAGAAATGTGATGTTATAACTAAATAAATATTTGTCAACAATATTACCATGCCTTGGTGTTATCTATTCCATGCATTTCTAGTGAATTGTTCATTAGGAAACCCCAGTACTTTATTCAAAGTTTTTGTCATTTGACCTAAGATAAACAAAGTTATCTATTCCTCCCAAAGAAAAGTGTCAGATATGTTAAGATCGTCTCAGTTTGCCAACAGTAAGAAATTCTTTTTTTTTTTTTTGAGACGGAGTCTCGCTCTGTTGCCCAGGCTGGAGTGCAGTGGCACCGAGCTCCGCCTCCCGGGTTCACACCATTCTCCTGCCTTAGCCTCCCGAGTAGCTGGGACTACAGGCGCCCGCCAACACGCCCAGCTAATTTTTTTGTATTTTTAATAGAGATGGGGTTTCACCGTGTTAGCCAGGATGGTGTGGACCTCCTGACCTTGTGATCTGCCCATCTTGGCCTTAAGAAGTATGGAGACATATAAAAAAGATATATGAGCCAACTGGAAGGGGTCCTCTCTAGCCAAAACAGTGACCATTTCAGCATCAAAATAATGACAGAATGAAATAATAATGCATAAGACCATATTATGATATATAGGTAGACACATAGATAAATAATACCTGATACCCACACGTACACACACACACACACACAGGAAAAAGGAAAGCTATTCCTTCATATAGAATGCCAACTCTATTAGTTTTCCATTGTTGCTATAACAAATTACTACAAATTTGGTGTTTAAAATAACAAAAATATCATGTATCTGGAGATAGGAATACTAAATTGGGTCTACAGGGCTGCATTTCTTCTGTAGGCTTTCAGAGAGAATCTGTTTTCTCAACTACTCCAGCTTCTAGAAGCAACCTGTTTTCCTTGGCTCATGGCCCATTCCTGTTTCTTTAAAGTCAGCAGCAGACTATCTTCTCTCTGACCTCTGGCCTCCCTCTTATATGAACACATATGACTATGTCAGCCCACCTGGCTAATTCAGGATAATAATCCCAACTCAAGGTTCTGAATTTAATCACATCTATAAAAATCCTTTTGCCATGTAAAGTAACATATAATAACAAGTCCCAGAGGTTAGGGTGTGATCATTTGCGACAAGGAGAGGAAGTATTTAGCCTACCACACAAACTAATAAGTTTAGAAGGAATGATGGAACTTTAAGAATCATTATTTGGAAACCACTATAGTAATAATAGTAAAAATTAGTAATAATGGTAATAAAAAATAACGACTGGCCTACATATGGCAGATACTGCCCAGTGGTCTAGGAGAATGACATTGTCGCTGATGTTCTTCATGCACCAATGGCCTGTTAAAGGTACAGTGGCCCAAAACACTTCTCAGCCATTGGTTGAGCCTTGAGGAATTTACAACCTTATGTGAATAAGCATAATTGCTGCAAATATGAAATGTTTGGTTGAGGTATGAGTGACACATTTTAACCTTGAAGGAAAAGTTCTTGTGAACATCCTCAGGACAGTAAGAGAGTAAGATAAATTCAGTGTGGTTCAAATATTAGGTGTTAAAACAAAGAATAGGAGAAAATGAAGACCTTCCCATGACAAGTTGCAAAGAGCCAAGAAATGTACATACTGAATCCTCACCTTCTTGTTTTAAAGAGTTCAGATGTCTATAGGGAGGAACAATTGCCTAGTGATTAAGAACAAACTATGAAGTTAGAAAGCCCACATTTGAATCCAAGCTTCATCACTTACTAGCTCTGTTGTGGTCAGTTTTCTCATGCAGACAATAGAGACTATGATATTACTGTTGCCTCCCAATAGTTATCCCATCTCACCTACACTGTGTAGCATGTGCTTTGGATGAAATTAACCCCACCCCCAGTGCAGGAGCAAGAGTGACTTTATTTTAAATGCTAATCTGCCGTGTAACTTCTGAATAACCCTGAGTCCCTATAAGATGTTAAGTTGATATATTACTCTTTATGTAGGAACATGTATTCACTGTAAGTTTCCTCCAAAACAACCCTTGACGCTGTTGTAGGAAGCATAGTCCATGGCACCTGTAGCTACCTACATGTTTCTTTCAGAGCAAGTATACTTTCCTCAAAAGATAAGCCCTAGATCTGGAGGACTGCAGTGCAAAATCTAACTATGTTGTGGCCACCCAAGACAACATATATGTCTGTAAATTCCTTTAGTAAATCACCCCAAACCAACAAGCTAGATTTGTCTGCCTCCTTCTTTGATTTATCTGCTCTTTGTGCATTTGAGAGATGGCTTTGCATATATGGCCCTTTCACTGAAAACCTGGCTTCAGAAGTGGCCCCCAATTAATCTCAGCCAATCATTGCATTTTCGCCCCTTGTCCCAAACATGTTGCCAGGAATGTGCAGACAACTTATGCGTCAGTATGAAGCTCTGTATAAAGAGCCATTTTTGTTCATTGATTATAGGATGATATTCAACCTCTTGAATGTGAACAAGGAAGCATATAGGCCTGATTATTGCTGACAATGTTTCGTGATTGTGAGGGGAATCAACTTGATGACAAATCCAATACATGGAAGAGGACATAGCTGAGGAAACTGCAGAGATATTGATCCAGAGCACTGATCAAGCTATACCTGAAGCCCACACTACTGCTGAACTTTTTGGTTTTATAAGCAATAAATCCCCCTTATTTGTTAAAAACAATTATTTTGTTAAAGTAAATGGCCGGCCTGCACTCTTCAAAACTATAAGGTGCATTGAAGAGACAGACAGACTGAGGAATGGTTCCCAATTAAAGAGAAAAAAGAGACATCACACTGCCACCTTATGATCCTGGATTAGATACTTTTTTAGGAAATATTCTTGTGACAACCTAGGGGAACATGTGCATTACAGCGTAATAGTTTAGAAAAAAAATTTAAATGCATATTAACATTAGTATAAAGTGAGAATGATAAACCATACATGTTGAAATGCTAAGATTTTTTAAATCTGGTGAAGCTCAATGGTAAGTCTTTCTACTATTTTTATAACTTTTCCATGAGTTTTTTTGTGATTGTTGGATGATACTTGGTATATAATCACTTGTATTTGAAACTTATGTTTGAAATCATGTAGTGTTTTCATAATATATGATCACTAATCACCTTTCCAGCCTCACATATGTAAAATAGGAGATATGAACCTGAGCTACATAGCAGAATACAGACGGAGTGTACCTAGGCTGGAAGCCAGAGCTACTTTCTGTGATTACCTGGATGACATATTTGTGCCAACAATTCTGTACTGCAGAGTTAAAATAAGAAAAGATAATTGAGCATGTATATAAGAATATGCTGCACAGCAACAAGTATAAGATACAGTGGACAAAGACTGGGAGACATCTGTCTGAATGGGGAGGAGAAATTTACAGGGCAAAAGAAGCTGATGCTTCCATGAGGTTAGCCTTCATTCCTATCTGGGAAAAAGCTGGCTTCACTGTTAGTTCTTCAGTAAAGTTGCTTGCCATACAAATTCATGTGTGCTTTGGAAATCCCAGTTCACAAATGTTTTCATAAGGTTTAGGGCTGACAAGGGGAGCATCTCAGGGCTTCTATTTTGCCTTCAGTGTTGTTGACATAGGAATGGGTTGTCAGAGCTAAAAATGTATTGTCCTTACCCTGATTTTTTCACATACAAGTTGCCAGAAGTTATACAAGCCACCTATTTTCTTCCCTTCAGTTTGATAAAGTGAGAAAACTCATTCCTGTTGTCCTATCTGTGATAATACTGCATAAAGTCTGTTCGACTGGTTTGAAAAGTACAAAACAATAAAAACAGTAATACCAGTGTTAATCTTTGGTGGAATTTTTGGTAACTGATCTATTTCTCAGATTACAAATTACACAGCACAGGCTAATATGGCTAGGATTCAACATTAGATATACTATAATTATAACCTCCCAAAAGAAAATGAAAAGTCTATACATATAAAAGAAAATGTATATGTTTTGTAAGAGAAAAAGGAGAAAAGAGCACAGAAAGTTAAAAAGAAAAAAAAAGAATTTAGATAGTGAGAAGTGGTATCAATAAAATGGCAAAATAGGACTTTCCAGTGCCAGTTGGCCCCCCAGGTCAGACTCTGTAGCCCCAAGACCCATGCCAGTACCCAAGGATCTAGCCTCCAGACCAGTACATATAAGCTGGGCCCCATAAACCCGGACTCCAGACCAGCCCCCAAGGCAGTAAGTTCCACTCTAGCACCACACCAGCTCCAGGCTTCAGGGGGATGGTCCCCACTGCTCTAGGCTCCAGTGGACCTAAAGTCCAGGCCCACACCAGTAGATATCACCTCATACCTTACATCAGTTAGAATGTCTATTATGAAAAAAGACAAAGGATAACAGATGTTGAGAAGAATATGCAGAAAAGGGAATCCTTATACACTGTTTTTGGAAATGTAAATTAGGACAGCCATGATGAAAACCACTGTGAAGGTTCCTAAATAAATTAAAAATATTGCCAAACAGGGTGGCTCACAACTGTAATCCCAGCACTTTGGAAGCCGAGGCGGGCAGATCATCCGAGGTCAGGAGTTTGAGACCAGCCTGGCCAACATGGTGAAACCGCATATCTACTAAAAATACAAAAATTACCTCGGTGCAGTGGCACACACCTGTAGTCCCAGCTATTCAGAAGGCTGAGGCAGGAGTATCGCTTGAACCCGGGAGGCAAAGTTTGCAGTGAGCAGAGATCCCACCACTGCACTCCAGCTTGGGAAACAGAGCAAGACTCCATCTCAAAAAATTAAGTTAAATTAAATATATAAAATGCTCATCATCACTGGCCATCAGAGAAATGCAAATCAAAACCACAATGAGATACCATCTTACACCAGTTAGAATGGCAATCATTAAAAAGTCAGGAAACAACAGGTGCTGGAGAGGATGTGGAGAAATAGGAACACTTTTACACTGTTGGTGGGACTGTAAACTAGTTCAACCATTGTGGAAGTCAGTGTGGCGATTCCTCAGGGATCTAGAACTAGAAATACCATTTGACCCAGCCATCCCATTACTGGGTATATACCCAAAGGACTATAAATCATGCTGCTATAAAGACACATGCACACGTATGTTTATTGCAGCATTATTCACAATAGCAAAGACTTGGAACCAACCCAAATGTCCAACAATGATAGACTGGATTAAGAAAATGTGGCACATATACACCATGGAATACTATGCAGCCATAAAAAATGATGAGTTCATGTCCTTTGTAGGGACATGGATGAAATTGGAAATCATCATTCTCAGTAAACTAACGCAAGAACAAAAAACCAAACACTGTGTATTCTCACTCATAGGTGGGAATTGAACAATGAGATCACATGGACACAGGAAGGGGAATATCACACTCTGGGGACTGTGGTGGGGTGGGGGGAGGGGGGAGGGATAGCATTGGGAGATATACCTAATGCTAGATGACGAGTTAGTGGGTGCAGCGCACCAGCATGGCACATGTATACATATGTAACTAACCTGCACAATGTGCACATGTACCCTAAAACTTAAAGTATAATAAAAATAAATAAATAAATAAATAAAAAATAAATAAATAAATAAATATATAAATTAAAAATAAATGAATAAAAATAGAACTACCGTATGATCCATTTGTATATATTCTAGGTATATATCCAAAAGAATTAAATCACTATGTTGAAAAGCTATCTATACACCCATCTTTATGACAGCAAATTCATAATAGCCAAGGTATTGAATCAATCTAAGTGTCTGTCAATGAATGAGTGAATAAAGAAAGTGTAGTATATATATAATAGAATACTATTCTGCCTGAAAACAAGAAGGAAGTCTTAATATTCTCAACAACATGGCAAACCTGAAGACATTTTGCTAAGTAAAATAAGCCAGGCACAGAAAAACAAATACTGCATGATCTCATATGTGAAATCGACATAAAATGAATCATAGAAGCACAGAGTAGCAGAAAGATGCTTGTCAGGGGTTAGCAGTGGAGAGAAATAGGGAAAATGGGGAGATATTGGTCAAAGGGTACAAAGTTTCAGATGGAAGGAACAAATTCAAGAGATCTATTCTACGGTATGGTGACTATAGCTAATAATACTGTACTGCATAGTTGAAAACTGCTAAGATAATAGATCCTAAATGTTCTCACCACAAAACAGGTAAGTATGTGAGTTAATGATCTGTTAATTAGCTTGAGTAATAATTGCATAATTATGCATATGTCAAAACATTATGCTGTATATTATAAATAAATACATTTTTTTCACTTATCCTTAATAAAGATGGGGAGGGGGGGGATATTTGAGTAGGTGAGAAACCAGGATGCTACCGTAAGTGCTCCAAATCGTAAGATTTCCATAGTAGAAAACAGTTCAAAGGGCGAAGTTATGTTCTTTAAGTTTTTAAAAATGTGTTTTTATGTGATGTTTTACCGTATGTGGTCCCAATTCTTGCTAAAAGTCATTTTACATACATTATTCTTGGTTCTTCACTTCTTGGGTAAGGTTAAGGACAAGGGCACATGCCTCATATTTTTCATGCCTAGTTAGAAATAAAGGAAGAGTCAGAGATGCAGAAGGAAGATAAAGTCAGCAGAATCAATGCAATTGCAAGTCACACTAGAAATTGGAGGGAAGTTCTGAGATGCGTTTTTATTTTTATAATAATTTAGGAAATAGTGTGTGAATCAATCATATCTAAATCTCACAGGCCTCAAAAGCTACAGCTGACATTTGAGTTATAGAGAAAACTCAGGCATTGCAAGTACGTTACTTTATACTGAATTCTCCTTTAGCCATTTTTCCGCTTCATTTGACTATGACTGTCAGTTTAAATTGCTCTAGGTATAGCGCAATTATTTCAAACGAAGATGGTTGACAATAATATATAAAACAAAATGATTACTTCTATAAAATAGATTTCTTTATTTGAAACACATATATTGACATACATAATATACTTATTAACCATAAATACTCAAATTAGATCAAGCTTTAAAATAAAAATAAGCTATCATTTTCCATATGACAGTTTCTATCATAAAATTTTTCCAATATATTTTCACATAATTCTTTCATACACCCATTGGCTTCAAGTCATTTTCAGAGCCTCTCTATTTGCCTCAAATGTTTTCCTTAGTTCCTTAGGTAATGCAGTTGCTCCAAGCACTTACCTCACCTAAGTATACCTAGCCTATGATGACCATTTGTTTATAAGCTCCATAGCTCAGCTTTACCAGCTCCTTTTACTTCCTATATATTTCTCACTGCCTTGCAAAAAAGAGGGATCTCAGATGCTGACTTCTGCTATACTGTTTCAAAGCCTCTCTTACTACAATTCATAAAACTTATTGTTCTACTATTGATACTGGATATGAAAGAATATGGACCAAAATTCCTCTCAAAATTTACTATCCGACAAAGAATAAGCATTGTTGGAGAAAAGGATTTGAAGTATTTTGCTGTGTATTTAACTAAACTAAAGATAGAAGACAAAAGTATTCTGCCCAAAAAGCAAGAAATTAAAAGACATATTGTAGAGATTTTTAAATTGAGAGTATCATCTTTTCATAGGATTTACAGCTTCGCTTTTATCAAGATTTACAACAAATTTCATGCCTTATTTTCAATCGAGAAATGTCTGTCTTGGATACATTAGGTTTGTACCATGGAAAAACATCACTATAGATGTTTTATCTTGATTTTACATAGCTGTTTTCTCCACAAGTGAATGGTATTTAGGCTGACTGTGTTTTATTCCTACCTGTTACCAGGAACTCCACGACCTTGTTAGAGTACATGCTCAGCAAGTGCTAACAGAGTGAGTGAATAAAAGAATGGTTGATAAATAAATAGAAGGATGAATCATTGTGAGGGGAGACTCTGTTATATTGTTAATATGACACATACACAGGCTCATTCCCACCCCATTAGTCTCTTCACTGCCCCTCTTACAACTTTGTTTCTGAGGGTGTAGATTAGAGGGTTAAGACTAGGTGTGACAACAGTATAAAAGAGGGCAATGAACTTGCCTTGATCTTGAGAATTTCCTGATGGTGGCTGGAGATACATGCACATGGCCGGAATGAAAAAGAGAGATACAGCCATAAGATGAGCTCCACATGTTCCAAACACTTTCTGAAGCCCAGTGGTTGACTGCATCCTCAGTATAGCTCGGACGATGGCACCATAAGAAGTGAGAATGAGGATGAGAGGTATGAGAACAAATATGGAGCTTGTGATCATGAGGGTCAGCTCATTGACATGGGTATCAACACACGATAATCGCAGAAGTGCTGGAACTTCACAGAAAAAGTGATCTACTTGGCGGTGTCCACACAGAGGTACCCAGAAGGTGAAGGAGGAATGAAGTGCTGAGTTGGTAAAACCACTTACCCAAGAAGCCACAGCCAGCAGGTGGCAGAAACGAGGGTGCATGAGGACAGTGTAATGCAAAGGTCTACACACAGCTGCATAACGGTCATAGGACATCACCACCAGTAGGACACACTCTGTGGTTCCCAGTGCGAGAACAAAGTAAAGTTGAATCATGCAACCAGCATAAGAGATGGTCTTTTCCGGGCCCCAGAGATTGACCAGCAACTGAGGGATAGAGCTGGTGGTGTAGCAGAGATCCAGAAATGAGAGGTTTGAAAGGAAGAAGTACATTGGTGTGTGCAGATGGGAGTCCAGGTATGACAGGATGATGATGAACAGGTTTCCTATCAGTGTCATCAAGTAGAAGATCAAGACAACCACAAAGATAACTACTTCCAGATGAGGCCAATTAGAAAATCCAACTAAAATAAAGTACCCCTCAGAGCTAGCATTGACTTTTCCATCATCATTCATTTCCTATTACCTGAGAGAAAAAAAAGAAAGGTAAACTCAAAAAACGAGTAAACAAATGATCCAAAAATATCAGCACACATGAATAAAAAATAAAAGCCAGTTTGAAGGGCTTGCCATCATTTAATTGTAGGACAATTTAACCATTAGTAGTAATGAATTTAACAAAAGAAGAATTATAAAGCTCATACTGATATAAAAAGTAAAAGAATAAATAAATGAATGGTGAAGATAAAGCTATTCCTTACAGTAGATCCCTAATTAACAAATATAGAAGGGGTGACGGTGTTAAGAAAAACATAAATGATTGCAAAAACTAGTGGATAAAAATTTGATGGGGAACAGAATATGTACAAATATCTAAAATAGTCTAAAATATCTCCTCACAACTTTCTAGTTAATTTCAAACTGAAAAACAGTAAAGTTTGTAGTAGAAAAACCTGTCAGACACCACCATAACCAGTGATTTTATTGATCTTAAGATCAACTGTATTTGCACAAACCAACATCATGAGCCTGCTGTGATGATGCTCTGAACAGGACATGCTGTCACTTCAGTGATATTTGTGTTAAAAATTCTAATAATGAAGACTAATTCTAATAATGAAGACACATGAGAAAAACTCAAATTGAGAGAAATAGCTTGCCTATACAATTCAGAAAAGTATCAAGTTTAAGTAGAAAAACAAAGGGTGAGGAACTGGTCCAGATGAAAAGAGACTAGTGAGATGTGATTTCTCAGTGTACAATCCTGGATTTTTTCAAAAACTAGCTATTAACAAAATTATTGAGACAATTTAAGAAATCTCAGTGTGGACTATGGATTAGATAATAATATTGTGCCCATATTAAGTTTGCTGATTTGGGTACTGTGCTGGACTTATGTAAAGTAACATCCTTTTCCTTAGACAAAAAACACTGAATAAAGTATTTGGCATAAAGGAACGTGTCATCTCCAACTTACTCTCAACTAGCCCAGAAAAAGAGATAGATAGGTAGATAGATAGATAGATAGATAGATAGATAGATAGATAGATAAATAGATAGATAGTTGATAGATGATATAACAAAGCTTTGGGGGAAAATGTAAACTAATACTCAATCTGGTAAAAGGGTAAATGTTAGTCTTTTGTACTACTTTTTTGCAACTCTTCTCTAAGTTTGAAATTTTACCATAATAAAAAGTCACAAAAATACAAAATAATTTTTTAATTTTATATTTTATTTAGATGTTTGCCTTATTATAGAAAAATAACTATCAAGTTCTCATTCATTTTAGGGTGACATCTAGGTAAATGGTAATTGAAGGAAATTCCTAACCTAGCTAAGGAAGATAATTTCCATAAAACACAAAATCTTTCTTTGTTAATAAATAAGGAACTTTAGTTTTCTTTTCAGCATTTTCAGGTTATTTTCTTAAATGTGATTGTGGAAAACGTAATCATTGCAATCACAATAATCTTACATATGGATGAAAAGATATGTGGAAAATATTGAATTTAGTCATTTCAAAATGTTCGCCTAAAGAAAAAATGTTTAGCTTCAATTAGATAAGAATCTTATCTTGTGATTTGTTTACTTGGACTCAAAATGTATTTCTAAACTGAAAAATTGAATACAAGTAGAGAAGACACAGACACTTGCTCATCAATATATGGGTATTCATGATACGAACTAAGCTAAAAATCTGGGGAGAACAGTGATAGAATGCTTTCTAAAGGATGTGTGACTACAACTGAATTTGAAAAGATTCAAACTTTACAGAAAGGAAAGGAAGATAAAAATTCAGTGAGAGAACAGAGAAGGAAGGAAAAGTGGGAGGGGCAGGAAAATGGAGGAGAACCTGAGTGTAGTTCTTAGAGTTGCAGGTGTGTCTATCACAGCGTTCAAGAAGCTGAACCACAGGGCCTGAAGAAGGTTTCTACATGATGTATTTTTCTCCAGGACAATAATTTAGATAGTATATAAATTCTGAGCATGAGCTATAATTAGTACATATTTATTCTCCAAGTTAGAGAGTTCTGAATATTTAATGAATCATTAAGTGGCTGTTCATCATTTAATACATTGTGCCCAGTGAATCTCATGTTACTTTTTTTGTTAAAAATAAAATATATCTTACAAATAGTTATGACTCCTAGGTGATGCTTTTTCTCCAGTGAGTTTTCAATCTTTCATAGAAAAAAATGATACTTATTTTTGTTATATAGTTATTGTGTCAGGCATAGCAACCCACCATTTAAATACCCCATTTTCTCTGAATTCTTTGCCTCTTCCAGCTTTGCCACATGCCCTCTATTTCATTCCTTCCACAGTCAGTTATTTTTCTTATACCTCCCAATTGGCTATGGCACAGGAAGAAAGAAATCATTGTGGGGCCACCTGTGATTGCCTCTTTTAGGGGTCTCTTAATCGCTCATGTTTTATAAATTCAATGCCTGAAAGAAATGTCAGGAGTAGCTAATTGGTTGAGTTTCAGCAGAAAAGTTTGGAACATTCAGTTTGGTCCCAAGATTAAAAGATTGACCTCAGACCTTTTAACAGACTTGGTAATGTAAATAATCATTAGCCAGTTGTTACACTAATCTAGATTACTTTCAACAACTTAAACAACCATCCAGGAAAATCAGTCTGCACATTGTTTTAAAAGAAAATTTTAAAAGCTATAGCTGAATCAAAAAGCAGCAATAGTCAAAGAGTAAATCATGAAGATTACTTGACTTAGAGGTCACAGCCCTTGAGGGAAGATGAAAATTTTCCAAGAGATTTTTAAAAATTTCTCTAGAATAGGAGATAATACATCATGAGAAATATGAACACAAATGTTATAGTTACCTTCTCTCATGCAGATAAAATTTTCTTCTTTCTTGTACAGTTGCCTCGATAATTTATTACATTAACTAAAACAACATTTAGCTGTGAGATACCTTTGCCAATTGCATGACCCATCTTTGAGCAATCTTACATAGAGAGGTTAGAATGAGATATGAGATAAGAAGCAAACAAACAAAAACTTACCAGATGCAAGCAAGGAAAAGGTAGGAATTTTTCTGGGTTAATTTTCTTCTTCCTGGTGGAGCAGAAAATAAAAGCCTTATCAAAAGTTAAAAGCCTTATCAAAAGCCATATCAAAAGTTTAAGTTATCCTTAACACAAAGAAAGGATAAATGCTTGAGGTGATGGATACCCCATTTAGCCTGCTGTGATTATTACACATTGTATGCCTGTATCAAAAATACCTGGGTCGGGTGCCGTGGCTCACACCTGTAATCCTGACACTTTGGGAGGCCAAGGTGGGTGGATCTCTGGAGCCCAGAAGTTCGAGACTAGCCTGGGCAATGAAGTGAGACCATGTCTCTACAAAAAATAAAAAGAAAGAAATTATCAAAAAAAATCTCATGTACCCCATAAATGCATACACCTATTGTGTACCCACAAAAATTAAAAGTTAAAAGTTGCTTTCATGGACTAGGAATAAGTGATCCTCTCTAGTTTTGGAAATCAGGTATAACGGAGGGAGAAAATAATCTCTTTTCCCCATCCCCATGTCACTGGCCAAGTTTTTTTATTCTTACCATAATATTTCTTTATATATTACCTAGTACTTAAGCAGTACTCAAACAATGCCTTTCACTCTGTCCTTCCTGTATCTGTCCACATTCCCTGTATATTGTCTTCCTAGCTGATGCCCTCATCATGCACAGACTGATCTGATCTCTGATTTTGATCACCTTGAAATCACCAACATAAATGCCTACACTTCCCTCATCTACTACATCAATTAGGAAAACAGTCTGAATGTAGCTATGACTATCATTGCTACAGAAGAGAAAGCTCTGAGTCTACTAAAAAAATTTAGTTTTACCCAAAAGATAAACTTATTAGAGCTTTCAGTGTATCAAGGGATGGGTCTTTATCTTAGAGTCAATGGGCCCTTTTTGGAAACAAAAGAATGTGACTTGCTTTCCTTGACTTGGGCCACTGGGAGGGTAAATCCCAAAGTAGCAATTAATGCCCTTCAAGGAGTTATCCTGGTTAGAACAGTTTCTCAGTGATGTTCTTGGCATGATGCCACATTGTTGTACGAGGATGACAAGGAATCTATAGTCCAGCCATAGCAGAGAAAAATACTTTGAGCTGTATCTGCAGGGAAGGGAATGGGTTATCTTGAGTTACCTGAAACCTCTTCCCCAATTCTTCAGTATGCTAGAGGCCAAATTTGAGATATAGCTTGTTAGGTAGTCTAATTTGGGAATGGGAAAAGGCATGAAACATTTTTTAAAAGGAAATATAATGACTACATTATACATATTTGTTTTATTAATTTGAATTTTTAATTGTGTCTAACATCTCTAAAATTCAAGGCCAAGTTCAGCCCTGCAAAAGTGTTAAAAATTACCTTTGAAGACCATTCAAACTATACTCAGAAGGTCACTACCAAACTCAGAAAACTTTTAACAAAATTATTTAATATTTCCAAAATATTGTTATCAATAATTTCTTTTGATGTCTTGTTAAAAGCTTTGCAGAAATATATAAAAAAGCTAAATTAGCTGTGATAGCTAGCCTACATCCCATGTTTAAAAAAAAAAGCACATCGTGAGTTTATAAACTAATGAAGATTTTTCAATTGTTACATTGTGTCTAGGTGATATATTCCATGTGTACCAGACAAAGTCTTGGTATGAAAATCAAGTCACATTTACAATACAATTATATTTTAAAGTCAGTACTTTTAAGAGCATGATCAGGTATTTTCCTGTCCACTTATGTGAAGCAACTGAAAACAGTCTTGGCTTCAGTAGTCTTGATTGTTGTGAAAACTCCATGTGAAAAATACGTAAACATTATCCTCGATGCCTAGTGCATAATCATTCAATACATGTTAGCTGCTATTACCATTATAGTGAATTTTAATTTGAAGTGATATTTTAACAAGTCATTCTATATTATTTCTTCATCCTTTATTTTAGATATTTAAAATATTAAAAATAAACCCTTATGTTCCCATCATTCAGAATCATCAACCATAACTTTTGTCATTTTTATTTTCAGAATTTTTAGCACATAAAGTATCACAGATAAAGTTCATATCCCCTTCAACTGTCACTCTCTGACCCAACACTAAATCCAGAGACAACTACCATGAGCTTGGTATATATCATTCCAGTTTACTTTAAAATATATTAAATATTATTTTTAAGATAAATATGATTAAATAGTCATATAATCATATGTCTAAACTTCTCTATCTTATTGGAGAGGAATTTGACCAGTGATCCTACAACCTGTGGGGACTAGCAGAATTCAATCAGTTATCAAAATCCAGGAAATGTCTGATATCCTGGTCTGTAGGAGATTGTACCAAGCTCCAATATTTTTCATGTTTTGGTAACTAGAATTGTAGGAGAGTTTTTGGCCCCTGCCAATCTACTGGGTGCCAGCAAATGTTAACATTTTTAGGTGTGATGTTAGTAACTTGTGAAAATACAGCTGGCATAACATGATTTAATTACAGCAAAGTATTTCTAAGGAAGCAACCCTCAACTTTTTTCTCTACAATACACACTCAGATAAATAAAACACATTGAAAGTCACATCTGAGGAATCAAAAGGAATAAAAGACACTAAATGATCTCTGTTGAGCTTCTGTTAATTTGAGTGCTTTGTATGGGAGGAATGTGAATTAGAGTAGATCACAAACTATTAAAGCATTGTAGATGGGAAGCTCAGTTGGAGTTAAGGCCTAGAAAATTCACATATACAACATGGAGTACTATGCAGCCATCGAAAAGGATGTGTTCATGTCCTTTGCAGGGACATGGATGAAGCTGGAAGCCATCATTCTCAGCAAACTATCACAAGAACAGAAAACCAAACACCACATGTTCTCACGCATAGGTGGGCATTGAACAATGAGAACAGTTGGACCTGGGGGGAAACATCATACACCAGGGCCTGTGGGGGCGGTGGGGGGGATGCGGGAGGGATAGCATTAGGAGAAATACCTAATGTAAATGATTAATTGATGGATGCAGCAAACCAACATGGCACATGTATACCTACGTAACAAACCTGCACGTTGTGCACATGTACCCTAGAACTTAAATAATAATAAAATAAAATAAAACAGACGATGGAAAAAAATCAGTCATATTTCTATACAATTTATAGTGGTATCTAAAAACATGAAATACATAGAGGTGACTTTAACAAAATATGGACAATAGCTATACAATGAAAACCTCAAATGCTTCTGAAAGAAAATAAGATGTAAGTAAATGGAGATCTATATCATGTCCCCAGATCAGAAAAGTCAATGTTGTCAAGTTGCCAGTTCTTCTCCAATTGGTCTATAAATTCAATGCAATCCCCAATCAAAATGCCACCAGGCTTTTTCTGTGGAAATGACACACTGTATTTTATTAAAGTTAAAATTTTTCTCTTTGAAAGATATGACAGTATTCTATTTGCAAAAGATTTGTTTGACCAAGGACTTGAGTTCAGAGTATACAAAGAACTTCAAATTCAACAATAAGAAGACAAATGACCCAATTTTTAAAGTGAGTAAAATATTTGAACAGAAGCTACACAAAATAACATATATGAAGCATATGAAAAGCACACAAGAGGATGGTCAATGTCAACACCCCTCAATGCAAATTATAGCCACAGGTAACCTAACTTGAGAGGTGAAAAGTATAAAAACTGACAATACCAAGTATTAGAAAGAATGTGAGTTCATTTGGAACTCTCATACACTGCTGTTTGAAGTGAAAATAGAACAGCCACTTGAAAACATTTTTGCAGTATCTCATAAAGATAATATACACTAAGCATGTGGTCCTCCTGGAGAGGTACAAATAAAAGGTATTTACCCAAATTAAGTGAAAACATGCATCCACACAAACACTTGTATACAAATTTTCATAGCAGCATTATTCATAATAGCCAAAAATTTTAAATACTCCCAAAGCCCTTCACAGATAAATGGATAAATTGTCGCACATTCGTACAATGGAGTTCTAACAAGCAATAAAAAGGAAAAAGTAACTGATACATGTGGCAACATAATAAATGTCAAAAACATCATGCTAAATGAAACAAGCCACACCCAAAGATTACACACTGCATGATTGCAATTATTTGAAATTCTAAAAGTGGGAAAAACCAAGTACATTTAGAGAAAATTAATGCTGCCTCAGGCTATGACTAAAAGGGGAAAGTTGACTACAAAACGGAAGTTCTTTGGGGAGTAATAGAAATGTCCTATAATCTTGATTGTGGTGGCATTTACACAATTATACATTTGTCAAACTCACTGAACTATTCTTTCAATTTGATATTGAGAAACCTGTCTTTGAGACTCAAATTTGCCATTTATTAGTGCGTGCATTTAGACAAGACTACTTAATCTCTCTGAGACTCAATTTCCTAATCTTTAACATAGGAACAATAATGTTTATATCTTATTTTTCTTTTGTTTCAAGAGGCTAATAGTCAACAAAGCTTTAGGGTTTCTATGATGACCAAAATTCTAATGAAACAAAATATATTAATGTGCTTTATAAGTTGTGTAGTACTGTTACAGTATAAAGGATTATAATTATACACTTTTTCCGATAGCTTATTAAATCCAATATTTGATGTCTAACAAAAATACAATAAAAAGAAAATATAAAAAAATTCATTGAACTATATACTTAAAATGTGTAGATTTCTTTGTACATAAATTATACTTCAATAAATTTGAAAAGAAAAGAGTCTTGTAGATCTTGAGAAGCTGGAGTGACACATGACATATTACAAATGGTAAGATTTCCACGGAGGCAGGAGGAATCTATGTTCTCATATTTTGTGAAGTCTGTGTGAGATGTGATGTGATCCCAATAATCCCACTGGGTACTTATCCAAGAAAAATGAAGTAAGTATTCCGAAGAGGTATCTATGCCCCCATGTTCATTGCAGCACTATTCATGACAGCCAAGATGAAGAAACAACCTAAGCATCCATTGATGGAGGAATGGATAAAGAAAATGTGATCTCATACACACACACACACACACACACACAGCGAGAAATATTATTCAGCCAATAAAAAGAAAATCCTGCCATTTGTTATAACATGGATGAACTGGAGGATATTGTGCTAAGTGAAATAAACCACACACAGAAAGACAAAAGATGTATGATAACACTTACATGTGGAATCTAAAAAAATTGAACTCGGATAGGAACAGTGGCTCACGCCTGTCATCCCAGCACTTTGGGAGGCCAAGGCAGGTGGATCATTTCAGGTCAGGGGTTCAAGACCAGCCTGGCCAACATGGTGAGAACTAGTTTCTACTAAAATACAAAAATTAGCTGGGCGTGGTGGCGGGTGCCTGTAGTCCCAGCTACTGGGGAGGCTGAGGCAGGAGAGTTGCTTGAAGCCGGGAGGCAGAGGTTGCAGTGAGCCAAGATCGCACCACTGCACTCCAGCCTGTGTGACAGAGTGAGACCGTGTATCAAAAAAATTAAAAAACTGAACCCATAGAAGCAGAGAATAGAATGGTGGTTGCCATGGGCTGGAGGGTGGGAAGTGGAGAGACAGCCAAATGGTACAAACTTTCTGTCATAAGATGAATACATTCTGGAGATCTAATGTAGATTATGGTGACTATAGTTAATAATACTGTACTGTATACTTGAAATTTGCTTAGAGATTAGATCTTAAGTGTCCTGACCCTCCCCGCTCCCCCTACACACAGTAACGATGTGAGATGATGGATGTGTTAATTTGACTGTGGTAATAATTTCACAATTTGGTTTGATTTATATATAATCACATTGTGCACATTAAATATATGTTATTTTATTTGTGCCTCAGTAAAGCTGGAAAAAATAAAATCAAAATAAAGAAATTTTTTTAATAATGCTATTCAGCAAAGAACAAGGATGTTAAGAGTTTTAAGCTATCTTTAATATGTCATTAACTAGGCCAACTAAAGCAAATTAAGCACATATTCTGCTTTGTTTCATTTAATAGCACTGTCTTCCTACAGGAGCTATGAATTTATTATCAGAGTTTATTATCAAACTTATTGTTTTGCTTTCGATTTTTAAAAAGTGAAAGATGTATACAATCTGAAGAGTAATCAGAGTATATTGTTTCTGATTTTTAAAAGCTATCTTAATTTATTAGCATTAACCCCAGTGACAAATTAAGCCATGTACAGATACTTCATCTTTTATCTTATGTTGCCATTTTTCCCGATAGAGAGTGCATTCTGTTCAGACAAAGTATGTTATATTTATACATGTTACCAAGAATTTCACAAACTGGGAGAGAGTACATGTCCAGTAAGATTTAGCTAATGAAGAATAAGTTAATGAATAAATGGACAGATGAACGAATCAGCCATTTTAAAGAGATATTAGTTTACTGTTCAATGTGACAAGAATGCAGACCTACAGGATAAATTATATAATTTAGTGTCTTTAAAAAGTGAACTTCAACCAAAAAATTATGACATATCCTTTACCATATAATAAATGGTGTTATTCATTATGTTTACTATTTTTCTTTGCTGTGACTATTTTTAGCTTCATTTAAGGTTTATTTAATAACCAAAAACTTCTTCAGCCTACATCTTTGCAATATTGCCCTTCTCTTCCTATACATATCAATGGTCAGTTCATAATTTAGCACATTGTCAGAAATATTGCCAATATTTTTTAAATAATCTCCTCATAATTATTCACACACACATTTATTTATGTTGAAACCACAGTCCACAATTTTCATGGAAATAAATATAGAATTGTAAAAGAACAAAATGGTACTAATCAAAACCTTTATCTCAACATAATATTTCAGAACTAAATATTAAACAGAGCAACAAATGGGGGAACTGAACTATTCCATGTTTTGTGAGCTGTTAGATGAAACACAAATCACAAAGAAGCAGGGAAACAACCTTTCAAAATGGATAAGACCCTAGGAAAAACAACAGCCAACATGATTTCCCTGTCACATCCCCCATTCCCACCCCATTAGTCTCTTCACTGCCCCTCTTACATCCTTGTTTCTGAAAGTGTAGATTAGAGGGTTAAGACTAGGTGTGACAACAGTGTAAAAGAGGGCAATGAACTTGCCTTGATCTTGAGAATTTTCTGATGGTGGCTGGAGATACATGCACATGACTGGAATGAAAAAGAGAGATACAACCATAAGATGGGCTCCACATGTCCTAAGCACTTTCTGAAGCCCAGTGGTTGATTGCATGCTCAGTACAGCCCGGGCAATGGCACCATAGGAAGTGAGGATGAGGATGAGAGGTATGAGAACAAATATGGAGCTCATGACCATGAGGGTCAGCTCATTTGCCTGGGTATCAACACATGATAATCGCAGAAGTGCTGGAACTTCACAGAAGAAGTGATCCACTAGGCGATGTCTACATAGGGGTATCCAGAAAGTAAAGGAGGAATGAAGTGCTGAGGTTGTAAAACCACTTACCCAAGAAGCCGCAGCCAACAAGCGGCAGAAACGAGGGTGCATGAGGACAGTGTAATGCAAAGGTCTACACACAGCTGCATAACGATCATAGGACATCACCACCAGTAGGACACACTCTGCGGTTCCCAGTGCGAGAACAAAGTAAAGTTGAACCGTACAACCAGCATAAGAGATGGTCTTTTCCGGGCCCCAGAGATTCACCAGCAACTGAGGGATAGAGCTGGTGGTGTAGCAGAGATCCAGAAATGAGAGATTTGAAAGGAAGAAGTACATGGGAGTGTGGAGATGGGAGTCCAGGTATGACAGGATGATGATGAACAGGTTTCCTATCAGTGTTATCAAGTAGAAGATCAAGATAACCACAAAGAGAACTACTTCCAGATGAGGCCAGTTAGAAAATCCAAGTAGAAGAAAGAAGTCTTCAAAACTTGCATTTTTTTTCATCAACATTCTTATTTTTCCTGTACCTAAAGAAAGAATCGCATAAACTCAAAGTCTGTCCATGCATTGCCAACTGCTCACTTGCAAACAGATTGGAGAAAAAAGTATCCCAATTCCAGATAGTGTGCACCATTATGGCAGTAGAATTTTTATACAGTTTCCTTTGTATGCTTCATTGAGATATTTGTCCAGCTGTGGATACAAGTAATAGCTTTTCAAGTTACTGAGTTCTTTTATATACATCCTTGAGTTAACATTTGGATAAATGAAGACTAAGATATTCCATAATCAGAAAGACAATATTTAAGAAAATAATTTTTTATTTTAAAAAGTTAAATTGATTTTTTTTTGCATTTTCAGACTATTTCCAATTTTGCAGTTACAGAGAAAGGAATAACTGCAGCCATAATAATCTTACTTATAGATAGGAACTTCCCATGTTAAAGAGCAATTAGGTAGTCACTTTAAAATATTAATATGAACTGAAAAGAAATAATTGGATATGATTATAGAAAGAATTAAATGATATTCATTTATTTATGCTAGCAGTTTATTTCTAGACGAATAAAATAACATGCAAATGAAGGTTTAAACAGACATGCACACACACACCAACTTATAAAAATTCACAATATAAGCAAAGCTGATTAATAAAGTGAAATAGAGTAGAGATATCAGTGATAGAGTGCTTCCAAAGTTACATGGGGGTATAATTATTATTGGAAGACAGAAAGATTACAGAGTCTAACAAAAACACCGGGAGGTGTAAGAGAGAAAGGAAGAGTGCTTTGAGGCACAACAGTGAAGAGGAGGTCAGAATGTGGCATTTGAAATTGAAAGAATGTATAACACAGGATTGTTAGACAGGGACAAGAAGACTTAAATGTGGTTTCTAAAAAATTTTATATGCTTTAGGCCAATAACTGAACTATACTTTAAATTCTGAGTCACAACTTGTATTTCTGGGTTTTCTTCAATATTCCTAAATAGCATTGCCATCCCCCTTCTGCTCCCCTCCTGCCACAGCCAACTCTTCCTCTCATACTCTCTGATAAAATATGACAAAAGACAAATTTATTTACACCCAACTCACCTTCAGTGTTTTGAAAAACTTTTAACAACTCAAATATTCTAATCTTGACTCTTGAAAAAGATGTAAGGGTTTGCCTAATTAGTTGAGTTACAGCTGGAGAGCTAGGAACGTTGAACTTGGGCCAAGTCTGTGCAGATGCTCCAGACAGGTACAAAGATATCTGTACACTTTTCCATATTGTTGATAATGAAATGATCATTACCTTTTGAGAAATCATGGAAAAATTGCAAGAATTTTTTTAAAAATTTCGCTAGGTTGAAAGGTAATATTCTGTAAGATACTTGAACTCAAATGTTGTGGATACTTTTGCTAATGCAGGTATAATTTTCTTTCCTAATGCAGCTGCCTGACTTCCTTACTACAGTAATTAAAAGGTGAAATCTGATATTTTTCTGTTGTATAAACCATCTTTCAGCATTCTTCCAGAGTCGATAAAAAGGATAGGAAATAAGGGACAAAAAAAAAAAAAAACCCAGAACTCACGTAGAGAAAAGTTTGCAGCTTCGATTTTCTTCTTGGAGGAAAAGAGGGAAATGAAGACCCTATCAAATGTAGCTTTTATGAACTATGGAATAAAATATCTTCTCTCTTCTTTTAAATCAAACACTGTAGGGAAAATGGATGGCTGAGTGTCTCTTCTTTCCCCAATTATTACTAAGAGACATTTTCCCAATTCGTGTCATATTCATTCCTTTATACTATATCTGGTTTGTTTTCTTACTTTTTCATTGACTAGTAATAATTGTATATATGTATGGAGTACATTGTAATGTTTTGATATGTATATACATCATAGAATGATTATATTAAGCTAGTTAATGTACCTATCACCTCACACACATCATTTTTTTGTAGTAAGAACATTTAAAATCTACACTTCCTGCAATTTTGAAATACAGAAGCTGTACACCCCTTAAGAAGTGCGCCAACTTCTTTCAGTACTGACCTTCCTGTGTTTGTCCCTGTTCCCTGTCACTCTCTACCTGGCCTACGACCTCATCATGTATAAACTGATGAAGGGGCTCTCTGGTTGCCATGCAACCTAGAAACATCAACCTAATTGCCTTCTTATAACATTTTTGCCAATGTTTTAAATCTAACTATGGAGAACAGAGTCTGGAAATAACTGTGATTGTCATTGCTACAGAAAAGAGAGCCTGAGTTTGTCCAAAAGATCTGCTTTTTAGCAGAATGTGGGAATACTTTAGAGCATTCAAGGTATCAGGGGATGGACCCTTTATCCCAGAGTAAATGGAATCTTTATGGAACCAAAAAGAATAATGGGATACTCTTTCATTGACTGGGGCCTTTGGGAGTATAAATCCCAAAGTTGCAATTAATGCCCTTCAAGTTGTCCTGGTGTGGTGTTCTCAGTACAAAACTCTTCACAGAAATATCTTCAGTATGATGTTATAGTCTTACTGTGATGACAGTGAATTTATCACTTACAAATATGGGAAAAGATGCTGTGAGTTATATTTACAATAAAGGGAATGGGTTTTACTGAGCCATGTGATTTTTTTTCAGTTTTCCATGGGGCTAAGGGTAAAATTTACAAGACAACTGGAAAAAAGGAGTGATTTCAGAGCCATTCAACTGAAAAACTAGAATACATAAAGACTAAACTGTATATCTATTCCTTACTAATGACGTGCTCTTTGAGACTGACCTATATTATTTATGCCATCCCAGTTGTCTTTTAAATTCAATTCCAAGATTTTTCCTGCAAAAGGTTAAAAAATATCTTGTGTTTAAAATCTCCCCTTTCCCCATCCCCTACCCCCAAGGTAGCTATATTCTACTCTCCACTTGCATGAGTTTATCTTTTTTAGATTCCACATATGAGTGAGATCACGTGGTATTTGTCTTTCTGTGTCTGGCTTCTTTCACTTTGCATAATGTCCTGCAGGTTCATGAATGTTGTTGAAAAGACAGAATTTCCTTTTTTCTTTAAGGCTGGATAGTATTCCATTTTATATAGATAATGTGGCTCATATATATCACATTATATCCCTTTTATATATTTATCTGTTTATCCATTGATGGGCATTTAAGTTCCTTCCATATCTCAGCTATTGTGAATAATGCTACAATGAACATGGTAGTGCAAATATCTGTAGTGAATTCTTATGATTTTATGTTGCCTCAGTGTTTATTTTCAATATAAGTTGAACTTTCTCATACCAGAAGCAGGGCTTAGTCACCCTTAACACAATTTCGAGTTCTCCTCTCCCAGTTTCTTCAGGTGGTCAATCCAGATATTTGGCCTCTTGGTTTCCACCTTCCTGTGGAGCACCTAGATACAACCTGTTTGACTTATCCCACTGATCCCCACACCCCACATGGACTGCAGACTTGCAGTAGTGAACACCTCTCAATACAACATAACTCCCAAGAACTCATGCCTGCTTGCTTTAAACCCAGCAATCAGTTACTCCCTGCTTAGGAAATGCTGTGTACCCCAGTAAAGGCTTCGGCCTTCTCGGCTGTCACTCACTCTCCCTTGCTACCCACCCACTGGTTGAGCATGCATGTCTCTGAGGGCTGCCCCTTCTCCCGTTAGGCCTGTGAGGAAAGTTTCCTTCTTCTCTCTGGATCTTTAAGTAATAAAACTACTTCTATTACGTGTTTTTTTTTACTTGCGTCTCGCGTGACTGACATACGTGAAATTAACTTCTTTTCTGGACAAGGCTCTCTTAAAGAGTGGTTATCTTGGTAGGAATGAACTGGACACACTAGTCAGACAAGAGCCACAAGGGTGTCTGCCAGTGAAAATGAGTTTCCAGTGAGAGGGACACCTGGTCATAAATAGGACAATTAGGCATTAGCTCTCCATCAGGATATAGAAGTATTCCACGAAAAAAACACTGAAAACATCCACAACCACAACCACCTCCACTGGAGCCCATCAGAGCAGGGCTAGAGTTTCTGGCTCCTCTTCAAAGAGAGACGTTAAGACCAAATTAGAGGAAAATCTACCAATATATTTTTAACATATTAATTTCAATCTCTTTGGCTATGTACTCAGAAATATAGTTGCTGGATCATATGGTAATTCTATCTTTTTTTGAGGAACCTCCATGCTGATTTCAATAATGGCTGTATTAATTTACATTACTACCATTAGTATATAAGGATTCCCTTCTCCACATCCTTGCTAATACTTATTAACTCTTATTTTATTGATATAGCCATTCTAACAGGTATGAGGTGATATCTTATTGTGGTTTTAATTTGTATTTCCTTGATGTTGAGAAATTTTGTTATGTATCTGTTAGTCTTTTATGTCATCTTTTGAAAGATGTCCATTAAGTGTTTTGCTCAGTTTTAAAAGGGGTTCTTTGTTTTCTTGCTAACAAATTTAAGTTGTTTGCATTTCTTACATATTTTGGATATTAGCCATGTATGGTTTGTAAATATTTTCTCCCAGTCCATGGGTTGTCTCTTCAATCCGTTATTTACTTTGTTATACAGAAGGTTTTTGGTTTGAGGTAATCCCATTTGTCTATTTCTGCTTTGGTTTCCTGTGCTATTGAGATCATCACCAATAAATTATTGCCAAGATTAATTTCAAGAACATTTTTCCCTATGTTTTCTTCTAGTAATTTTACATTTTCTGGTCACACATTTAAATCTTTAAACCATTTTTAGAGGATTTTTGCATATGGTGTGAAATAAGGTTTCAATTTCATTGTTCTGTATTTGGGTATTTGATTTTCCCAGCATCATTTATTAAAGATACTGCCCTTTCTCCATAGTGTGTTCATTCTTGGCATCTTTGGCAAAAATCAGTTAACCACAAATGCATGAGTTTATCTCTGGGCTCTCTATCACATTACATTGGTCCGTGTGTCTGTTGTTATGCCACTACCTTTCTGTTTTGAATACTATAACTGTGTAATATATTTTGAAACAGGTAGTGTGATGCCTCCAGCTTTGCTCTTTTTGCTCAAAAGTGCTTCAGCTACTTAGGGGTTTTTGTCATTCCATATGAATTTTTAAATTGCTTTTTCTATTTCTGTGAAACAAAAAAGTCATTGAACTTTTATAGAAATTGCACTGAATCTGTGTATCACTTTAGGTAGTACACATATTTTAATAATATTAATTCTTCCAAACCATGAATGCAAAATCCATCATATTCTGGGTTTTTGTTTGGTAGAAGACTTTTATTACTGATTCAACCTCCTTACTCATTATTAGTCTGTTCAGATTTTCTGTTTTTTTCATGATTCATTTTTGTTATGTTTCTAGAAATTTAACCATTTCTTCTAGGTTACCCTATTCGTTGGTGTAAAATTGTTCATAGTATTCTTTTATGAGCTTTTGTACTTCTGTAGTATCAATTGTAATGTCTCCTCTTTCATTTTTGACTTTATTAGAGTCTTCTTTTCTTCTTAGTTGGTCTACTCAAGTTTTGCCAATTGTTTTTATCTTTTCAAAAATTCAAGTCTTAGTTTTGTGAATGCATTCTATTGTTTTCTAGCTTCTTATTTATTTCTGCTCTGATCTTTGTTATTTCCTTCCTTCTGCTAACTTTGGGATTAGTTTGCTCTTCTCTTTTTCTGGTTTCTTGAAATGTAACATTAGGTTGTTTGGGATCTTTCTTCTTTTTTAATATAGGCATTTATTACTACAAACATTCCTCTTGCTAATATCTTCTTTTGCTACATGCCATAAGTTGTGGTATGTTGTGTTTTCATTTTCATCTGTCTTAAGATTTTTTTTAATTTTGCTTTTGATTTTTTATTTAACCCATTGTTTATTCAGGAGCATGTTGTTTAATTTCCACGTTTGTAAATATTTTAAATTTTCTCCTATTATTCACTTCTACTTTCATAACTTTGTGGTCAGAAAAGATACTTGATATGATTTCGATCTTCTTAAAACTGTGGAGACTTATTTTGTTCCCTAATATTTGATCCTGGATAATGTCCCATTTGCACTTGAGAAGAATGAGTATTCTGTTGCTGTTGGATGGAATGTTCTATATATGTCTGTTAGGTCCATTTGATCTAATGTGCGTTTCAAGTCCAGTGTTTCCTTATTGATTTCTGTCTAGATGACATGTTCATTGTTGAAAGTGAAGTGTTGAAAAACCCTGCTATTACTGTATTGCAGTCTGTTTCTTTTTAGGTCTATTAATACTTTCTTTATACATTTAGATGATCTAGTATTAGGTGTATATATATTTACAATTGTTACGTCCTTTTGATGAATTGACCCTTTTATCATGTAATGACTTTCTCTGTCTCTTTTTACAGTTTTGGACTTAAAGTCTGTCTAATATAAGTAGAGCTACCCCTGCTGTCTTTTGGTTTCTACTTGCATGAAATATTTTTTTCAGTCAATGTGTGTTCTTTAAGTTAAAGTTAGCCTCTTACAGGCAGCCTATGTTTGAGTATTGTTTTTCAGTTTTTTCCCAAAGCAAATCATTTTAGTAGGTTGTCAAATATACAATTATTGGAAATATCTAAATATTACCTGTAAAAATCAGCATATCACATTAGATAATTCTATAAAGTAAGAAAACACAAATCACACATTGCCAATAACCGCTGCAGTCCAAGAATATCCTCCTGTCAATAGTACAAATTACAAACACATTTTTAAAACTAAAGATGTTATTTAGACATTTAAACCAAAGTAACCATGACTAGCCTAAATACATTCATTCATCAAGTACAATAAATTTAGCATTGCTACTTACAGTCACTAATAACACAATTTTAGGTGCAATTTTACCTAAAATTTCATAAATTTTCCAATACAGTTCCAATAGTAAAGTGTCTTTGTGCATGCCATTTCCATTTATATGTGGGTGCATCATATATCAGACTTAAGGCTATTTCACCTCATTATTAAATTGTTCATAAATATATAAAGAAAGTGAACACCAGGCCAAAATTTAATCCCAATGATAAAAAAATATATATATATATATAATATATATAAAATATATATATTATTAAAAAGTCAGGAAACAACTGTGAGCCAAAATAAACCTTTTTTCTTTGTAAATTACCCAGTCTTAGGTATTCCTTTATAGCAATGCAAATGGATGAATGCAGAAACAAAGGATCGGTCTGCATTTCTTAACTTCAGAAACTACAGTCTTTGTAGTTTCCTTTGTAGTACCTTTGTAAAGACGAAGATCTTTAAATAGTTTAGTGCTTAGTGTCCTTGTTAAAGTATAACGTTATATAATGAACACCGGCTGATAAATTATTGATGCATTAACTGGCAACATTTCAAAAAAAATTCAAACTCGAAATCTCAGTTTAGAATCTTCCAAGTGAATGAGAACCCCTAACTCTGTTCAGGTCAAATGTTGCCCCCTCACAGAAACTGACTGACCATGCTGTCTAAAGTAACAGCCTCAGCTAATTTTGATTCTCTTACCCTGCTTTCTTTTTCTTCATAGCATTTATCACTATCTGACATTGTATTATATATCTATTTACTTATTATTAGTTTTCTATCTCCTTACTAGTATGTAAGCTTCATTAGAACAGAGACTTTATTTCTTTTGATTATCAATATATCTCCTGTGCACATGACAGTGCCTGACACTTATCACCATGACATAAAGATTTATTGAGTAAATGATTAAATGGTTTGTTTCCATGTTCATGTTCCAACCAGACACATAGGCAGGTATTGTGGCTTATCTCTGAAGTCCTTGGCACTGGCTGGCTGGCATAGAACCTTGCAAACAATGAATAAATAAATTACCCTGATCGATCAGTGTGCCTGGATAGAGAAGACATGTAGCAATGCTGCACCCCTGGATGTGCTATTAATACAATTATACAGCATGGAATACTATGTAGCCATAAAAAAGAATGAGTTCACGTCCTTTGCAGGGATACGGATGAAGCTGGAAGCCATCATTCTCAGCAAACTAACACAGGAACAGAAAACCAAACACCTCATGTTCTCACTCATAAGTGAGAGTTGAACAATGAGCACACATGGACACAGGGAGGGGAACTTTACACACCGGGGCCTGTCAGGGGGTGGGGGGCAAGGGGAGGGAGAGCATTAGGACAAATACCTAATGCATGCAGGGCTTAAAGATGACAGGTTGATAGGTGCAGCAAACCATTATGGCACATGTATACCTATGTAACAAACCTGCACGTTCTACACATATATCCCAGAACTTAAAGTAAAATAAAAATAATAATAATTTATAAAATACACTTAAAATTTTTTTTTAACCAAGATTGTTCTCTTGAGGTTAACTTATTACTACTTTGAGTTGCCAGGAGTGATTGCACATTTCTTGGGAATCCCTAAGTCACCAAGAATAAAGACCACTTGTAATAACTAAGGCATATTCAACAATAAAATTCTAGAGATTCGGGATATTTGATATTTGCTTGTAACATTTCACTTTTTAGCTTTTATTCATTTAATAAATGTTTTCTTTATCATCTTGTATACTCATGAACAGTTTTAAGTGTCCATTCAAATCATTTCATTGGGAAAAAAAAAGTCAGGAAACAACAGATGTTGGCAATGCTGGGGAGAAATAGGAACACTTTTACACTGTTAGTGGAAATGTAAATTAGTTCAGCCATTGTGGAAGACAGTGTGGCGATTTCTCAAAGATCTAGAGCCAGAAATACTATTTAACCCAGCAATCACATTACTGGGTATATACTCAAAGGATTATAAATAATTCTACTATAAAGACACATGCACACATATGTTTATTGCAGCACCATTTACAACAGCTAAGACTTGGAACCAACCCAAATGCCCATCAGTGACAGACTGGATAAAGAAAATGTGGTACATATACACCATGTAGCCATAGAAAAGAATGAGTTCATGTCCTTTGCCGGGACATGGATGAAGCTGGAAACCATCATTCTCAGCAAACTAACACGGGAACAGAAATCCAAACACCACACGTTCTCACTCATAAGTGGGAGTTGAAAATAAGAACACGTGGACACAGGAAGGGGAACATCACACACTGGGGCCTGTTGAAGGGTGGCGGCACAGGGAGGAGAGCGTTAGGACAAATACCTAATGCATGAGGGGCTTAAAACCTAAATGACAGGTTGATAGGTGCAGCAAACCACCATGGCACATATATACCTATGTAACAATACTGCATGTTCTGCACATGTATCCCAGAACTTAAGGTAAAATTTTTTTAAAAAAGTAAAACCACAAAAAATAAAATAACTTTTCTATTATAATCCAAGCACAACAAATTGTATTTGAAAACTAATTACAAATATATATTACATATAGAAAGTATGTATATATGTCTATTAAACTTATATATAAATTATTAGCTACAACAGATGTCATATAGTTACAAAAATCACAGGCTAAGAAAATGTCCTAATTTAGAAAATGATCATATTCTACACAAAAAGAAAAATGAGGAAAAATAGATACATTAAAATACGAGCACATTAGTTTCCTTAAGATTATATCTAGGCTGATGCTCAATTCAATTACAACTTCTTTATTTTACTAAGATCTTAGGATAAGCACTTATTAAGTCACATATTAAGTCATAACTTGCATAAATCAGCTTTTTTTTTTTGGAGATGGAGTTTCGCTTTTGTTGCCCAGGCTGGAGGGCAATGACTTATCTTGTCTCCCCAGGTTCTAGCGATTCTCCTGTCCCGCCTCTGCCTCCCGAGTAGCTGAGATTACAAGCACCCACCACCATGCCCAGCTAATTTTTTGTATTTTTAGTAGACACTAGGTTTCACCATGTTGGCCAGGCTGGTCTTGAACTCCTGACCTCAGGTGATCCGTCCGCTTCGGCCTCCCAAAGTGCTGGGATTACAGGCGTGAGCCACCGCCCCAGCCCTCAGCTGCTTCTTTCAAAAACTATTCCCCCTATTGCAATTTCATGTAATTTCTGTGTGTTCTGACCCAGTGAATTAATGCTAACCTTAAATTTCAATGTGTATATTAATATGTTAAGTGACTTTGTATGACATAATTTTTAACCTACAGATCTCTGGTAGCTTTAGTTTACAAACACTTATTACTAAAATCAGTGAAAATAGAAATATCATTTTTCCCTATACGCCATCATAGGACTCCCTATTTGACCTTGCAACTATTTAAAAGGAATTTGGGGCTATAAGTTCATTAAACCTTGTGCTTTCCTAATTAAACAACTTTAAATTTATTTTTCATTGTTTATTTTTGTTACTCTAATCTTCACCCTAGTTTTAGAATTTGTGAACGACATATGTGGTAGTATTATGCAACCAGCCCAGTTAGGAATAGAGTTGACTTATTGACTCTCTGGACATAATGACCAATTAAACTTGAGGGACTCTAGAATCTCTAGGGCTAAAAAGAGGACACAGAATTGTGTGAGTGGTACTCCCTTAATAAATATTGGTTGGCTTTATTTAAAGGCATAACTTTCTTTCCATGACACTTCCAATGTTGTTGATGTCTATAAAGTCAACTTCTCGTTGTAGAAATCCACTAGGAACCTGGTGAGGAGAGCCCATGTCAGTCAAAAATGCCCCAATGACTGAAGACACACTAACTATACACATTTTCCTCTCCTCATAAGTATTTTTCTCACATGTTCTTGATGCAGTCCAGGTTTCATGCTAATTTCATTCTTGGTCAGTGGGCAAAAGGTAGTTGAGTTAGAATGTCGTAAAGATTGAAAATTCAAAAACTCAACTGCATTTATTAATCTGTCTTTGAACCAGACTTCCTTTGAAACACAGCACAAAGAAAGGCGTGAATATCTCTTGGACATTTAGAAAAAAGGTGAGTGGCGTCTAATACAGTGTATTATATTACCATGAGTGGGAAGGATCTCTCAAGAACATCTCACCTACATCCCTGCCTCTGAGTTGCATCATGTTAAATAATCAGAATGCCCAATTTGTTTCCTGGGAACTTTGAAATTAATATGAAGTATTTTCAGTGATTCCAAAAATCCTTCGTATCCTTTCACCCTTTTGAATGGTTTGCTCATTATATCTCCGTACATAAAAACGGTCAGTGGGATTTAAGATTTCTTTTGATTCATGTAGAAAATAGAAATAGGACAAAAAGTCAACGTGACAGTGGAATCAACATGTTCTTGTCAAGAGGTAAGTTCATTTTCTGATAACGTAAAAGAGAAATTGGCGCCATATAAAATATGAAGAAAATAAGAGAAATTATCAGTGCCATATAAAATGTGAAGAGAAGAGGACGTGAAAAAATAGGAGTAGAAAATAACAGCTACTGAATAGGGTCCTCTTTTATTCCATGCCCTTTAGATAACCAGATATCACCTACTACATTGATTTAACTTCCATTTACTGGAAAACTATGTACTCAGTATATTATGCTAGAAACAAAGACAAAGTGATAATATGAAATTCAATAATTTCATGTTATAATATTATGAAATTATAACAATCACTTGAACCACCAATAGTAAATTTTCTGTTTTCTCATATACAAGACAAGCTGAGATAATGATATAGTATTACTATTAATGACTTATTAGTGATTAGTATTAATGATACTGCTATTGATATCAAGCTCACATTCATTAAATGCTTAGTATGCTTGGGACAGGGTCCTAAGTTCAGATGTGTATACATTGTCTCACTTGAGCTTCACAATACTCTCTTTTTATCAAGTCAGAGATTGTTTTTTAATGTAGCACAAGAATGTTCATTCATTGCCCAGGATCACACAATCCAGTAATAAAACCCTGGCAGATTCTGGCTCCAGAGGCACTGTACCTAACAGCTAACCTTTAACAGTGATTTTTTTTAATGCTACTAAGTAGGAAGACAATGTGATACTTTCTTCTTGTTTTTATTTGTGTTTCTTCAATAATGAAAAAGTTATAATCTTTTATACTTTCACTGTCATTTTATGTTGTTTTCTTCCCCAAACTGCTTATTTATGTCCATTGCTCATTTTTTTCCATTGGACTTTTGATCTTTTTCTATTTATTATGTAATAATTATTTATATTTTAATATAATAACCATTTTTTCCATAAACATTGTATATTTTTCTATCTTGCCATTTATGTTTTATCTTTCTGTGTAGTCTTTTTCTGATATAAAAAATTGTATTAATGAGTAAAAATTGTATATATTTATAGTGTACAACATGATGTTTTGATATATGTGTACATTATAAAGTGGCTAAATCAAGTTATCTAATGTATGTATTACCTTACATATTTATCATTTTGTAAATTTACATGGACATTCAAAAAAGCCTAATCTCATATTCTCTTCTATTTTTCAACCAAAGGTGTATTACTGTTATTTGCCAAAAAATAATGTGTATCTATAGCTAAAAAAAATCATATATAATGGAAGAAGTTAAAAATCTCAAGGTCATCTCTGTTCATTTTCATTTATTCATTCCATTATCAAATTATACTTTATATATCAGTGTTTTTACTCTGGAAAAGTTATCTTATTCTGTGGTAAATTGTGTCAATACTTATTTTCTCTTCTCTCTTCAGTCTATCTTTCTATTTTTATGCTTGCAAATTCAAATGGTGTAAACCACCTCGATGACATTTCATTTAAACATGCAAAGTAGACTGAAGAAACTTAGGTGCACTTAGGTAATATAACTAAATAACTGATGACTTTTACAGACTGAAGAAAATCAACTTGAATATATGACTTTTGGTTTGTTTCTATTTTAATTTATGACCACTTTTGTGCTGTATGCAGTCATTCTTATTGTACTATCTGTGTATTTAGGGGGAAATACGGTATAAAAGAAAGAATGATCTTTAAATCCTAGGTGTTAGTCTTGACCTCACCAATAATGAGTGTGCAAATTATTTATTCTTACTGAATCACAGAAGCAATAAAATGCAAACCATGACTGTGAGGGGTTTGATGAGAATTACAAAGAATGTATTTCACACACTGAGCAGTTTCTGGCACATGTTAAGTAAAGCAACAATTATGTTATCAGTTTTGCTATTTTAATTAAGGTATTTGCAGATGGGGAGATGACATCTGTGGTCATTACTATATATCACAAGTAGCCATAATTTTATTACTAATACCCACGGTAGTTCTTTGTGGAAATGGACCTACATGCATGGCATTTAGGAGACAGACACAACTCAAAAAAACACGTAAAGATGTTACTAAAAGAAGCAAAATTTCTTTAGATCAATTGCAGATTTAGATTCAACTCTTATACCCTCTATATTACTCAGCATTTTCAGGCCAAATTTAAAATAATTGGAGTAAAAGTAATATTTCTTTCTAAACTGTTTATTAAGATAGGTTAGGAGGTAAGAAGAGGAGAGAACATAAAATGCATTGAGAACTCACAATTTTCCATGTGTTATGCATATGTTACATACTTTATGTCATTTAAATGTAATGATTTTCTTTAAAGTAATTTAAACACTACTGAAAACACAGGAACTACTTTTAAGCTTAAACATAACCATATTATACTTTACAAGGGCTTTATCCACTTGACTGTAAATTGTATTTGATGCTGAGCTATTCATTAAATTTAATTCAGCTCCAGTAAGAGTATTCAATAAACAAACATTGATTGCTTTCCTATCTTACATTTTTTTAGGAGTGCGAAATAAGTGAGTCATCATGAATTGGGAAAATGAGAGCTCCCCAAAAGAGTTTATACTACTTGGCTTCTCAGATAGGGCTTGGCTACAAATGCCCCTTTTTGTGGTCCTGTTAATATCATACACAATCACCATATTTGGCAATGTGTCCATCATGATGGTGTGCATTCTGGATCCCAAACTTCATACTCCCATGTATTTCTTTCTCACTAATCTCTCCATCTTAGATCTCTGCTATACCACAACTACAGTCCCTCATATGTTGGTAAATATTGGTTGCAACAAAAAGACCATCAGCTATGCTGGCTGTGTGGCCCACCTCATCATCTTCCTGGCCCTAGGTGCTACAGAGTGTCTCCTTCTGGCTGTTATGTCCTTTGACAGATATGTGGCTGTTTGCAGACCCCTCCACTATGTAGTCATCATGAATTATTGGTTCTGCCTAAGGATGGCAGCCTTCTCATGGCTCATTGGTTTCGGCAACTCAGTGCTGCAGTCTTCCTTGACTCTTAACATGCCACGCTGTGGTCACCAGGAAGTGGACCACTTTTTCTGTGAGGTGCCTGCACTTCTCAAGTTGTCATGTGCTGACACAAAGCCTATTGAGGCTGAGCTCTTCTTCTTTAGTGTACTAATTCTTCTAATTCCAGTGACATTGATCCTCATCTCCTATGGCTTCATAGCTCAAGCAGTATTAAAAATCAGGTCAGCAGAAGGACGGCAAAAAGCATTTGGGACATGTGGGTCCCACATGATTGTGGTGTCCCTCTTTTATGGAACAGCCATTTATATGTATCTTCAACCACCTTCATCCACCTCTAAGGACTGGGGAAAGATGGTTTCCCTCTTCTATGGAATCATCACATCCATGTTGAACTCCCTCATCTACAGCCTTAGAAATAAAGATATGAAGGAGGCCTTCAAGAGGCTGATGCCAAGAATCTTTTTCTGTAAGAAATAAGAAGTACTCCATTGTGATGAGAATCTTCTTAGTCTTTCCTTATCTTCAATGATGGTAATGACCTTTGAACTCATTTTCCTATTTTCCAGGCTCTGGTGATTTCACTAAATTCTGTCAACAATTAGAAAATCCTTCCTCTGTTGGCTGGGCGCGGTGGTTCACGCCTGTAATCCCAGTACTTTGTGGGGGCCAAGGTGGGCAGATCACATGAGGTCAGGAGTTCGAGACCAGCCTGGCCAACATGGCGAAACCCCATCTCTACTAAAAGTACAAAAAAATTAGCAGGGCATGGTGGTACACGCCTGTAATCCCAGATACTCAGGAGGCTGGGGCAAGAGAATCGCTTGAACCCAGGAGTCAGAAGTTGCAGTTAGCCCAGATCGCGCCACTCACTCCAGCGTGGGTGACAGAGTAGGAATCTGTCTCAGGAAAAAAAAAAAAAAAAAAAAAAAAAAAGGAAAGAAAGAAAAGTCTTCTTCTGTTTAGGAAGCAATGCTGAACCCATATGACATGTCTTCAAAGTTAGAAACTCCTTTCTTTTCAGAAGTTCCCCCAATGTACTCTGTTCCTTGAGACAAGTCATGTCAATTTCCTATCAACTTCAGGGTAGTCAGGAGACTTTGATGGATTGCCTTCCACTTGTATACTATTATTCTATAACCATCCTGTCTACGCCTTTAGTTAGGGATTTTAATATCCTTATAATTAAATTACCAGTTATTCCAAGCCAAAAATTATTCCATCAGAATCAAAGTCTTCAAACACTTTGAACCCTCTGATCTCTTGATAAAATTCATCATATGCACCTTTTCAGAACTGTTTTTGGTATGTAATTTGGCTTCAATCTAGCTGGCTTTGTTTTTGTTTTGTTTGAGAATGAATTTTACTCTTGTTGCCCAGGCTGGAATGCAATGGCACGATCTCAGCTCACTGCAACCTCCACCTCCTGGGTTCAAGTGATTCTCCTGCTTCAGCCTTCCAAGTAGCTGGGATTACGGATGCCCGCCACCATGCCCAGCTAATTTTTTGTATTTTTAGTAGAAACGGGGTTTCTTTGTGTTGGCCAGGCTGGTCTCGAACTCCTGACCTCAGGTGCTCCACCCATCTCAGCCTCCTAAATTGCTGGGATTACAGGCATGAGCCACTGCACCCAACCAATCTAGCTGGTTTTAAACCAGCTAAGTGTGTGCATCTCAATCTGGAAACCTTAAATGTCAGTTGAGTTTTATTTCAAATTCTATTTTCAATTCATCTCTTTATTCCTCCGGATAGCATTTATCCTTTCTTCCCTTTTGTTAAATTCCTTATTTGTCCCAAGTTCTACCTCAGGTATGTGGCATCTTTTCTAAATTATAGAGCTAATTATAGAAATGTTAATGGGAATCCTTTTTTCTCATATTGACCTGAATTAGCTTACTCTTTATCTGTGGTAGTCATTCAATAAACATTTATTGTTCACAAGACAGCAGTAGTCCAGAGGAGAAATATCACAGTTCCTCTGCTGAAGAAATGTGCTAGTTCCAGAAGGCAATGATTCTTAAACTGAGACATTTAAATGATGGTTTACAGTTAGTAATGTAAGGACACAGATGAGGCAACATTTCAGGCAACAGAGAAAGCTTTACAAAACAAAGCATTTCATCATTACAAGTAATTTAGCAGTTAAACAATACAAAACCAGGCAAGATGAGGTTGACGATGTAATATAATTATATATTATATATAGTTCTATATCACATATAATTATGATAATGATATATTATATATAATTATATTATATATTATTATATTATATATTATTATATTATATATAATTATATTATATAATTATAATTATCTTATATACAATTACAATTATATTATATATAACTATAATAATATTTAGATGACATTTCAAATAAGTGGAAAAAGAAGAGACTGAAGAAATGTCTGTTGAGTTTTATTTCAAATTCTATTTCAATTCATCTCTTTATTCCCCTGGATAGCATTTCTCCTTGTTTTTCCCTTTTGTCAAATTCCATATTTGTCCCAAGTTCTACCTCAGGCATGTGGAATGACCCCTTAATTATAGAGCTAATTATAGAAATGTTAATGGGAATCATTTTTCCTATATCGATCATATCTTCAGAAAACACAAAAAATGAAAGAACACAAAGGGATCCACCTTTTACCTGGATCTCTGTTGTTACCCAATCTACCTTTATGCACTTCTCCCAACTCACTACCAGCGGAGTTTGCGTTTTTTCGTGTGCATTATATCAGAAAATATTCCTATGTTTTCTGGTATTTAAAACATAATTGAAATAGCTGCAAATTGGGCCGGGCATGGTGGCTCACACCTGTAATCCCAGCACTTTGGGAGGCCGAGGCGGGTGGATCACGAGGTCAGGAGATCGAGATCATCCTGGATAACACGGTGAAACCCCGTCTCTACTAAAAATACAAAAAAATAGCCGGGCATGGTGGCAGGCGCCTGTAGTCCCAGCTACTCGGGAGGCTGAGGCAGGAGAATGGCGTGAACCCAGGAGGCGGAGTTTGCAGTGAGCCGAGATTGCGCCACTGCACTCCAGCCTGGGCGACAGAGCGAGACTCCATCTCAAAAAAAAAAAAAAAAAAAAAAAAGCTGCAAATTTAATTTCACCAAGGAAGTGTATTAAAATCTATTTAACCACTTTCCTATTGTTGAGCATATTTACACTCCTTGTTTTGATTATTGTTACTACTACTGCCAATAATTCAATATGAATTTGTGTCTAAATGTCAGTTTATATTCTGAAAAACTGAATTACTGGCTCTAATTATAAATTTCTTAGAAGATCTAAGAGTTAATAGATATGGTCAAATTGTGCTGTAGAAATTTTATAACATTCCACATTCCCAGATAGATCACTGTATATAGCAAATGAGAATGGTTGCTTCACGAGCTTTTGCAAACTCTGAGAGTTTCATCTTTTGATGAATATGCCAATTTTAGAAGCAGAAACATTATCAAGTTCCTATTTGTTATTTCCTTGAGTATTTTGAAAGTAGAGTATTTTTCATAAATTGAATACATTAGGAATGTTTATAAATATTTTATTTTTTCTCCCCTTCTAGGCAGATGGTAAAATTGCACATCCCTGTCCTATCGAATGCAGACCTGGCTGTTTAATATGATTTGCCAATAAAATGTGAAGAGAAATGATGTGGGTTATTTTTTGATGACTTCAAAATCTAGTACATACTCTGCCATGTTCTCTTTCCCTCTGGCAATCAAAACAATGTTCCAGGTAGGTTCTCAATCAGCCTGAAACAAATGTTAGGAAATTAAAATATGAGGCACTGGCAAAAGGATCACATGGCAGATGATGAGGGATATGATAGTAAAGCTTGAAACTGAGAGGGGCCAAGATGGTCAGTGACACAGCCAGGAAGAACATCTTCCACAACAGACCAGGATATCAGGAAGACTGGCATACTCCGAGCCGATCTTCGGAGGGAAGGCATTGAGGGTGGACAGAGGGAGGACATAGAACCTGGGCTGGAGGGTGAGAAACCTCGGAACTTTGCACGGAGTTGCAGAGTACCCGGACTCGTTTCTGGCCCATGTTCTTGGCCCGCAGTGACTCCTGGGGAAGAGGTCCGTTGAACACACGAGGAGTGGCCACTCTCGCCACAGACCTCCAGAATCCCAACTGCAGGAGACCCCATGACCCCGCGGACACTTGAGCTGGCAGGGAGAGCTATTTGGAAAGGTGGCAAGGACAGGACTTCAGCCTGTGAAAAGCCCAGAGGGTCTGACACAGGAACGGCTGCAGTGGAGCATGGCCAGAGACGCCCATTCCCCCAAAGCTCACCATGCTCCTCTAGGTGGTCTCAGCCTATGGTAACTGCCAGACCTGAACGGAGCAGGGCTATCTTACCTGTGGGATGGGACCAGTCTAATCTGAGTGCTCCCTTGTCTGCCGGCCTCTCCTGGGGTAGACTGGCTAAAGAAAATGTGCTACATATACACCATGGAATACTAAGCAGCCACAGAAAAAGAATTAGATGATGCCTTTTGCAGGAACATGGATGGAGCTGAAGACCATTTTCTTAAGCAAAGTAACGTAGGCACAGAAAACCAAATACCTCACACTCTCATTCATAAGTGAGAACTAAACACTGAGTACACATGAACACAAAGAAGGGAAAAGTAGACTCTGAGGCCTACTTGAGGGTGGTTTAGTTTTTTAAGGACTAAAAAACTACCTATCATATACTATGCTTATCACCTGGGTGGTGAAATAGTCTATACAACAAACCCTATGAAATACGATTTACCTACGTAACAAACCTGCACATGTACCCCTGAACCTAAAGTAAAAGTCTAATAAAAAATGAGAGAGATTGAAATTATGGTGCCAGGTTTGGTGGCTCACACCTGTAATCCCAGCACTTTGGGAGGCCAAGGTGGGCAGATTGCCTGAGCTCAGGAGTTCAAGACAAGCCTGAGCAAAGTAGTGAAAACTCATCTCTAAAAAAATACAAAAATTCATTGGGTGTAGGAGCAAACACTTGTAGTCCCAGCTACTAGGGGATGCTGAGGCAGAAGGATCACCTGAGCCTGGGAGGTTAAGGCAGCAGGGAGCCAAGATCACACCACTGCAGAGTACAGACAGAGAAGACCCTGTCTCAAAAAAAAGAAAGAAAGAGAAGAAAGAGAGAAAGAAAGAAAAAGAAAGAAAGAAGAAAGAAAGACAGGGAGGGTGAAAGAAAGAGGAGAAAAAAGAAAGAAAAGAAAGAGAAAGAAAGAAAGAGAGAAAGGAAAGAAAAGAAAGAGAAAGAGAGAGGGAGGGAGGGAAGGGAAAGAAGAAAAAAAAGGGAAGGAAGGAAGGAAAAAGGGAAGGAAGGAAGGAAGGAAGGAAGGAAAAAGAGAAGGGAGGGAGGAAGGGAGGGAGGGAGGAAGGGAGATAAAGTGATCCATGTTATACAATAAGGAAACATTTCATAAACTATCACCTGCAATAACTTAGAAGGCAGATAATGAACCTAACAACTGAGTGGAACCCGAGGGTTATGAAGAACAATGGATGGAGGAGCTACTTTTCAATGAGTGGGATATAGGGACATTTCCAAACTCACATTTGGAACGCCTCACAAGAACTGCCCAGTGGTTACAGTGATTGTTTAACTTCTGGGAAGACATTTTAAGGGCAGAGTGTGTTTTGCAACTTTTATTTCCCTCTATCACAACAATCTAGAGAACTTTGGATAGTGTCTACTTCATCAGTTTGGATCCCTAATGCACAATGACATGGACAAGTCCCTAGCAACATTCAATAAACACAAAACATAAGCAAAAATGAAATATTTGTTGGTTTAAGCCTTTATGATGGACTTGTTTACCAGCATATGTTAATTGGCCATTTTTTTTAAAAAAAATAATATTATGGAGAAATACTCACTGTTAAGTGGTGGAGAAAACTCAAGAAACGATTCTACACTTAGAACATGACCCTAATTTTATGTATACCTATATGTGTAAGAAAACACTAGAAATAAGTTCACCAAGCTAACTGTGGTGAGGTAAGTGACAGGATATCAGGAAATTTTTATTCCAGGCTTCTTATTTTTCTGTATTTTCTGATTTCATCATACAATTTCTTAAGTATTAGGAAAAAGTCTAAACATCATAAAACTGGTGCTCTAAGTCTATTTCACCTTGAAAAGTCTTGCATTAATGTTTATTTGCTTCCCATTAGACACTATCTTAAAGCCATAATAACCTAAAGTTGAATTTTATTTGAAATAAAAATTATTGATAGTGAAATTTTTATTAATGTATTTATAAATTTGGCAACTAATTTTAGAAATATCTACTCCAACCTTCAAGCTTACCATTAATAATTTCCCAAAGTCTTCTTAAAAATAATTTTATAAATATTTATACTTTGGGGGGCATTAGTAACTTAAATAACAAAAATAAGATGGGTTGAGCTCTAAAATTTGAATCACCATCAATGTTCTAAAATATTTTTATATTACTTGTATCTACATTATTATCACATACCACCTAAATCAGAGACACTTAAATTTTCTCTGCCTTCCTAAGTGCACATCCAGAGCAAAGATATTATATATAGATATATAGTATATACAGATATTAAAATAGTTATAAATTTGCCTAATGTTTTTCAATCGCTTACTATACATACAGATTTTGCTATTTGCCGAGTATTTGTTAGTGAATAAGACAGACACAATTCCTTCCCTCACAAACTTTATAGTCTAGTGGGAGAAAGAAAACAAATAATAATACTAAACATGTAATTACAAGTTGTACTAAGTACTATAAAGTAAAAATGACAAGGCTTCATGAATAAAATGGATGGGTGATTAGTTTAAACCAGGAAAGGTTCAAGGAAAGCTCTTCTAGGGAAGTGTCATTTAGGCTCAGATCTATAAGTGAGGTAGTAAATTCTTCAGAGTAGACAAAACAGTAGATGCTAAGGCCTTGATCTGGCAGGAAGTATCATAACCACAAGTGTTCTTTTTATTGTCATCTTTTTATTTAATGTAGTTTACTACATTTTACATTTATAATGTATTTTTAATGTAATTTTTAAAGTTGCAAGTATAATACAGAACTTTAAATACCCTTTTCCAGAGTCATCATTCATTTACATTTGCCTTACTTTTACACATATGTAATATATAAATGTAGTTTTCATATCTATGAAATTTTTCCCAACCTTTTTATTACTACATACACTTTAGTGTATAGTTGCTAAGGACATTAACTTCCATACATAGCCAGTACAATCATAAAAACTGGGACATTTTACAGTCATATAATACTATTATGTAATCAATAGTTCATATTCAGATCTTGTTAATTATCTCCAAAATGTTCTTTATATTTTCTCCCATTCAGGAGCCAATAATGATGCAACATTTCAGAAAAGTGTATAAGGATAGTTTGTCTTAAAATCGATGCTGTTAACTTTAGTCACTTGACTAACATGGTGTCCCCCAGATCTCATTATGCCTTTTTCCTGAGAAATTAATAAGTAATTTGTGGCAGACAGCATAACTATGTAAATGTCTTAAACTTTCACCCACTAATTTTAACATCTATTAATAATTCTCCAATCCTAGTATGCCCTCTATATTTATTAACTGATGTGCCATTAAGAGTTTTCCCTTTTCCCCCTTCATGTATTCATTTTTTATATTTTTATCAGTATATACTCATAAATTTCTATTTTATATCGCTATTTTACCTTTTTTTATTATTACAGTTTTTCTGGGGTACATGTGCAGGATGTGAAGGTTTGTTACATAGGTATACATGTGCCATGGTGGTTTGCTGCACCCACCAACCTGTCATCTACATTAGGTATTTCTCCTAATGCTATCCCTCCCCCAGTCCTCCATCCCTGACAGGCCCCAGTGTGGGATGTTCCTCTCCCTGTTCCATGTGTTCTCATTGTTTAACTCCCACTTATGAGTGAGAACATGCAGTGTTTGGTTTTCTGTTCTTGGGTTAGTTTGCTGAGAATGATAGTTTCATTAACTAGATTAACTGTGTAGTAAGAATTTATCATTCACTTTTCACTTCCACACCAGCAGGATGATGTAAGGAAACTAATACCATCAGAAAGGATCATGTTTTAAAATTAAAGCTATAATAGGGAAAAAAAATATATATATATATACTGTATCCCTACATAAAGCTGAGGGTTACCGAGAATAAGTCAAATGTATTCATTAATGTCAATAATGAATTGGGTGGGAGTGGATTCAGACAGAAAAGAAATAAAAACAAAGGGTATACGTATATCAAATCATCACACTGCACACCTTGAATATATACAATCTTTATTGTCAATTAAATATTGTTTTAAAAAATAAAGGACCAGAAGCTGAATATAGTTATAGAATGCAGCAAATGATGAAAACAAAAGTGGGAGCAAAGAACAAGCCTGAGATGATCAGTGTGAACTTGGCTAGAAGGATTCCAGATTGCTAGATCTGCTGCTAATTGTGAACCATGGGTGAAAAAAGCAATTACTTTAAAAACAAGCCCATGGCCAAAAGTTTTCAGGACCCATATTTTCAAAATTCCAGATTCCATGATTTTTAATCATGTTTTAATAACATTAATGTATGTTAATATCTTCTTGACACAATGTTTTTATGGTTTAAATAAAATGAGGAACTTTAATGTAGTCAATGGAAGGTAAAAAGTCTATACTGTGTTGGGTTATTGTGGAAGAAATTATTGAAGACTTCTTTTGTCTGTATGTGGAACTAGGATTATGATGGCTCTATGGTAGCAGAAATCTAAAGAAATAATATCTTGAGAAAAACTATAAATAAAAGAAAATTAGATCTTGGCACCTAAAATAATAATCTTAATTTCCTCCTTGTGATCCAAGGAAATTTTTATAAAATTGTTAAGGCAGATTCAGTTTCCTTGGCTTCTCTCAGACCTGAGTCCATTATAAATAACAGGTGCCAAAATTTATCATTTCATTTTATTATGGCAAGGAAGTTAGAGGGAAGCATACCCACTAAGGAATTGCTATAATGACCCTTACCAAGAAATTTCAACTCTATTATCTGTACAGAGAACAAAGTTTCACAGCTTTATAGAGTGAGTGGCAACCCTATAAAGTACTTTTTTTAAAGTACCTTTAGAACAAGATCGTGTCCTTTGCAGGGACATGGATGGAGCTGGAAGCCATTATGCAGGAACCATTATGCAGAAAACCAAACCCTGCATGTTTTCACTCATGGAATGATGAGCTGAGCAATGAGAAAACATGGATACAGGGAGGAGAACAACACACAGTGGGGCCTGTCTGGGGGTGGAGAGGGGAGGGAGAACATCAGGAAAAATAGCTAATGCATGCTGGGCTTAATACATACGTGATGGGTTGATAGATGCAGCAAACCACCATGGCACACGTTTACTTATGTAACAAACCTGCACATCCCACACATGTATCCCAGAACTTAAATAAAATAAAATAAATTTTTTAAAGTACCTTCCTTACCTCTAAAGAGTAAGTAGGTTTTCATATTTGAAAATATTTGGGGTGTGCTCTGAGGGAGGGCCTGGGCCACCCACCTTTGCTGGAGGAGCCCTTCAGGCCATAATAAGCATGAATAATGTCTTTCCTCTTTGAGTGGATCTACAATGGCTTCAGCAGTGTGCTCCAGTTCCTAGGACTCTACAAGAAATTTGGAAAACTTGTATTTTTCGGTTTGGACAACGCAGGCAAAACCACTCTTCTTCACATGCTCAAAGATGACAGATTGGGTCAACATGTTCCAACACTACATCCGACATCAGAAAAGCTATTAATTGCTGGAATGACTTTTACAACTCTTGATCTTGGTGGACACAAGCAAGCATGTCAGGTTTGAAAAAATTATCTCCAAGCAATTAATGAGATTGTTTTTCTGGTGGATTCTGCAGATCATTCTGGCCTCATGGAATCTAAAGTTGAGCTTAATGCTTTAATGACTGATGAAATAATATCCAATGTGCCAATCCTTATATTGGGTAACAAAATAGACAGAACAATGCAATAAGTGAAGAAAAACTCTTTGAGATATTTGGGCTTTCTGGACAGACCACAGGAAAGAGGAACATGGCCCTTTAGGAGCTGAACGCTCACCCCACTGAAGTGTTCATGTGCAGTGTGCTCAAGAGGCAAGGCTAGGGCGAGGGATTCTGCTGGCTCTCCCAATGTATTGACTGATGTTTGGACAGAGAAAATAAGAGTTTTTCTCCTCTGGACTGATCCTGTTCACAGCTTCTTCATGGACTTTTCTAATAGAACAATGAAAGGTCTCCAATCATGTCTAGCATTGAGAAGCCAAGAGTCACTGTCTACTCTCATCACCCAGTGGTGAAATGTTCTCTTCTCCACACTGTTGGGGAGGTAATGCTGCCCCATGTGCTGGTGCAGGTCAGTATCCTGGGGCTTGGAAGCTGGCAGGGGTTGCTGAGTAAAGCTGTGTGCCATTATGGGGCACCTGAAAAGAAAAACACATCTCACCACTCTGGTTGATTTCAAAAGAAAGTGATTCTATTTTTAAAGAAAGTGTTGTTAATATAATTGATACCCCTTCTAACTTTTCGAGTTCAAAATTTACTTAGTCCAGAGTTTTCTATTCTTTTTTAAACTAATGAATGACATTTAGATACTTCATAAAATTATGAACAGATACACATTGGAGGCCAGAGCTCATTTGGGTAAACTCACTCCTGCTGAGTTAGCAGGTTGGTGAGAGAAGCTCCCCTGAGCTCACCTGTCTCTCTAACTGCCTTGGAGAAGGTGGCATTACCTTGTGAACAGAGAACCAGAAAAGGGGCAGAATCCTGGCCTTGTAATTGCGGCAGGTTTCCACTGTGGTAAGCTAGGGTCATTCCTTCTCAAGGAATGTGTAGCAGATCATTCACTATTGAGCAGTTAATTATAGTGTAAGTTACTGTTATTATTCTTATTTATAAAGTTATAGGTTTCATCCAGTCTTTACTTTTATACTTTGGTGAAATTTTATTTCCCTCTATAGCACCTTCCTTTTTCATTTTCAGTTATAAAAAGTAACTTTCACCTCATGAAAAAGTTGAGAACATCTCTTATGTTGTCACATACTGCAGGTGTGTCAGTTACTTTTGCACAGATTCTAGAGGAAAATTTTTCTGAATAGGAAGACAGGACAAAGTTAACAGCTTAAGGGCTCTTAATTCTGGGAGTTGAGGACTTAAATGTATTGTAGCACTTGTCTGAATGCAGGAAAAATTTACTCACTGGGCTTTAAAATTTCCATTTGCAGAATTTGGTCTCTATTGGATTTTTCCTGAGCTCTTTGTCTTACATCTTATCTCCTTAGATATCTACGTTGCTGTGTTTAAAGTAAAGGTTAACATCTGTAGCTTTTCCAGGTGTGTTTGTGTGGATTTTTTTAATATGAAATTGCCTTTCCCCATTGTAGAAATAAGCTGGGGGGAAACACTAACTCAAAAACTTTCTGTAGAGCTGTTCCTTTGGAAGCAGCATCACTTATTGGCAGTAAAGACTCAGGATAAAAGCAACAGCATCCCTACCACGGTGATGAGGATTGATTTTATAGCATTCCATTTTCTTAGTGTCACATGTGAAATTGGTTTTTTATGATCTTAACCTAAATTCTACCCTTGTAGTAAAAGATCAAAAGATAAGATCTCCTAGGAAAAGACAGGAGATAGGAGATGAAAAGTTAGGAGGATATCTTTATTCTAATGTGAGGGTAGGGAAAATGTGGATAACATATTATTGGGGAGAGAGTATAGTTATTTAGTTGGAGTTCTCAGTCTTCAGTACTGACTTGTTCGGGAAACATACTTTTTCACTGCCAGGTACTGAATGCAGAGGCTCAGTGAAGTATATTTCCGGGAAGTGCATGCATTTCATTTATTAGCAAGCATAGCTGGATTAAGATAAAATTGTTTGGAAAGGGGTTAAAGCCTTAACTGAACAAATCTAGCTAACAGTGAATGAACTAGATAGTTAACTTGCATTTTTTTTAAATTTTCCTTTGGTTAAAGGTTCCCCATACTTCTCTTATCAGAGACATGAGAAGTATGATTGCTTCCATGTTGGTTTTCTTACTTTTAGTTTCGGATTTTTTTTCCCTATTTGTCCCTAGTAACTTTGTTGCAAGCTAGAAAACTGTCGGTTCTACGTAGGGCAGCTGCTGTGAGGAGCTCAGCTCTAAACACAGGATCAGCGCCTTGTACAGGAATTCTCATGAATTAAGATGTTTCATTCTGTTTTATCAGAGTGCATGTATGTCCTATTTCAGAAAAAGTAAAACAGTCATTTACAAAAGAAAGTCAATCTGTATCCTAAGCATTTTAATTAAAAGTTAAAGCATAAATAAATAAATAAACAATAAATCAAAAGATTTGGGATCCTTTCAATCAAATAAATAACTATTAAAGACCTCTGATATGACATAAAACCACTGAATACAGAAAGAACATTCAATCTTTATCCCCAATTAACACTGAATTCTGATGGAAGAAAAAGATTAATGTTCTTTTTTGCAAGAAAAGAGGGTACCCCTAAAAAATATCAACACTGATTTAGGCAACTGTTGCATATGAGTAGAAATGATCTATTTAGCTTGATTGATTTAATCTTTTTATACAACCACATGCATGTTGTGATCTCCTTATGAAAATTTGCATACTAAAAAAACTATTTTAAAAAAGGCTACTGTGGGCACACTGCCTATAGGATAGCCCTGCTAGGCAAGGAGCAGTTAAAAAAAGTATAAATAAATTGACACCTATTAATACTAATACTAATCATTATAATTTAAAACATTGAAACATGTTTTTGAAAAATAATCTATGGTACTGTTTGCATTTGTGAGCATTTCCACTGATTAAAAACATATGTGTACTGATATTAAAATCTAGAAATCATTAACATCAGATTCAAGGCAAGGGATCTGAGTAATGTAGGGAAATAAAATGGTAGAAAAAACAACCCTTCTAAGACTTCTTATGGGAATATAAGGACATGGTTAATATTTGGATACAAAGAAAAATTAACTATCAGATATAGACTTAAAATCAAACAGGGAACTTTATTTCATGAAAAATAACCAACCCAACATTGAGTATTGGACTTAATAAAGCGTGTTCACACATATGGTGCTAATTAATCTCCACAACGGAGCAAGATAGATAAAGAAGTTTCTGAATATTTAAGCAAGACCTAAAATGTACATGTATTAGTAATTGGGAAGTGGACTAAATCTAGATTTTCTAATATCATTCTTGTTTCTTTTCTACTATGCCAGTATTGTCCAAATTTTTTACCATTACCTATAGTAAGGAATATATTGTACATCAGAATCCAGGTCATACAAACACATATATAAAATGAGTGATGAGAATAAGTAAAATAAATCAATAAAATAGTATATAACTGCGTAATAGATTACAACTCACAGTGTGAAAAGCACTAACATACATCATACTGTATAACTGCTGATACTTTAATGACCTTATATCACTTGGCTGTGCAATGAATTATCTTGTCTTGTAAGTACTGAACGTGTTGCAAGGAACCATTTCCTTTCAGCTGTGTGCTTCCTTTTATGACAAAAGTTTTATGTTGGCGATCGTCATTCCAGGATTTGGGAAGAAGAGGTAAGGAATAGCACTATGTTGTTTCTATGCAAATCAGACTGATCCACGTGGAGCTCAGTGAGTTCTGAACTCACCTACATCAACTCACAAATTGAACCAGAACATGACCAGGGCCAACAGATTTTGGATGAAAGAAATTAACACGTGTTAGTTAGCATGGGTAGTTCTTGGGCATTCTTTAAAATTATTCATTTCTCCATCTGATTCATTTTTCTAATATAAGATTAATTATGTTTCCCATTACTTAATCATTATTCTGTAAAAGTTTGCTATATTGCATTTCTTGGGTAAGATACAGAGATTTGTTGATCTTCCTTTTAGAGGCACTAGAAAGGTAACATTTTGGCCTTTAGATAAAATTTTTCATGCTTACAAGTGTCAAATCACATCAGTTTAGTTACATCACAGAGAAAACCCCTTCATAACTCAGTTTATTTTACTTAACTGAATAAGTGGAGTATCAGAAAAATTCAATACTAAAGTAGCCTTTCCTTTCCCTCAAATCCACCAACAAGAGCAATGACAGGAATCTGGGCAATGCAATTGCTCGAAAGATCTTCATTCTCTGGGGTTTCTTTGACCACCCCTAGCCGGAAATGTTTCTCTTCATAATGGGGCTTGTTGCTTATCTCTGCATACTGGTGGACAACATCTCAATTATTGTGGTACCCAGGGGATATTTTAGGGGAGCACCAAATGCATCATTTTAGCTGTGACGTCTTTGGATCCTTACATTGCCATCTGCAAACACTTGAGGTACCCAGCTATCATGCATCAGCAACTCTGTGTCCTCCTAGTGGCCATGGCATGGCTAAGCAGTTTGGCCAACTCTACTTCAGTCATCCCTTGCCGTCCAGCTGCCACTAGGCGGTAACAAGGTGGACGACTTTCTGTGTGAGGTCTCAGCGATGATCAAGATATCACGTTTTGACACCACATTCAATGTATCTATGCTCTCCATTGTGAGGATATTTTAGTCCCTCGTTCTCTAATCAATTATCTTTGCTTACTGTGGATTCATTGTAGCTACTGTGCTGAGGATTCAGTCCTCAGGGGGAAAGAAGGAGGTCTTCAACACATGTGGTTCTCATATTGTATCTCTCCTCTATGGGCCTGTAATTAGCATGTATGTACAGCCCTCTGCCAACTCCCAGGACAAAAACAAATTCATGTCCCTGTTCTACAGTTTGGTGACTCCTATGCTTAACCCTTTTATCTACACTTTGAGCAACAGGGACATAAAAGGGGCAATGAGGAGGCTTCTTGTCTTTTTGTATCACCAGGAAGAGAACAAAAGTAATTATTTTTATACTCCACATTCTTCATATACAGGTCAGAAGATCTCCTGTTCTAAAATTACATGTTGATTTAACCTCCTCCAAAATTGTTAGCATTCTTTACTACCCACCCTGTCTACATATATGCTTTTGTACCACACAATGGGGTTTGTTGGATATCATTTCAAGTGTGAATCCTAATCCTCAGATTGTCTGCAATTTGCATGGTAGTGAGAACTATGTCCTTATATTCCTTTGTATTTATCTAGAAATATCCATAGGCATCTAAAAAGTGGGCAATAAATAAATGTTAATAGACTGACTCATTTACTCAGAGCAAAAATCAAGTCCTATCATTTTATGTGTTACTTTGAAAAATATATATGAGTAATATAGACTGCAGTTTACCTTCTTGTTATTATGAATGTGATTTAAAGGCTAATCTTTTATTTGCAAATTAACTTTTTATGGATTGCCAGCAAGATCAAATAGGTTAATATCTCATATTCCATAACTGACCCTCTCAACCACAAATTCACTGATCCTTTACAAATAAAATAATTCAAAAATAATATCTGACTCTTTCCTATCGATCTTAATGGGATTTCTTCCTTCTGAGGTATTTGACTGAAGTAATTATTTCTAGGTTATCAGATGGAGAAGTTAAAATCTTCAGAAATTTCTATGTTGTCTCTTAATATTGAGAGCCACTCACCCTTCAATGGGAAGACAACCTACCTAGAATGAGAAAATTAGATGTATTTGGTAGGTAACCGAAGGATTAAATCGTCTCATCATTTAAAATCAGAATATTCAGCAGAAGGAAAATGGAAAAAGAAGGTAGAGCACAACCTGGGGCAAATATAAAATAAACTAGCTATCAGACCGTCAATTTTGAGATAGAGGTGACAAAGTAGAAAGTTGGATAATGATGTAAGAAGGCAGTGTTCTGTTGACTTTATCCATAACATCAACTCTCCTCATTATAAATCCATAATTTTTCTTATACTTCCTCTGCTCCCCTGTCTTTCAACTTGTGTTTAAGAAAAACATTTGTTTTTCTAACAACTACATACATTCATTTGAGGCCTTCACACATCTGCCCATCCTTCATGTATTTCCACTGTGCTCTTCTGAATGACAAGAACAAAATCTATTAACACACAATGTGCAAACCGCTGATAAAGAAATATTATATATTATAGTTTTGCCATTGTTGGAGACAAGGAAACATCACTCTTTTGGAGGAAAGTTGACTCCCTGGCATACCAACATGTCTGTAAGGACTAGGCCTGATTTCACTGTGTACCTCTCCTTCATAGTACTGACCTGTATTGAGAGAATGGGCTCTAAATAAGTATTTTTTAAATAAATGAATGAATGATAAGTATTACCCACTGTCCTAATTACCTACTATTAAAACCTATATAACAGAATCATGCAAAAATGTGTCATATACTAAACAATGAGTGTAGCAAAAGAGGTTTGTAGCTGAATGTTTTTTTAAATTTTTTATCTCCATAGGTTTTTAGGTAACAGGTGGTATTTGGTTACATAAGTTCTTTAGTGGTGATTTGTGAGATTTTGGTGCACCCACCACCTGAGCAGTATACACTGAACTCAATTTGTAGTCTTTTATCCCTCCCTCCCCTCCTACCCTTTCCCCCACCCAGTCCCCAAAGTCCATTGTATCATTCTTATGCCTTTGCATCCTCATTGCTTCGCTCCCTCTTATGAGCAAGAACATACAATATTTGGTTTTCCATTCCTGAGTTACTTCATTTAGAATAATAGTCTCCAATCCCATCTAGGTTGTTGTGAATGCCATTAATTCATTCCTTTTTATGGCTGAGTAGTATTCCATTGTGTGTATATATATATATATATATATATACCACAGTTTCTTTATCTATTCGTTGATTGATGGGCATTTGGACTGGTTCCACATTTTTGCAATTGCAAATTGTGCTGCTATAAACATGCATGTGCAAGTATATTTTTCGTATAATGACTTCTTTTCCTCTGAGTAGATACCCAGTAAGGGGATTGCTGGATCAAATGGTAGTTCCACTTTTAGTTCTTTAAGGAATCTCAACACTGTTTTCCATAGTGGTTGTACTAGTTTACATTCCCATCGGCAGTGTAGAAGTGTTCCCTTTCACCACATCCATGCCAATATATATTTTTTAAAAATTTTTTATAATGGTCATTCTTGCAGGAGTAAGGTTGGTATCTCATGGCAGTTTTGATTTGCATTTCTCTGATCATTAGTGATGTTGAGCATTTATTCATATGTTTGCTGGCCATTTGTATATCTTCTTTTGAGAATTGTCTATTCATGTCCTTAGCCCACTTATTGATGGGATTGTTTGATTTTTTCTTGCTAATTTGTCTGAGTTCCTTGTAAATACTGGATTATTAGTCCTTTGTCAGATGTACAGATTGTATAGATTGTGAAAAATTTTCTCCCACTTTGTGAGTAATCTACTCTGCTGACTGTTCTTTTGCTGTGCCAAAGCTCTTTAGTTTCATTAAACCCCACCTATTTATCTTGGATTTTGTTGCATTTGCTTTTGGGTTCTTGGTCAGAAATCTTTGCCTGAGCCAATGTCTAGAAGGTTTTTTTCAATGTTATCTTCTAGAATTTTTATAGTTTCAGGTCTTAGGTCTTAGATTTAAGTCTTTGATCCATCTTTTTTTTTTTTTTTTTAGACAGAGTCTTGCTCTGTCCCCCAGGCTAGAGTGCAGTGGCTCAATACCAGCTCACTGCAAGCTCTGCTGCCTGGGTTCACGCCATTCTCCTGCCTCAGCCTCCCGAGTAGCTGGGACTACAGGCGCCCGCTGCCATGCCCAGCTAATTTTTTGTATTTTTAGTAGAGACGGGGTTTCACCATGTTAGCCAGAATGGTCTTGATCTCCTGACCTCGTGATCCACCTGCCTCGGCTTCCCAAAGTGCTGGGATTACAGGCGTGAGCCACCGCACTCAGCTTTGATCCATCTTGAGTTGATTTTTGTATAAGGTGAGAGATGAGGATCCTGGTTCATTATCCTACATATGGCTTGCCAATTATCCCAGCAACATCTGTTGAATAGCATGTCCTCTCCCCACTTTATGTTTCTGTTTGCTTTGTCAAAGATCAGTTGGTTATAAGTATTTGGTTTTATTTCTTGGTTCTCTCTTCTGTTCCATGGGTCTATGTGCCTACTTTTATACCCATACCATGCTGTTTTGGTGACTATGGCCTTATAGTATAGTTTCAAATCAGGTAATGTGATGCCTCCAGATTTGTTCTTTTTGCTTAGTCTTGCTTTGGCTATGTGGGCTCTTTTTTGGTTCCACATGAATTTTAGGATTGTTTTTTCTAGTTCTATGAAGAATGATGGGGTTGGGTCATATGTTGAGTTTATTTTAAGCTTTATAAGAAACTGCCAAGTGGTTCCTCAAAGTGATTTTAACATTTTGCATTCTCATCAGTAATAAATAAGAGTTCCCCTTGTTCTGCATTTTTTTTCTAGCATTCACTATTGTCAGGGTTTTTTTTTTTTAGCCAATAGAACATTATGTGGGAATTTTTCTGTCTTGTTGCCTAATATTTAATATTTATAGTTTCATAATATTTAAATTTTATTTACTTATTTTCATAATATTTAATATTTAATTATTTCATAATATTTAAATTTTGCTTCCTGGCCTGCAAAACCTGAACTATTTTCCATCTGGCTCTTGTGGGGAAAATTAGCTGATCTCTGGTCTTTCATATGGATTTTCCTAACTCATTGAACCTCATTGAGGTTCAACTGAACTATAAGTCAATAACTATAAGCTTTTTAAATATGGGAAATAGTGAGTCTTTGATAGGAACAAGTAATTTTTTCCAATTTTTCTTTAAGAATTTTGGCCTATGTACACAAGACAGGGATGCCCTCTCTCACCACTCCTATTCAACATAGTGTTGGAAGTTCTGGCCAGGGCAATCAGGCAGGAGAAAGAAATAAAGGGTATTCAATTAGAAAAAGAGGAAGTCAAAGTGCCCCTGCTTGCAGATGACATGATTGTATATCTAGAAAACCCCATCGTCTCAGCCCAAAATCTCCTTAAGCTGATAAGCAACTTCAGCAAAGTCTCAGGATACAAAATCAATGTGCAAAAATCACAAGTATTCTTATACACCAATAACAGACAAACAGAGAGCCAAATCATGAGTGAACTCCCATTCACAATTGCTTCAAAGAGAATAAAATACCTAGGAATCCAACTTACAAGGGATGTGAAGGACCTCTTCAAGGAGAACTACAGACCACTGCTCAATGAAATAAAAGAGGATACAAATGGAAGAACATTCCATGCTCATGTGTAGGGAGAATCAATATTGTGAAAATGGCCATACTGCCAAAGGTAATTTATAGATTCAGCGCCATCCCCATCAAGCTACCAATGACTTTCTTCACAGAATTGGAAAAAAGTACTTTAAAGTTCATATGGAACCAAAAAAGAGCCCACATTGCCAAGTCAATCCTAAGCCAAAAGAACAAAGCTGGAGGCATCACACTACCTGACTTCAAACTATACTACAAGGCTACAGTAACCAAAACAGCATGGTACTGGTACCAAAACAGAGATATAGACCAATGGAACAGAACAGAGCCCTCAGAAATAACGCCACATATCTACAGCTATCTAATCTTTGACAAATCTGACAAAAATAAGCAATGGGGAAAGGATTCCCTATTTAATAAATGGTGCTGGGAAAACTGGCTAGCCATATGGAGAAAGCTGAAACTGGATCCCTTCCTTACACCTTATACAAAAATTAATTCAAGATGGATTAAAGACTTCAATGTTAGACCTAAAACCAGAAAAACCCTAGAACAAAACCTAGGCAATACCATTCAGGACATAGGCATGGGCAAGGACTTCATGTCTAAAACACCAAAAGCAATGGCAACAAAAGCCAAAATTGACAAATGGGATCTAATTAAACTAAAGAGCTTCTGCACAGCAAAAGAAACTACCATCAGAGTCAATAGGCAACCTACAGAATGGGAGAAAATTTTTGCAACCTACTCATCTGACAAAGGGCTAATATCCAGAATCTAAAATGAACTCAAACAAATTTACAAGAAAAAAACAAACAACCCCATCAAAAAGTGGGTGAAGGACATGAACAGACACTTCTCAAAACAAGACATTTATGCAGCCAAAAGACACATGAAAAAATGCTCATCATCACTGGCCATCAGAGAAACGCAAATCAAAACCACAGTGAGATACCATTTCACACCAGTTAGAATGACGATCATTAAAAAGTCAGGAAACAGGCCGGGCGCGGTGGCTCACGCCTGTAATCCCAGCACTTTGGGAGGCCGAGGCGGGCGGATCACGAGGTCAGGAGATCGAGACCCCGTCTCTACTAAAAATACAAAAAATTAGCCGGGCGTGGTAGCGGGCGCCTGTAGTCCCAGCTACTCGGGAGGCTGAGGCAGGAGAATGGCATGAACCCGGGAGGCGGAGCTTGCAGTGAGCCGAGATCGCGCCACTGCACTCCAGCCTGGGCGACAGAGCGAGACTCCGTCTCAAAAAAAAAAAAAAAAAAAAAAAAAAAAAAAGTCAGGAAACAACAGGTGCTGGAGAGGATGTGGAGAAATAGGAACACTTTTACACTGTTGGTGGGACTGTAAACTAGTTCAACCATTGTGGAAGTTGGTGTGGCGATTCCTCAGGCATCTAGAACTAGAAATACCATTTGACCCAGCTATCCCATTACTGAGTATATACCCAAAGGATTATAAATCATGCTGCTGTAAAGACACATGCACATGCATGTTTATTGCAGTACTATTCACAATAGCAAAGACTTGGAACCAACCCAAATGTCCAACAATGATAGACTGGATTAAGAAAATATGGCACATATACACCATGGAATACTATGCAGCCATAAAAAATGATGAGTTCATTTCCTTTGTAGGGACATGGATGAAGCTGGAAACCATCATTCTCAGCAAACTATCACAAGGACAAAAAACCAAACACCGCATGTTCTCACTCATAGGTGGGAATTGAACAATGAGAACACATGGTCACAGGAAGGGGAACATCACGTGCCAGGGCCTGTTGTGGGGTGGGGGGAGGGGGGAGGGATAGCGTTAGGAGTTATATCTAATGTTAAATGACGAGTTACTGGGTGCAGCACACCAACATGGCACATGTATACATATGTAACAGACCTGCACGTTGTGCACATGTACTCTAAAACTTAAAGTATAATAAATAAAAAAAGAAGTTTGGCCTATGTATAACTATGATATATCAATTTTTAAATGCAAGACAAAGACAGACATTTTCTGTAGGTATCTGTTACTTAATGAGCATGGCTGATCTTTTTAGTTGCCTTTAAAATGTTCTGTATTTAATTAATTCATTCTAATATAAATATTCTGTGAATCTTTATTGTATTTTCTCAATACAATTTAGAACTTTAACTTTCTGAGGAAGGTTTTGAACCTCACTTTTCAATTGAATTTCCTGACGGTCAAATTGCTTAACCCATTCTGAATACTTTTACTGTAATTTTTACAGGCTTTAATGACAAGAGGCTTGAGGAAAGGGAGCCTGTTTTGCCCTTTACACCGGACACACAGAAGGCACCATCCATAAGAAATGAATGCTTACCAGGTAATGAAATTTGCTGGTACCTTGATCTTGAACTTCCCAGCCTCCAGAACTGTAAGCAATAAATTTATGTTGTTTACATAAAAAAGAAAATAAAAATACATGAAGAAGAATTACCCAGTGTTTCTCTCACATCCTTTACAGACTTCTAAACAATACAAACTCTTTAAATTGTAAACGAACTTGGAAAATTTTTACATCATCTTAAACAATTACGTATATCAGTTAAAAACAAATAAAGCCTTTAATAATGTGTTCAAATAATTTAATTTATATTTTGTTTCTTCCTCCATCAAAAGTCTTTACAGAAGCATAAATCAATTTCCTCAAAGCCCCTTTTGACTGATGATTGACTGGTACTTACTTTCTGATTGCTTCATTCTCCCCAATTCTAAGTCCCTGAGTCCCTGACATCAATTTAACTTCTCCAAGTGCAGTAGAAAATATTCATCAAGTGTTTCAATATTTGCTCTGACCTTACTTATAATTTAGCACTTGTTACAATAATTTACATATCTTTTCAGTTCACTGTTTGCTCAGTTGGTCATCCCATTCTTGAGCTTTTTTGCGTGTAGTTTATGCTTTCCTGGACATTGCAATGCTCATTTTAGCCATATTTTGTTGCTATCTTAACTTGCTGGCTTTTTTTACTCTTCTGACATATATTTATGGTTATTTCGCATCCACCTTTTGGGATTAAAAGGACCTGAACACATCTTCTACTGGCTGAACTCCAGTTCCAAAGCTAGCCATCACCTTAACTCAATGTGAACATTAAGACTTTCTTCCTTTTGATTCTTTTCTGAAAGTATCTATTTTAAACTCAAATTTGATATAGACTTGGACCACGTGGTATCTTCTTCTCAAGGCTGCACTCCATTAAAGGTAATTTAAGTGTTCACATTATTTTTTAATCAGCCTAATTTATCAACAACTTTACATTTTTCTCCAACTAAAGCATAAATTCTATGGCAAACTCTTTCTTCCTATTTATATAAACCTGGCTTTCAACTATTAAGAAACACAAATATAGCTGCACTTACCACTATGTTCCAATGTTAAGCCACAGAGATCTGGCATGATTCTCATGTCTTCTGGCAACACTGACATGGCCTCACTTAGCTTCTCCAGGATTTGTATAAAATAAAACTTCATATCAGCAAGTGCACCCTCCATAGTACCAAATCTACCTCAGGCTTCCAGGGCACCCAATTCCATTCTGCCTGGAACCTAAATCAGCCACCTGGGAACAAAGAAAGACCATAAGTCTGGCAGCAATGGGGGAAGAGAGAGTTTTCCAAATATTTTCACATCATAGCACACATAACATGGAATGTATAAGGCTGTTCTTGATTAAAGAAGACTGGCCACTGCTAGTGTGCTCCTCCTAGGCCTCACACAACAACCCCAAAGTCTAAGAGGATTAATGTCTTTTCACATATGTAAAATTCAGAGAACACTGTTTAAGAGGCTTGACAGCTAAGAACTTACATACCATCATCAATACTCAATGTTGCCTTAATGTAAACATATTTTTCTGACATCCAGTAAACCTAATCTTTAAAAAACTAAAAACAAAGATTCTTCCTTTCAGGAAAACACTTCTGCCTTGCTTTCTTTAGATTATGAGAGTAGGCATTGGAGAATTGAATTCTCACTGTCATTCACTTATTAATCTGAATTGCAAGCATAAAAACTCATGAAAGGACCAGGCATGGTGGCTTATACCTCTAATCCCAGCACTTTGGGAAGCCAAGGCAGGAGAATTGCTTCAGCCCAGAAGTTCAAGACCAACTTGGGCTATGTAGTGAGACACCTATCCTACAGAAATTTAAAAATTAGCCAAGTGTGGTGGTGCATGCTCATAGTTCCATAGTTCCAGCTATTCAGGGGGCTGAGGCAGGATTCCCGGAGACCAGAAGGTCAAGTCTGCAGTGAGCCATGATCACACCACTGCACTCTAGTCTGGGTGACAGAGCAAGACCCTGCCAAAAAAAAAAAAAAAAACACCTCAGGAAGAATTCTGGTACTTTGAGATTGGAAAAGAATTTGAAAAACATTCAACATTTCTTCATAAGAAATGTCTCAACAAATTGGTTATAAGGAATGTATGACAACACAATAAAGACCATGTATGACAACCCCACAGCTGAGACCATCAATTTGAAAGTTTTCCCTCTCAGATCAGAAACAAAGCAAAGATGCCCACTCTCACCACTTCTATTCAACCTAGTACTGGAAGTTATAGCCATGGCAATTAGGCAAGAGAAAGAAATTAAAAGCATACAAATCGGAATGAACAAAAGAGAGAGAGAAAGAAAGAGAGAGAGAAAGGGAGGGAGGGAGGAAGGAAAGAAATGGTCTTTGTATACTGATTACCTATTGTTATATATAGAAACCCCAAATATTACACCAAAAACTGTTAAAACTAATGAACTAGTTCAGGATATAAATCAACATAAAAAAATCAGTACTGTTTTTGCAGTATTGTAAAGACTATTGACATTATGAAGAAACTGCATCAACTAACAGGCAAAATAACCAGCTAGCATCATAATGACATGATCAAATTCACACATAACAATATTAACCTTAAATATAAATGGGCTAAATGCTCCAATTAAAAGACACATACTGATAAATTGGATAAAGAGTCAAGACCCATCAGTGTGCTGTATTCAGGAGACCCATCTCATGTGCAAAGACACACACAGGCTCAAAATAAAGGGATGGAGGAATATTTACCAAGCAAATGGAAAGCCAAAAAAAAAAAAAAGCAGCAGTAGCAATCCTAGTCTCTGATAAAACAGACTTTAAATCAAAAAAGACAAAGAAGGGAATTACATAACGGTAAAGGGATCAGTGCAACGAGAAGAGCTAACTATCCTAAATATATACGCACCCAATACAAGTGCACCCAGTTTCATAAAGCAAGTTCTTAGAGACCTACAAAGAGACTCAGACTCCTGCACAATAATAGTGGGAGACTTTAACACCCCACTGTCAATATTAGACAGATCAGTGAGACAGAAAATTAATAAGGATATTCAGAACTTGAACTCAGCTCTGGACCAAGCAGACCTAATAGACATCTACAGAACTCTTCACCCCTAATCAGCAGAATATGCATTCTTCTCAGAACCACATTACACTTAATCTAAAATTGGCCACATAATTGGGAGTAAGACACTCCTCAGCAAATGCAAAAGAGAAATCATACAAAACAGTCTCTCAGACCACAGTGCAATCAAATTAGAACTCAAGATTAAGAAACTCACTCAAAACTACACAACTACATGGAAACTGAACAACCTGCTCCTGAATGACTACTGGGTAAATAACAAAATTAAGGCAGAAATAAAGAAGTTCTTTGAAACCAATGAGAACAAAGACACAATGTACTAGAATCTCTGGGACACAGCTAGAGCAGTGTTTAGAGGAAAATTTATAGCACTGAATGCCAACATCAGAAAGAGGAAAAGATCTAAAACTGACACCTTAACATCACAATTAGAAGAACTAGAGAAGCAAGAGCAAACAAATTCAAAAGCTAGCAGAAGACAAGAAATAACTAAAATCAGAGCAAAATTGAAGGAGATACAGACACAAAAAACCCTTCAAAAAGTCAATGAATCCATGAAATGCTTTATGAAAAGGGAGAAAAGAGAGAAGAATCAGACACAACAAAAAACGATAAAGAGATATCACCACTGATCTCACAGAAATACAAACTACCATCAGAGAATATTATAAACACCACTACGCAAATAAACCAGAAAATCTAGAAGAAATTGATAAACTTCTGGACACATACACCCTCCCAAGACTAAACCAGGAAGAAGTTGAATCTCTGAATAGACCAATAACAGGCTCTGAAATTGAGGCAATAATTAGCAGCTTACCAACCAAAAAAATTCCAGGACCACACAGATTCACAGCCAAATTCTACCAGAGGTACTAAGATGACCTGGTATCATTCCTTCTGAAACTATTCCAAACTATAGAAAAAGAGGGACTCCTCCCTAACTCATTTTATGAAGTCAGCATCATCTTGATACCAAAACAGGGCAGAGACACAACAACAACAAAAAAGAAAATTTCAGGCCAATATCCCTGATGGACATTGATGTGAAAATCTTCAATAAAATACTAGCAAACAATTCAACAGCACATCAAAAAGCTTATTCACCATGAGCTAGTCAGCTTCATCCCTGGGATGTAAGGCTGGTTCAACATACACAAATCAATAAACGTAATCCATCAGATAAACAGAACCAACGACAAAAACCACATGATTATCTCAATAAATGCAGAAAAGGCCTTCAATAAAATTGAACACCCCTTCATGCTACAAACACTCAATAAACTAGGTATTGATGGAACATATTTCAAAATAATAAGAGCTGTTTATGACAAACCCACAGCCAGTATCATTCTGAATAGGCAAGAGCTGGAAGCATTTTCTTGGAAAACCAGCACAAGACAAAGATGCCCTTTCTCACCACGCCTACTCAACATAGTATTGGAAGTTCTGGCCAGGACAATCAAGCAAGAGAAAGAAATAAGGGGTATTCAGATAGGAAGAAAGGATGTCAAATTGTCTCTGTTTGCAGGTGACATGATTACATATTTAGAAAACCCCATCGTCTCAGCCCAAAATCTCCTTAAGCTGATAAGCAACTTCAGCAAACTCTCAGGATACAAAATCAACATGCAAAAATCACAAGCATTCTTATACACCAGTAATAGACAAACAAATAGCCAAATCATGAGTGAACTCTCATTCACAATTGCTACAAAGAGAATAAAATACCTAGGAGTACAATTTACAAGGGATGTGAAGGACCTCTTCAAGGAGAACTACAAACCACTGCTCAAGGAAATGAGAGAAGACACAAACAAATGGAAAAACATTCCATGTTCATGGATAGGAAGAATCAATATCGTGAAAATGGCCATACTGCCCAAAGGAATTTATAGATTCAATGCTATCCCAATCAAGCTACCATTAACTTTCTTCGCAGAATTAGAAAAACTACTTTAAATTTCACATGGCACCAAAAAAGAGCCTGTATAGCCAACACAATTCTAAGCAAAAAGAACAAAGCTGGAGGCATCACGCTATCTGACTTCAAACTATACTACAAGGCTACAGTAACCAAAACAGCATGGTACTGGTACCAAAACAAATATATAGAGCAATGGAACAGAAGAGAGGCCTCAGAAATAACACCACACATCTGCAACCATCTGATTTTGACAAACCTCACAAAAACAAGCAATGGGGAAAGGATTCCCTATTCAATAAATGGTGTTGGGAAAACTGGCTAGCCATATGCAGAAAACAGAAACTGGACCCTTCCTTACGCCTTATACAAAAATTATCTCAAGATGGATTAAAGACTTAAATGTAAGACCTAAAACCATAAAAATCCTACAAGAAAACTGGGAAATACCATTCAGGACATAGGCATGGGCAAAGACTTCATGTGTAAAACACCAAAAGCAAAGGCAACAAAAGCCAAAATCAACAAATGGGATCTAATTAAACTAAAGAACATCTGCATAGCAAAAGAAACTATCATCAGAATGAACAAGCAACCTAAAGAATGGGAGAAAATTTTTGCAATCTATCCATCTGACAAAGGGCTAATATCCAGAATCTACAAGTATCTTAAATTTACAAGAAAAAAATCAAACAACCCTATCAAAAAGTGGGCAAAGGATATAAACAGACACTTCTCAAAAGAAGACATTTATGTGCCCAACAAACATATGAAAAAAAGTTCATTATCACTGGTCATTAGAGAAATGCAAATCAAAACCATAATGAGATACCATCTCACACCAGTTAGAATGGTGATCATTAAAAAGTCAGGAAACAACAGATGCTGGAGAAGATGTGGAGAAATAGGAACACTTTTACGATGTTGGTGGGAGTGTAAATTAGTTCAACCATTGTAGAAGACAGTGTGGCGATTCCTCAAGGATCTAGAACCAGAAATACCATTTGACCCAGCAATCCCATTACTGGGTATATACCTAAAGGATTATAAATCATGCTATCCCATTACTGGGTATATACCCAAAGGATTATAAATCATGCTACTATAAAGACACATGCACACGTTTGTCTATTGCAGCACTGTTCACAATAGCAAAGACTTGGAACCAACCCAAATGCCCAACAATGATAAACTGGATAAAGAAAATGTGGTACATAAGCACCATGGAATACTATGCACCCATAAAAAATGATGAGTTCATGTCCTTTGCAGGGACATGGATGAAGCTGGAAACCATCATTCTCAGCAAACTAACGCAGGAACGGAAAATCAAACACCGCATGTTCTCACTTATAAGTTGGAGTTGAATAATGAGAACACATGGACACAGGGAGGAGAACATCACACACTGGGGCTTGTCAGTGGGTGGGAGGCTAGGAGAGGGCTAGCATTAGGAGAGACACCTAATGTAGATGATGGGTTGATCAGTGCAACAAACCACCAAGGCACATTTATACCTGTGTAACAAACCTGCATGTTCTGCACGTGTATCCTAGAACTTAATTTATATTTTTTTAAAAAAGTAGTGTTACACTAACAACAAACTATTTTTAAAAGAATCAATAAAACAATCCTATTTTCAAAACATGAAAATGCTCAGGCATAAATTAAACCAAAGAGGTGAAAGATATGTATAGTGAAATCTGTAAGGCATTGGTAAAAGAAATTGAAGACGATAAATGAAAAAATTCCTTGTTCATGGATTGGAAGAACTAAAACTGCTAAAATGTTCATACTACCCAAAATAATCAATAAATTCAATACAGTTCTTATCAAAATTCCAATGACATTTTTCGTAGAAATAGAGAAACAATCTTAAAATTTATGTGGAATCACAAAAGACTCTAAACAGACAAAGCAATCTTGAGCAAGAAGAACAAAGCTGAAGGCATTATAGTACTTAATTTGAAAATATACTACAAAGCTATGGTAATAAAAACAGTATGGTACTGGCATAAAAAGAGACACATAGACCAATACAATAGAATAAGGAACCTAGAAATAAATCCAAGTATTTACAGCCAACTGATTTTCAACAAAAGTGCCAAAAACACATAATGAGAAAAGAACAGTCTCTTTAATGAATGGTGTTTGGAAAACTGGATGTCCACCTGCAGAAGAATGAAATTAGACCCTCATCTCACACCACCTACGAAACTCAACTCAAAATTAACTAAAAGGTTAGACATAATGCCATAAACTTTAAAACTACAAGAAGAAAACATAGGGGAAAACCTCCATGACATTGGCCTGAGCAATGGTTTTTTTAGGTGATCCTCAAAGCACACGCAACAAAAATAAAGATAGACAAATAGAATTACATCAAACTAAAAAGCTTCTGCACAGAAAAGGAAACAATCAACAGAGTGAATAGACAACCCAAAGAAATATTAGTAGAAAATATTTGCAAACCATACATCTGATGTGTTTAATATGCAAAATAAATAAGGAACTCAAACAACTCAGTAGTAAGAAAACTAACAGCCCAATGAAAAATTGGACAAATGATTGAATAGACATTTCTCAAAGACATGGCCAGGTATATAAAAAATGCTCAACATCACCAATCATTAGAAAAATGCAAATTAAAACCACAGTGAGATCACCTCACACATGTTAGAATGGCTATTATCAAAAAAAATAAAAGATAATGTTGGAGAGGATGCAGAGAAAGAAAACCCTTGCACTCTATTGGTGGAAATATAAATTAGTATAGCCTTTATGGAAAATAGTAAGGGGGTTCCTCAAAAAATTAAAAATAGAAATATCATATGATCCAGGAATCCCAGTTCTGGATATATACCCAAAGAAAGCCTTATTTGAAAAGATATCTCACTCCCATGTTCATTGCAGCATTATACACAATAGCAAAAATATACACAATAGCAAAAATATACACAATAGCAAAAATCAACCTAAGTGTCCATCAACAAAAAATGGATAAAGAAGATGTGGTTTATATACACTATAGAATACTATTCAGTAATTTTAAAAAAGAAAGAAAGCTTGCCATTAATTATAACATGTATTTCCTGGAGGACATTAAGTGAAATAAGTGAGACACAGAGAAACAAATGGAATCTAAAACAGTTAAACTGACAGAAACGGAGTAAGATGGTGCTTACCAGAGGCTGGGGGGTGGGGAATACAGACAGATCTTAGTGAAAGGATACAAAATTTCAGTTAGGAGGAATAAATTCAAGTGATCTATTGTACATCATGATGGCCATACTTAATAACAATATATTGTATTCTTAAAAATTGCCAAAATATTATATTTTAAATATTCTCATCACAAAAAAGGAGGTAATAAATATGTTAAATAGCTTAACTTAGCCATTCCACAATGTATTCATATATCAAAACACCATGATTGTATACTGTAAAGAAATACAATTTTTATTTGTCAATGGAAAAAATAATTGTTTCTTTTTTTTTTATTATACTTTAAGTTTTAGGGTACATGTGCACATTGTGCAGGTTAGTTACATATGTATACATGTGCCATAAAATAATTGTGTTTCTGTACAGTAACACTGAATTATCTGGAAAAACAAATGCCATTTACAGTATCATCAAAATGAATAAAATATTTAGAAATAAATTTAACCCTGGAAGTGATTAATCTTTACACTTAAAACTATAAAATATTGATGAAATAAATTGAAGAAAATACAAATAAATGTTTAAAATATTTCATGCTCATGGAATAGAAGAATTAATACTACTAAAATGTCCATAATACCCAAAGTAATTGACAGATTCAATGCAATTCTTATCAAAACTCTAATGATATTTTTCACAGCATTGGAGGAAAAATTCTAAAATATGTATGGAACCACAAAAAAACATAAATAGCCAAAACAACTTGAACAACAACAACAGAAAAGCTGAGGCATCACATTTCCTGACTTGAAACCATATTACAGAACCATAAGAATCAAAACTGTATGATACTGGCATAAAAGCAGACACACAAACCAATGGAACAGAATCAAGTCCCCAAAAATAAATCCTCACATATATGGTCAACTAACTAATATTTGACAAATGTGTCAAGAATATACAGGAGAAAGGATACTTGATTCAATAAATGGTGCTGGGAAAACTTAGTATCTATATGCAAAATAATAAAATTGAACCATTATCTTACGTAACTCACAAATCTGATAAGGAGTTAATATCCAAAAAATACAAGGAATTCAAACAACTCCATAGCAAAAATAATACAATAAATTGATTTTTAAACGGCCAAAGGACCTGAGCTGACATTTCTCAATAGAAGACATACATATGGCCAACAGATACGTGAAATAATGATAATGCTCAACAGCACTATTCATGAGAGAAATGAAAATTAAAACCCCAATGAGATCAGCCAACATGTTAGGATGGCTATTATCGAGACGAGATAACAAGTATTGGCAAGGATTCAGAAAGAAAGGGAATCCTTATGCACTACTGGTGGGAATGTAAATTGGAACAGCCATTTTAGAAAACAGTATGGAGGTTCCTCAAAAATCAAAACTAGAGCTACCATCTTATCCAGCAATCCCACTGCTGGGTATATACCCAAAGGAAACGAAAATAGTATGTCAAAGAGATATATGCACTCTTGTGTTCAATGTAGCATCATTCACATTAGCCAACACTTGGAAACAAACCAAGCATCCATCAAAAAGAAGGAAATTCTGCCACTTGCAACAACATGGATCAACCTTGTTGGCATTATGCTTAGTAAAATACATGAATCAGAGAAAGACAAATACGATATGAACTCACTTATACATGAAATCTTAAAAAGCTGAATTCACAGAAACAGAGAATAGAATTAGAATGGTGGTTTCCAAAAGCTGGGGGAGGGGAAAATAGGGAGATGTTGGTCAGAAGGTACAAGCTTTCAGTTATAAGGCGAACAAGTTCTGGGGATTTAATATGCAGCATGGTGAATATAGTTAACAATACAGTATTTAATATTTGAAATTTGTTAAGAGAGTAGATCTTAAATATTCTCACCACAAAACAAGAAAAAATATGTCAGCTGATGGATAGGTTAATTAGCTGGTTTGTGGTAATCACTTCACAATATATACATATGTCAAAACATCATACACATAGTAAGTGTATGCAATTTTTACTTGTTAATTATACCTTCACAAAGCTGCAGTGAAAAGAACAGAGGTAAAACTATATTATTTTCATAAATTGCATAAGTGTATATTTTATGATTACTATGAAAAAGGGGTTTTTTAAATTTCTATTTTTAGTTTAGATTCAGGGGGATACATGGGCAGGTTTATTACAAGGGTATATTGTGTGATGCTGAGGTTTGGGCTTATATTAATCCTGTCACCCAGACAGTGAATATAGTATACAATAGGAAATTTTTCAGTCCTTGCTCCTCTCCTCCTCTCCTTCCTTTTGGAATCCCTAGTGTCTACTGTTTCCATCTTTATGTCTGTATGTACCCAGGATTTATCTCCTTAAATTTTAAATCAAGTGAGAAGATGTGGTGTTCGGTTTTCTATTTCTGCATTAATTTGCTAAGGATAATGGCCTCCAGCTGCATCCATATTGCTTCAAAGGACATTATTTCGTTCTCTTTTATGGCTGTGTAGCATTCCATGTTGTATATGTACCACATTTTCTTTATCCAATCCACCATTAATGGGCACCTAGCTTGATTCCATGTCTTTGCAATTGTGAATAGTGCTGCAATGAACATGTGAATGCATGTGTCTTTTGGGTAGAACAATTTATTTGGGTGGGAGGCACATACCCAGTGATGGAATTGCTAGGTTGAATGGTAATTCTATTTTCAGTTCTTTGAGAAATTCCCAAACTACTTTCCATAGTGGCTGAACTAATCTACATTCCCACCAGCAGTATAAAAGTGTTCCATTTTCTCTGCAGCCTCATCAATATCTGTCATTATTTTACTTTTTAGTAATAGCCATTCAGACTAGTGCAAGATGGTATCTCATTGTGGTTTTGAGTGGCATTTCTCTAATGATTAGTGTTCGAGCATTTTTTATATGTTTGTTAGCTGCTTTTATGTCTTCTTTTGAGAATTGTCCATTCATGTTCTTTGCCCATTCTTTAATGGGGTTATTTGTTTTTCTCTTGTTGATTTGTTTAGGTTCCTTATAGATTCTGGATATTAGTCCTTTGTCAGATGCATAGTTTGCAAATATTTTCTCCCATTCTGTAAGATGTCTGTTTATTCTGTTGATAGGTACTTTTGCTGTGCAGAAGCTCTTTGGTTTAATTAAGTCCCATTTGTCAATTTTTTGTGTGTTGCAATTGCTTTTGAGGACTTGGTCATAAGTTCTTTGCCAAGGCCAATGTCCAAAAGGGTATTTCTGAGTTTTTTCCCCAGGATTTTTATAGTTTGGGGCTTTACATTTAAGTCTTTAATCTTTCTTGAATTAATTTTTGTATATGGTGCTTGGTAAGGGTTAAGTTTCATCCTTCTGAATATAGTTAGCCAGTTTTCCTAGGACCATTTATGGAATAGGGAGTCCTTTCTGCATTACTTATTTTTGTCGACTTTGTTCAAGATCAGTTGGTTGTAGGTATGCTGCTTTATTTCTGGGTTCTTTATTCTGTTCCATTGGTCTAGGTGCCTATTTTTGTGCCAGTACCTTGCTGTTTTGATTACTGTAGACTTGTAGCATAGTTTGAAGTCCAGTAATGTGATGCTTCCAGTTTTGCTCTTTTTGCTTAGGATTGTTATGGCTATTTGGGCTCTTTTTTGGTTCCGTGTAATTTTAGAATCATTTTTTCTAGTTCTGTGTAAAATGACGTTGGTAATTTAATAGGAATAGTGTTGAATCTGTAGATTGCTTTAGGCGGTAAAATTTAGACATTTTGTTTATGTTGTTGATTCTTCCAATCCATAAGCATGGAAGGTTTTTCCATTTGTTTGTGTCATCTATGATTTCTTTCAGCAGTGCTTTGTAGTTCTTTTTGTGGAAATCTTTCACTTCCTTGGTTAGAAGTATTCCTAGATTTTGTGTGTGTGTGTGTGTGTGTGTGTGTGTGTGTGTGTGTGTATTTTAAAGGGAATTACATTCTTGATTTGGCTCTCAGCTTGAACATTATTGGTGTATAGAAATGCTATTGATTTTTTACATTGATTTTGTATCTTCAAACTTGACTTAAGTTGTTTTATCAGGTCTAGAAGCCTTTTGGCAGAGTCTTTGGGGTTTTCTAGTCATAGAATCATAGCATAATTTGACTCCTCTTTTCCTATCTGGATGCTTTTTATTTCTCTCTCTTGCCTGATTTATTTGGCTAGGATTTTCAGTACTACGTTGAATAAGAGTAGTGTCAGAATTCTTGTCTTATTCCAGTTCTTAAAGGGAATGCTTCCAGCTTTTACCTATTTGGTATGATGTTGGCTGTGGGACTGAAATAAATGGCTTTTATTATTTTGAAGTATGTTCTTTGGATACCTAGTTTATTGAGGGTTTTAACATGAAGAGGTGTTGGATTTTATCAGAAGATTTTTCTGCAACTATTGAGAGAATCATATACGGTTTGGGGAAAATAAGGCTTAAAATATTTGATTTCATAAGTTCACGAGAAGGTAAATAGGTAGATTGTTTTGGTTTTGTATTTTTCCCCAAAATATACCAAAAATATTTTCCGATATTTCAAAAAATATCATTTACAATATTTCAGATATTTTGGTAAAATATATGGTCCACCAAAAAAAAAAAAATCAAACAGAGCCAAGTTTTGTGGCACACACCATTAATCCCAGTGACTGGAAAGACTGAAATGGGAGGATTGCTTGAGCCCAAGAGTTTGAGGCCAAAATGAGCCATGATCACACCACTATACTTCAGCCTGGGTGACAGAGTGAGACCCAAAAGCCAAAAGCCAAAAAAAAAAGAGTCAAAAAATAGAAATGTAAAGGATAACATAAAAGCAGTCTCAGAAATCTCTTTCTTCTGGGAACATACTCTTTATCCAGGCTATTTGATGATCAATATCATTAAACACGGATCTCCATCACCACATAAATGAGTTAGCATTATATTTCTTGAATATATCACCCTAGATAACCTTGACTGAATGGGATATTTAATATACACATCAGATATTGTTCTAACTGCTTTATAGTCAACAAACAATTATTGATCCCTGTTACATGCTAGACTCCCTTCCAGGCACCAAACAGCCACTGGAAGCTAATATAGCATCATCAAGGAATGCTGAGTGCAGCATTATCACAGGGCTATCAGGTCCTGACCAATTAGTCTACGGAAATATTGGAAGACAATGTCCGTAAAATTGCATAGTAAGAAATCAACATCTACACGGAACACTATTCCTAAAGAGAGAATGTTTCTATTTGGTGGGATGTTATATAAAAAAAGAAAGAAAAAAAAAGCAATGAACAAATAAAACACTATATATAATTTGGCTGATGAGCTTGTTTTCACAAATAAAAGTAAGCTCCATTAAGTCAGGGACTTTACTGTTTTGTCTATTTAGTTGTTTGCTATATTTCTATTGCTAATCAAATTTGTTGAATTGATTCATTCAGTTACGTGGCAAAAAAGGGGGATCAGATCCATATTCGTTTGGATCTTAGGTTTTAATTGTGGGGAGATACATTTAAAAAAAACAAAATTTAGAGTGATAAGTGCTACGAAAAACACATGGAAATGTGATAGAGATTAGCTGGGGAGGAGGGATTTTAATTTAGATTAAGTAGTCAAGGAAGATCTCGTTGAATAGATTATATCTGAAAAACGATTACAAACAAGGAGTTCAATTTGGGGACAGAATCTGCCAGGCCAATGAAATTCAATGCAAAGACACTTTAACACCTGCAACCCTGGAATGACAAAGGCATGAGACGAATGGGAGAAGGAGGGAGGGATGAAAAGGAGCCAGGCAAGGTGCATCTGGTAGTTCTTGGTAAGGAGTCTGAATTTTATAGTTAAGTGCATAGGAAGTCTAAAAAGATTTCAAATTGGCAAATGGAAATACTTGATTTGTGGTTTTGGTTTTCTTGGGTTTTGTTTTTTGTTTTTTCGAGACACAGTCTCGCTCTGTCGCCCAGGCTGGAGTGCAATGGTGCGATCTCGGCTCACAGCAACCTCTGTCTCCCGGGTTCAAGCGATTCTCCTGTCTCAGCCTCCAGAGTAGCTGGGATTCCAGGCATGCGCCACCATACCCGGCTAATTTTGTATTGTTGTATTGTTGATTTTGTATTGTTAGACGGGGTTTCTCCATGTTTATCAGGCTGGTCTCGAACTCCTGACCTCAGGTGATCTGCCCGCCTCGGCCTCCCAAAGTGCTGGGATTACAGGCGTGAGCCACCGCGCCCAGCCAACGTGTGGTTTTTTTAAAGAACGCTTTTGGCCGCCATATGGAGAATAGATTGAAAGGGGAATGAATTAAAGCAGAGAAACAAGATAGTAATCCATTGGGTAATCCAGGAAAAATAGGGTGGCCCAGTTTGTTAGTCATTCTGGAAATGGAGAGAAGTCGAGCTTGGAATCATTCAGATTTTCAAGATGAGGGCAGGCTAGTAATTAAGGATAACTCCTTAATTACTGGTTTCTGGCCAGAAATAGGTACATGTTTATATCATTTACTACAATGAGGAAGACTGGAATGAGAGCAGATTCAGTGCAATCAAGAGATCTATTTTAGCTATGTTTAGACTCATAATTTTGTGCATGAAATTAGGCAGTTGGAACTACCTATTCCATGCTCAATGTAGAAGACTGGAAATAGACACTTGAAAGCCATCAATATGTAGATGGGATTCAAATCCTTAAAACTCTAAGATTCTATCTAGGGACACAGTATAAACAGAAAAGAATTGAGCCTTTGGCAAGGGCATAGGAATCTCAGGACACTGTATTTCTAAAATTTCTACATATGCCAGCCAATACAGTTACTCTGATATGCGGCCAGTTGTGGAAGCACTGCTAATAACTTCACTTTAAATGGTTTCCATAAGTTAAGGGCTAAAGTAAGCAAGGGAAAAAATTGTTAAATAAAAAGGAAACAGGAAAACATGTCTTGATTTATTCAAAGGGGTATGGAAAGGTCTTATATTAAAGTTTAAGGCAAGGGCATCTGCTTTACAAGCTGGGTATATCCATTTTTTGATAACAAATGAAAACCTTTTTAAAAATTAATTCAAAAATCCAAAGGATTTCTCTATAATTTCTCCAGAGTAACAAACCCATGGATTTTAATCACAGAATAAGGAGCAAGGGACTAGAAAAGTCACTGTGTAGGAATGTATTTAAACCAGAAACATGGGTGGGCATGACAATTTATATACATTTTTGTTTTTCAAATGAAAATTGAATATTTGCTATGGTTGAATTGAAATTGTGAAATTCAATTATAACTTTAAAGTGGTTTTTAAAAGAAAAAGGAGAACTGTAGAAAATTTGACTAAAGGGGAAGAGAAAAATACATAAGTGAAACTGAGATCTCCAGTCAAAGTGAACAGTTTCAAGTATTCAGATGTTTAGAATCTTGATAGACAAAAATGTACCATTAGTAGATGTTATGTTTCTTTTTATCATCATTATTATAGCATTTATAAAGAATACATACACATACATATGTATATACTATGTATATAGTATATATATTTCATATATGTGTGTATTATATATAAAATCCTAAAGGAAGTGCTTATAAGGAGAGTATTTTCCAGATGTTTTATCAAATATCAGCATAAACTTTCCCCAAATATTTCTGCAGCACACAGACACCCTGAACTGATTGAAATTGTAACAGTTAATACTTATTTGGATGCTGTGTGCCAACCAGTACTGTAGTATTTACATATGTTAAACTTATTGAATCCTTACATTCGCCCTTTAAATTATGTATTATAATATCCCCTATTATAGATAAGAAATCGGAGGCAATGAAGGTTAAGTAATTTTCCCAAGTTCACACATCTGGTAACTGTAGCCACCAGGATTTCAGCCCAGAAAGTCTGGCTCCACAATCTATCCATCTAACCATTACACTATACTATATCTCAAGTGTAAAATATATTGATTATCGTACAGAAGCAGATAGTTAAAATTATTTTATTGATCAGTAATGTCATCCACATTTGAACATGTATCATGAGGCAGCCAATTCGTGCTTATGTATTTTATTAAAACCAATTATTACTGATATGTAATTTTAATTTAAGGAAGCTGTTAAAACCTATGATTATAAGCCAACTCACAAAAATTTTCATAGTATATACTTACTCTAGAATTTAATGTGTAAATAGTGACCTCTGAGACAATAACAAAACTAATTGTCGTAGACAATGAAGTATTTGAATCATCCCTCATGGTCACCAAAACAACTGAGAAAAAATGTAAATCTTATGATTCTGGTCTTACTGTTTAGAGCTTTGGGGATTAAACATCTCTTTCAAATACAACTGTTCTGACCATGGGTATCAGAGATAACCACTAGAGGTACCTCATTTAAATGATATCTGCTCAGAGCAAGTTTAGTTCCACAATCAATATTTGTGCTTTGAATGGTAAGATTTTTCTGTAGCTAAGTATAATTGTAGTGTTGGAAATCTACATTATTTAAGAGTAAATTTTATATTATAATACATTCACAACCAAAAAAATATGAAAATACATTTTCTTATTTCTTTGTCCTATAGTTTTCCTTCATATTAAATAACTTTTACATCTACTAAACCTGCCCTAGTGAAATATTAGGGTATGGTCTAATTCTAGGCTGGCATTTTCTATGACACTGTACTCTAGTAAAGTTAATTGGATGCAGTCCCAATGGTTTAGATAATCTTTTTGATTATCTGAGTCTTCAGGTAATACTGGGAAATTTTGTTCAATTCTGATTCTGAATTATCCGGTTGCTTTTCCTAATGTTTCTCTATGGTCAAGACCTACTTGCAGGTTGATTTAAACTCAGAACAAGAAGTAAGAATTTGTGACAGGTTTCATCCTCTTACTTGAAGTCATATATTCGAGAAGGAGGAGTCCTGTTGAGAATCTCTACCCTAACACACTTTGGGAAAAGCAGAATTCTCCGTGGCACTGCAGGGAAATCATGAGAAATTTACAGCCCTGGAGAAAAAAATGCTTAACCGGGATCTATTTTCCATAGTGTGGATTCTACAAAAGTCGAGAAGTAGAATGGCAAAGGAACTCCCTCTGGATCACAGTAATGTTCATCCTTAATCTCTTGGAGAAACAGTATGCCTGGATTGGTAAAACAATTTGTAGAAAGTAGAAGAAAAAGAACTTAGATCTGTATGGGCTGGTTTTATTTCAGAAGTCTGAGAATAAATATTGATCCAGCAGAAACAAAAGCGAGAAAGATAGATTAAATTGAAAATGAAGAATTCAGATACTTGTTTTTAATTTTGTTTTGTTTTGTTTTTTAATGCCATTTGTGAAACTTGTCAGCAAAATATTTTATTCTTGAAGGTTGTGGAGCCATAAAGGACTCAGATTTTATGTATCCATTTCTAAATCTCATACTGTGCATGAAAATTTATTTGAAGATTTTTCTATGTCACTTTTTAATAGGCAGAAGGAGGATTTTTATTCTTTCCTGAGTTAATCTTTATGGACTGTAGTAATAATGAAATAGTTAAGAAATTAACAGCATAATATTGATTTTAATTTTAAAAGAATTTTCAGGTTTTTATATAATTTTAACTGAAGCCCTATTTTATTCAGAAGTTAGGCACAATTATACACATCAACGAGTCTGTTAAAATAAATAAGCATTAATTATTGATGCCCCTGCTCAGACATTATGGAACTTTAATGGGGTGTGACAGCTTGAAATATCTTTCAGAGAATTATTTTTCTTTCTATCCAATTTGATTAATGGCAAAACTCAGAATCAAATCATAATTTTTGAAAAGCTAATGCTAAAGAAATCACAAAATGATTTTCTCAAAACGGCTATTTCAACCACCATCTCCGGTTAGTCTCACAAATGTATCCACTTTTGAATCATGGCCACAGTTGGAAGTAATTTCTTAATAACATTCAAAAAAACATATTTGAAATGGCATAACAAACAAAAAAAGCACAACTTTTTGTACTACATCTATATAAAGAGAGAGAAGAAGCACCAGTTTGATATTTATCTGGGTTTTGTTTGTTTTTGAGACAGGATCTTGCTCCAGCACCCAGGGTGGAGTGCAGTGGTGCAATCATAGCTCACCGCAACCTCAAACTCCTGGGCTCAAGTGATCCTCCCGCCTCAGCCTCCTGAGTAGCTGGGACTATAGGAGTACGCCACCACACCTGGCTAATGGCTGTTATTTTTTAACCAAATGTTTTATATTAGCTTTTTGACCACTTTATTGAAGTATGACTGACATACAAAAGCAGTACAGATTTAATGTATACAACTTGATGAGTTTGAAGGTGAGTATATACCTGTGAAACCATCAACACAATCTATCCCATATATACATCCATCACCTCCAACAGTTTCCTCCCACCTTCTTTATTGTGTTGTGTATGTGTGTGCGTGTGATGAGAACACTTAACATAAGATCTACCCTCCTAGCAAAATTTTAAGTATACAATATAGTATTTCTTAAATGTAGTGTAAAGTGGCTGACAAGTTTTAAGGAGATGGATGACATGATTTCATCAAATGTTGTAACAATGTAAAGGCATAAGACTGGATGCAAGGACTGGATGCAAGACTATTGCCAGAATCCAGAAAAGAAATCATAGTGATTTGAATTAGGGTTGTGGTGGTAGGGATTTTTTAAAGTGATAGGATAATTAGCATATATATTTGCATCCAAATTTACCAGTTTTGGTGATAAGGCGTTAAGAATGAGAGAGACAAGGCGTCCAAGGGTAAACACCAGATGTCCTACATAACAAACTAGGAGATCAAAGGTGCTTAGTCACTAAGATATGAAAAAAGAAGAACAATCTTTCCTCACTCTTTTTTAAGGTTTATTTTTAATTAAGCAACAATTGTATATGTTTATGGGGTGCAATATAATGTTTTAATATATGTTTATAATGTGTAATGATTAAATCAGGCTAATTAACAAACCCATCACCTAACATACTTATTTTTTGTGGTGAAAACACTTAAAATCTACTCTTAGTAATTTTGAAATAAACAATGCATTATTGTTTATTGTAGTCACCATTCTGTGAGATCACTAAAACTGGTTCCTTTTTTCTAACTGAAACTTAGTACCCTTGATCAACATCTCCCCTTTTCCCATCCATCTCCTGCCCCCACTCTCTACCTCTATGAGTTCAACTTTTTTGGATTCCATATATAAATGAAATCATGCAATATTTGTCTTTCAGCTTACTTCAGTTAGCATGATGTCCCCAGGTTCATCCTCCAGGTTATCACATCTTTTCCTCATCCTACCATTAGCCCAGTACTTAAATTTTATAGGTGAATTTACTGATCAAATAAAAGAATATGTTCATTTTATCAAGCTAACTAGCTTATAAAGAATCATAGGGTCATTTTAGAACCAGCATCTATTTCAAACTTTCAAATCTACACGTTAGATAATTCAGACCTCAAGTTTAAAAGTGAACTCCCCAAGGTCACCTGGATTTTTTTTAAAAAATCTAATATTAAACTCATTGCCATAAAAGAATCTATGACAAATAGCAGATTTCTTGGCTGTAATTTTTACTTTTATCCATTAAATTTTTTCAATTAGTAACATAAATTATCTCTCTTTGTTTAGTTCTAATTTTATCAAATTATTTAGATAGTTCATGTTGACAAATTGTTTCTTCCTCTTTTCCTTTTCTTCTTCCTCTCCCTCCTCCTTCTCCTCCTCTACCTCTTCTTCCTTCTTCTTCCTTCTCCTTATCCTTGTATCATCATCTACCTCCTCCTCCTCCTTTTCTCACTCTAGGATTTAGACATTGAAGGACTATGGACCAAAGCAATTATAGTTCTTTACATGGTTTTATTCTGCTTGGCTTCTCTAACCATCCAAAAATGGAGATGATCCTGTCAGGAGTTGTCGCCATCTTCTACTTAATTACATTGGTGGGTAACACAGCCATCATTCTTGCATCTCTCCTGGATTCCCAGCTTCATACACCAATGTACTTTTTCCTCAGAAATTTATCTTTCCTAGATCTATGTTTCACAACCAGCATCATCCCTCAGATGCTGGTCAACTTGTGGGGACCTGATAAGACCATCAGCTATGTGGGTTGTATCATCCAACTCTATGTTTACATGTGGTTGGGCTCAGTTGAGTGCCTTCTCCTGGCTGTTATGTCCTATGATCGTTTTACAGCTATATGTAAGCCCTTGCATTATTTTGTAGTCATGAACCCACATCTATGTCTAAAGATGATTATCATGATCTGGAGTATTAGTTTGGCCAATTCTGTAGTATTATGTACACTCACTCTGAATTTGCCCACATGTGGAAACAACATTCTGGATCATTTCTTGTGTGAGTTGCCAGCTCTGGTCAAGATAGCTTGTGTAGACACCACAACAGTTGAAATGTCTGTTTTCGCTTTAGGCATTATAATTGTCCTCACACCTCTCATCCTTATTCTTATATCCTATGGCTACATTGCCAAAGCTGTGCTGAGAACGAAGTCAAAAGCAAGCCAGCGAAAAGCAATGAATACCTGTGGATCTCATCTTACTGTAGTGTCTATGTTCTATGGAACTATTATCTACATGTACCTGCAACCAGGTAACAGGGCTTCCAAAGACCAGGGCAAGTTCCTCACCCTCTTTTACACCGTCATCACTCCAAGTCTCAACCCGCTCATTTACACCTTAAGAAATAAGGACATGAAGGATGCCCTGAAGAAACTGATGAGATTTCACCACAAATCTACAAAAATAAAGAGGAATTGCAAGTCATAGATAAAGACTAGAGTGAATAAGGCAATTAAATATGTTTTCTAATTTTCTTTAATTTTTACAAATGCAAGTAATTCCTAGGTCATGGAGATCCATAAATATAATTATTATATACAAACATTTTGTAGATGCAAACAAAATTACAACCATTCTACTTAGCTCCTTTATGTCCCTGATCATTGGTATATCATCAGAGAAAACAGATCATTAGAAATTTTATTTTTGCTTGAAATAAAACACAAATGGGATGTAAACATAAATTTGAATGCATTTAATTTATTCTAAAACCACATAGAAACTGTTTTGGTTATCTAGTTTTGTATTTTCAATGTTAATCCTTGCCTCTTCCAAAGTATAGACCTGAGCAAATGGTTTCATATACATTATGGTGTGTATATTAAATAATATACCCATAATGTTCATTCTATTGGAGCTTGAGAAAAAATATACATATACACAATAATGATTTTGTACACCCAATCTTTTGTAATGCCACCCAAATATTTATTTGTGTTTGATGCAAACAGTGCAGTTTATAAGACAGTAATTGTCATAAGCCCCATTTAAAACAATTCACTCTTTTTTCAATGAAATTTCAAATCGATATCTTGAGTAAAGGGTCTCTGCTATTTAAGTCTATTACTACTCTATCGTAATATAAAGCCACAAATTAAAGGGTTTTAAAGGTAATGACACAGTCTTATCAATTTCTCTTTCATTCGTTAAATGTTTATTCCATGATTGTCTCAACTTAATGGAAAGATAATATGACTAGTTTGAAACCAGTTAGGCTTTTGACATACATCTGTGGAACTGGCGGATTTACGTGAATTTTTAGAAATGTGGTAATGTTTATATGTAGTGGAATTGCATAACAGAATAAATCTTTTTATTTCTATTTATCATAATATAATATTTAGCTTTTATGGGACAATGTGATTACTTTTTAATTAAACTTTTATTTTTGCCATGATCTGATACCTTTCTCTAAAAGTGCCCATTATTTAATAATAGTAGCCAATCTAGATAGATCTAGAAAGACACACTGCTAGAATCTAAAAATATATATTTTCTCTTCCATCATGTCATCTTTAATGATGAGCAGCACACCACTAGCATTTTGAGTTGTCCCTTTCTTTGGTGTACCACTGGTTTTCACAATGTGGATAATATGTTACAGTAAGATCAGGAGAGATGGTAATTATGCCTTTCTTTTGTGAAGGAGGAGAAGGGATCTTTGAAAGTGAAGGCTGGAAAGAGAACCTGTCTAACTCCTCAACCTGGCATTTCCTCAAGAAAATGTTAGCGAAGAAAACAAAGGAACAAGGAGGATCTGGAAGTTATTTCCTTAAAACTAACTTTATAACCCTACAAAAGTCTCTGCATCCCAGAGTGTGCCCCCCCGTTGAAGCCCATTGTCTTAGACTATGGTTCTCTTAACAAGCCATACAAATCTCTATGAAGGTTAGAATTGCATTGTTTTGTAAATATTATTTATAGAACTGATAAGCCTCTAGCCAATGTAATTATAAGTTTCTTGAAAGCATAATTTTGTATAGTTCTTTCTCGATTCACCATCATATAATAGGGTTCCATGACTCTTAGTAGGCATTGAATATTTTTAACGATTTGGATGAATTTTTCAGTGTTCATGCAAATGTTTGTAAACAGAGCAAAAATCATCTTGTTATCATTTTTAACTAAAAAAAACATACACAAATATGAGCTAAGCAGAATATCCCAAGCCTTCAAAAACATGTCCTAGAAAATTTCGGAAATGTCTTACCTTGACCTGCATCATAATTATGCTTAATTACTGTTGTGGAGCACCAGTCTCAACGGGCTTAACAATATCCTGAAACTAAGTCAGCTCTCTTAGATTTTATACCCATCACATTTATCTTTTTCTAAGGTTAGCCCTTGGCCAGGGCAGGAAAATGTTTCTGCCACTCACAAAACACTCAGTAAATAGGTAATTTTCAAAACCACATATGCCTAGTGTTGGAAAAATGCAATATAATACAATCTAGTTTATTGCCTATTTTCCTTTCATATGGACATCTCCAGATTCTTCCACAAGAAGTTCAACTCTGATTGGTACCAATTAACCACAACATGGTAGATGTTGACTAGTTCAGACAAGGAAATTCATAATGATTTATGATTAAAGATAAAAGCAACCCTTCTGAGTCAACCATCATAACTTGAGGAGTGGTGGACTAAGAAAACCATAGTAGAAAATGCACATAATGACTCCCCTCAGTGCAAGTAAATAGCTAATTCTTTCAATATTTCTCTTCTTTAGAAGACTATAATCTAAAAAATACATTATTCAAATTCAGAGAATCACGAATATCTAGAGAAAATGAAATGCCATTTTTACTGTATCTGTTTATATTCATAACAATTATTAATTTTCTCTCATTTCTTAAACAAAAACTTATAAATGGATTCAAGCAGAAGATGCTATGATACTCAATTGTCATATAGTGATGAATTTTGAAGTACAGGAACCTCTAGAGGTCAAATACATATATATGCACTTATTATCCAATTCTAATCCCATTATTTTAATTGATGTGTTTGGGTATCTTTGCAAGTACATACATTTACCTACTTTACAATGAATATTTATATCTTAAATAAATTTACTGACATGTATTATTGAAGTATGTTGCATAAAAATGATATGGCATATCAAATTTTCAAACATGCTGTAAAAATTAAGCTAATTATTAATTGGTAACATTTTTCAAGCAATACCTGGGTATAGATGCTGATAATTTATAAGTCTAAATATGTACCCAACTTACTGAAGTACATTGATTCATTTTATCACTTTTATAGATATCAGTTCATCCAGGTCTCTGGCATTTCTGATATTGGTTTTTGTATTAATACATAAGTTAATTTTTTTTTTGAGATGGAGTCTGTCTCTGTCGCCCAGGCTGGAGTGCAGTGGCACAATCTCAGCTCACTGCAACCTCCACCTCCCGGGTTCATGCCATCCTCCTGCCTCAGCCTCCCGAGTAGCTGGGACTACAGGCGTGTGCCACCACATCCGGCTAACTTTTGTATTTTTAGTAGAGACAGGGTTTCACCATATTGGCCAGGCTGGTCTCGAACTCCTGACCTCAGGTAATCCACCCACCTCGGCCTCCCAAAGTGCTGGGATTACAGGCGTGAGCCACCGTGCCCAACCTGCATAAGTTAAATTTTAAAATTCTTTCTACTTTCTGAAGAAATTCTGACACTCTCCATTGTATTTCTGAAAATTATTTTCTATGGGAGAAGGATTCTATTATTTTTGAGGATTTTTGTTTAAAATACTGCTCCTGATAAATTTTTAACCTCCTCTCACAGTTGAGTCCCTGTGGCCACTGTCCTTACCAATTTCTACTGTACGAAACAGCTTCTTCTCCACTTAAAGACTATTTCTTGTCCTCTTGCCAGTGAACCAAGCCTATTTTCTTTTATTCTCTAAAGTACCACTAACAAGTGGGGAATGCAGTTAGTGGGATTTTCATAAAGAACTGGGAATAATAAAGGAGGATTATACTGCAGGATAAAAAGGAAAACATTGCCTAATGAATATTTGACTTCTTAAAATTCCTTAGCAATCCCTACCACAGAGCTTTGCTCTCTGGATGTCTGCTTTTTTAGGTCCCCCTTGCTCCATGTTTTGGAAGATCTTATTTACTTTCGGTCCCAACTTCTATTCCAATCTGTCTTTGTCTCTGACCTAGGACCTCCAATTCTTTCAACTGTAGTGTCTGTGAAGGAATAATGTCACTATCACTTAGAGAGAAATATTTGTCTGGCTCTATCTTCTATAAACACTAGAATAAGGGGTAAAGATACACTCACCTTGCATTAGAAAATAGAATTTGTTGTTTTAAGTAAAAGAACACCTTTTCTTCTGCTGCTGCTGCTCCATTCCTCAGAACACAGATGCAATTAAAACAATTCCAATCTTCTATTTTTCCCCATTACATCCCTTAACTAAAGAGTATACAATTTTGATCCATGTGATTATAAGGAGCACATATTTGGTATTATTACTAAGAAGCTTTCTGTATTAATAATGCATATTTTTAGCTCACACTTTTACAATTTAATTTATACAAACCTTTCTACAATTCAGTGATTTCTCTTTATATTGATGTCTTGAATAGAACTGACCAAGTTTATGTTTCAATGAATAAAATTTTGAAATTGAAAAATAATACACTTTTTGAAACTATCTAGGTGGAGAAGTAACATGAAAAGGATTTTTTAAAAAGAAGCTACTTCCATGTCCTGAAAACCTGGAGTAATATTTAATGTAGAGTAATTGTGTAGAAAATTTTCTAGTACCAATAAGTACCCATTTATGAATATGTGGGTCCATTCCCAACACTGGAGCAATTCCAGTACCTGTTTTCACTAATTGTACTCCCAAATTCCAAATCACTGTGTAGAAATTAATTCTACTAGGTAATTAACTCCAGGTCAATTTATTCTCTTTAAAATCAGTTGGATGGAAATGTTCCTTGGTAGTTCTTTTTATTTATGTTTTCTTACCAATCTCATTATTCTTCATAGACAAGTTTCTTCAGAGAAACACTTTGTCATGGTAACTGTAGTATACTTTAAAACACTTTGTCAGGCTATTGATATAAGTGCATTTATTCATTCAAATATTACATTCTATGGGCCGGGCACAGAGGCTCACGCCTGTAATCCCAGCTCTTTGGGAGGCCGAGGCGGTGGATCACGAGGTCAGGAGATCGAGACCATCACAGCTAACATGATGAAACCCCGTCTCTACCAAAAATACAAAAAATTAGCTGGGCGTGGTCGCGGGCACCTGTAGTCCCAGCTACTCGGGAGGCTGAGGCAGGAGAATGGCGTGAACCCGGGAGACAGAGCTTGCAGTGAGCCCAGTGAGCCAAGATCATGACACTGCACTCCAGCCTGGGAGACAGCAAGACTCCGTCTCAAAAAAAAAAAAAATATATATATATATATAACATTTTATGGACATGAGTGGCTCTAATCAGTAAATGTACACTATTAGATGGGGAGGTCAACTAGCATTTAGCCAGAAAGGCTGCCCTCCAAGGCAGCTACCACAGGACCTTCAGTTATCTACCTCTTGGTCAACATTTGATGCCTAGCCAACTCACATAATAATTGAGGTTTAAATCAGTTATCATCCTGAAATTAGTGGTACCAAATATATGAGGGTCATCTAACATATTTTAGAAACATTCCCTATTCTTCTATGAAGGGCATAAGAACCTAGCAAGATGTGTAGCCTAAACTTTAGGGGTAGTGCCCAAGACTTGTTCCCTAAATGGGCCTGTGTCCTACTATGGATAAGTTCCACTTTCTCAATGCTGACATGAAAGTAAAACCCTACCTCTGTTGTCTTATCTTCTTCAAATACACCTTTCTACAAGGTACTTTGGAGTATTTTAAAGGGCAGAGAGCTGAGGATTTATTAAATTTACAGAGAAGATGACATAAACTGTCTTATGCTAATGTCTGGTTAACTAATCTCTATATTCATGGCAGAATTTGATCAGAGTCATTTTCATCATAACTGGGACATAGGATTGTGGTGGTAAATGCTAACCATACGCCCACTTCACCTTTTTCAGCCACTATGATTAACTACCAAAAATGACCCTGTTGCTGAGCATGACCAAATTGGGTTAGGCTAGTTCAAAACACACTCTATTTTTCTCATTAGACACTGTTCATTACTTCTTAATTTGTTGCACCTTGCTTTTAGTCCCTCTGAACTAAAATGCTTAAGAGCAAATATCAACTAGAGTTTCTACTCTGTTGTTTTACATTAGCTGAAAAATACAGGTATATCCCCCAAAAAATAAGAAGAAAGAAAACTATCATTATTTTAAGATAACAGAATCCACTCCATTTTTAACACAAAAAAATTATGTTATTAGAAATCCCTATAGACTCCGTGAAAAAGAAATATACAGAATAAATATTTAAAATCTTCTGCACAGCAAAAGAAACTACCAACAGATTAAACAGACAACCTACAAAATAGGAGAAAATATTTGCAAATTAAGCATCCAACAAAGGTCTAATATCCAGAATCTATAAGAAATTTAAACAAATCAACAAGCAAAAACAACCCCATTTAAAAATGAGCAAAGACATGAACCAACACTTCACAAAAGAAGACATACACATGTCCAACAAGCATATGAAAACATGCTCAGTATCACTAATCGTTAGGGAAAGGCAAATCAAAACCACAATGAAATACCATCTCACACCAGTCAGAATGGACATTATTAAAAAGTCAAAAAATAACAGATGTTAGTGAGGTTGCAGAGAAAATGGAATACTTACACACGGCTGGTGGGAATTTCAATTAGTTTAGCCACAGTGGAAAACAGTTTAGAGATTTCTCAAAGAACTCAGAACTACCATTTGACCTAACAATCCCATTACTGGGTATATACCCAAAGAAATAAAAATTGTTCTACCAAAAAGACACATTCACTCGCATGTTCATCACAGCACTATTCACAGTAGCAAAGACATAGAATCAATCTAGATGCCCATCAGTGGTGGACTGGATAAAGAAAATGTGACATATATACACCACAGAATACTATGCAACCATAAAAAGAATGAAATCATGTCCCTTGCAACAGCATGGATGGCAGCTGGAGGCCATTATCCTAAGTGAATTAATGCAAAAACAGAAAACCAAATACCACATGTTCTCACTTATAAGTATGAGCTAAACATTGAGTACACACAGACACAAAGAGGGGAACAACAGACACCTGGGCCTACCTGAGGGTGGCAGGAGGAAGGAGGGTGAGGATTGAAAAACTACTTATTGGGTACTATGCTCACTATCTGGGTGACAAAATGATTTGAACACCAAACCTCAGCAACACACAATTTACTCAAGTAACAAACCTGCATATGTACCCCTAAACCTAAAATAAAAGTTAAAAAAAAAAATTTAATTTAAAAAATACATATATAGCTCTCCTAACAACAATAAGCAATGAGCAATTAAATAAAATGATATCAATAAAGATGAACTTAACATATGTTGAACATTTTTAAGGTATTATTAATCTTTACCAAGAAAAAGGGAAAAACAAATAAAATGAGACATGCCACATTCTTCAAAAAATAACTTTTAAATATAAATTTAAATGCAGACATTTCAAATAATTGTCTGCATTGTGTTTGGATTGTAACAAATTTATTTCAAGATTTATTTGGTCAAATTACAGCTTAGAAGAGTCAAGCCATTTTCATAAACGAATAATAAGCAAGGATTTGCTCTGGCCAGCACTGAAATACTATCAAATATTACTAAGGGTTTGATTTGGGGTCAAGAGCAGTGGCTCCTGCCTGTAATCCCAACATTTTGGGAGGCCTAGGCAGGAGGATAGCTTGAACTCAGGAGTTGGAGACCAGCCTGGGCAACAGAGTGAGACACCCCTGTCTCCACAAAAAACAAACAAATAGCCGGGCGTGGTGGCCTGTGCCTGTAGTCCCCGCTACTCGGGAGGCTGTAGTGGGAGGATTACGTGAGCCTGGGAGGCCGAGGCTGCAGTGAACAGAGATTGTGCCACTGCATTCCAGTCCGGGTGACAGAGTGAGGCTCTGTCTCAAAAAAGAAAAAGAGTTTGATTTGCATATGATTGAAACAACATTGCCTCAAAACAGACCCTAGTGTGTTTTACATTACAACAGTAAATATGAAAAGAATGACATTACAAATTAGTGTGTGATGAAGGCCTATTTGTTGACCAGCGTGAGAAAACTGATGAAAGATCTAGAAATAAAATTTGTCAGTAAAAACAATACCTAAAAAACATACATTATTATAAATTTTAAATTGATTAAAAAATGTAGAGAGTTCCAGCAGAGATCCCAGGCCTGAAGCAGCGGCGAACCTGTCTTCCCCACCCCACCTCGGTGACCTGGTGGCCGCCGGCACACAGCACCTTTGGATGGCCGCGGGTGTGCCGGGCGGGAAGAAACACGCAGAGGCTGCTGGGGTGCAGGGCCCGCGAAGGCGGAGTTAGGGAGAGGCCTGGCCTCCTCTTTAGGCCACGGCGCCGCGCAGATGCTGTCCTCGGGGGACCTCTCTGTCCCAATTGGGTGAGACCTACCTGGTCCTGATGACAACAGACAACAGCCTTAACGGCCGGAAGGTCAGCGAAGTCCCGGATGAGGACGGGTGGAATGGTAGCGACCATGGGGCAGTTGGCCTTCCTTCTACCAGACGTTGATGTGGGAAAAGAGAAACGGAGTAACAGGACACATTTAGCGATTTGGAGATTCCCATCACGCTTTGGGAGGATGTACCGGCGTTTATAGGAGACCTGCGTGTATAATGTGAGAAAGCTGCTCTCAGCTTCCCCCAAAACTTTTACAAGGAAACATTTGCCACATCTAGCCTTTCCAGATGTATAGAGGTTACCGACCTATGATAGAGTTAGAAAATCACACATGGAATTTTTTAAATTCCATATTACAGAGTAGGTAATCAGTATGTAATTGTATCAGTGGATTACAAAATCTGGAGATTATATTCTGAGAATCTATTTTTGCCAACACAATAAGAGCCATATATTACAAGCCCACAGCTAATATCATAATGATAAAAAGTTGAAAGCTTTCCCTCTAAGATCCAGAACAAGATAAAGATGCCCACGCTCACCACTTCTGTTCAACATAGTACTGAATGTCCTAGCCAGAGCAGTTAGGCAAGAAAAAGAAAAAAAGGCATACAAATTGGAAATGAAGAAGTGAAACTGTCTCTTCTGATGACATGATCCTTTATTTGGAAAACCCTAAGAACTCCAACAACAAAAAAAGCTATTCAAATAAACAAATTCAGTAAAGTTACAGGTTACAAAATCAATATACAAAAATCAGTAGTGTTTCTATGCACTAACAATCATCTGAGAAGAAATTAAGTAAACAATCATAATTAAAAAATAAATTAATTAAAATAACTAGGTGCAAATTTAACCGAGGAGGTGAAAGATTTGTACACTTGAAAACTATAAAACACTGATATTTAAAATTACAAAAGACACAAAAATTGAAAAATACCTCATGTTCATGGATTGGGAAAATTAGTATTTTTAAAATACCTATACTACCCCAAATAAAGATTCAATGCAATCTCTATCCAAGTACCAATGTCATTTTGTAGAGAAATAGAAAAAACGATTCTAAAATTTGTCTGGATCCACAAAAATCCATAGCCAAAGTAACCTTGAATCAAAAAACAAACAAACAAAAAAAAACGGGAGGCATCATAATACCTGGCTTCAAAATCTACTGTGAACCTATAGTCATCAAAACAACAGGATACTGGCATAAAAACAGACACAAAAACCAATGGAACAAAATAGCGTAAAAATCAATCCATACATTTACAATCAATTGATTTTCAACAAAGGTGCCAAGAACACACAATGGGGACAGGGCAGTCTCTTCAATAAACGGTGTTGAAAAACTGAATATCCACATGTTGAAGAACGAAATTACATGCATACCTCAAACCATATACAAAAATCAACTCAAAATGCATTAAAGACTTAAACATAAGACTATTAAACTACTAAAAGAAATCATAGAAATGCTCCATGACATTGATCTGGTCAATGATTTTTTGGATATGACCTCAAAAGCACAGTCAACAAAAGCAAATATAAATAAATGAGATTATATCAAATTAAAGAGCTCCTGTACAGTCAGGGAAACAAATAAAATAATGAAAAGACAACCTATGGAGTGGGAGAAAATATTTGCAAATGATGTATCTAATAAGGGGCTAATATCTAAAATATATAAGAAGCTCAAACAAGAAAACATAATTCTATTTTAAAATGGAGCTGGCTGTGTTGGTTCACATCTCTAATCTCAGAATTTTGGGAGGCCAAGATGGGTGGATCACTTGAGGTCAAGAGTTCGAGACCAGCCTGGCCAACATGGTGAAACCCCGTCTCTACTAAAAATAGAAAAATTAGCTAGGCATGGTGGTACGTGCCTCTAGTCTCAGCTACTCAGGAGGCTGAGGCACAAGAATCACTTGAACCTGGGAGGTGGAAGCTGCAGTGAGCCGAGATTGTGTCACTGCACTCCAGCCTGGGAGACAGAGAGAGACTCCATCTCAAAAATAAAAATAAAAAATAAAATAAAATAATTTAAAAATTTTAAAAATGAAAATAAAAATGGGCAAAAGACCCAAATACACATTTCTCAAAAGAAGACCTACAAATGGCCAACATGTATATGAAAAATGCTCAACATCACTAATCAATGGGGAGATGTAAATTAAATGCACAGTGAGATATCACTTCATACTCTTAGAATGGCTATTGTCATAAAAAGCAAAGATAACAGCTTGGTGAGAATGTAGGGAAAAAAAGGAACCCTTGCACACCGTTAGTGGGAATGTACATTAATACAGCCACTATATAAAACAGTGTGGAGGTTACTCCAAAAATTAAAAATAGAACTACCATATGATCCAGCCATCCCACCACTGGGTATATATCCAAGGAATTGAAATCAGTATGTTAAAGAGATGTCTGCACTCCCATGTTTATGGCAGCATTATTCACAATAGCAAAGATATGGAATCAAACTTTGTGTTCATCAATGAATGAATAAATCAAGAAAATGTGGTGTACTATTCACTCGTAACAAAAAAAGGAAACCCTGTCATTTCCAACAACACGGATGAACCTAGAAGCTATGATGTTAAGTTAAATGAGCCAGTTACAGAAAGGCAAATACTACATGATCTCATTTAAATGAGGATCTGAAAAACTTAAACTCATAGAAGCAGAGAGTGGAATGGTAATTACCAGAAGCTGGGGATGGTGGTAAGTTTCCAGACCATAAATTGAGGGATAAGCTCCAGAGTGTTCATACTATTTTTAATTTGCTGAAAATAGAACGATGATAATAATTCATAAACCTAGAATTATGATTATCCCATAAATTTTTTAAAACTAAATATTTTGTCCTATAGACACAACACCTACATAACTTAATTTATCCAATTTTGATCTTACCAATTGAATAAACCAAATTTCAAGTAAATGTGTTCATTTTTATATAGTTTACATCATATATTCATTTTTCAATGTAAATTTAATATAATATATAATTAATCTCCAAATTTTTAAATTTAAAAACTTAAAAAGAAAAAGAAAAGATGAAACCCAACGTCTTTTTTTTTTTTTTTTTTTTTTTTTTTGAGACAAGAGTTTCGCTCGTTTCACAGGCCGGAGTGCAATGGCGCAATCTCGGCTGACCGCAACCTTCGTCTCCCAGGTTCAAGTGATTCTCCTGCCTCAGCCTCCTGAGTAGCTGGGATTACAGGCATGCACCACCATGCCCGGCTAATTTTTTGTTTTTAGTAGAGACGGGGTTTCTCCACATTGGTCAGGCTGGTCTTGAACTCCTGACCTCAGGTGATCCACCCGCTTTGGCCTCCCAAAGTGCTGGGATTACAGGCATGAACCACTGTGCCTGGCCGAAACCTAATGTGTTAAGAGAACTTTTCATGAAATTATTATTTGGATATGCCTCTGACCACAGTCATAGCTTTACTTAATCACCTCTGTGGGGCATCAGTCCTCAAGGTCTAAACCATATCAACATAGGTAGCCTTTAGAGCTGTAAATAAATACTTCCCTGCTACATGTTAATGATTCTTGGAATATACATTGACCAACACAGTGTTCTCCTTGTTTAATTAGGCAAAAATCTAGCTGTAAATATGAATAACAAGAGTATACATTAAAAAGACATCAAATAGCCAACCGAAAATATATTTAACCAAACCTAATTAAGGATTTTCACCAGTCCCACATTTAGTTTACTTCCAATATCCACATTAAATAGAGACTTCTATTAAATCTTATTTCAGCTGTTGCATTTAAGTGTGAATGGCACTGTAGTGTCAGTATGACCAGTGGTTAATCCAATTCTTCAGGGCATTAGTAACTCATCCAACAAGAATTTTTTTCTAATTTATTAATTAAATGAAGAAACGTCATAATGGGAACATGGGTATGTTTGGACTACATGAGAACATGACAGCTCTGAATTCTTCCTTCATGAAAATATATTCTAATCTTTTCAGCTTCTGGTAAGTATTCTCTGCTATCTCTAACAGAGGATGACTCCAGGTAGAAAACAGATCCTAGATAGCGTAAGACTCAGTCTAACATGAAAGCAAAAATGTGAAAGGTATGTGAGATATAAATAATACTAACATTTTGAGGATTAAATATAAATTTAATCCTCAGGAGTGAGGATTAAACTTCAACAAGAGCAGTTAGTGGATTTTGAAGTTACTGAATGCTCTCTATGCACCAAGCATCATGCTAAATATTTAGCATAGCATGTAATCCTCCTCATAGCCATCCTACAAAGCAGGTGCTATTAGAATAGCTATTTTACAGATGAGGAATCAGAGGCTAAAGAAGTTAATTAGCCTGCTCAAGTCCACAGAGTAAGGAAATGGCTGAGATCAATTGTAACAAAAATCACAGGCGGTCTGAACCAGTCTAGGGTCTTACCTATTTTTATTTCGTCCTTTCATCTTGAATTTTGTATGACTACAGCAATATACCTCATGCTTTATAATAAAAGATCCATATATTTTTACTTTTTATAAAATTTTAGACAGTTTTGAAATTTTGTGCTTCTAATTTTCTCTCAATATCATAAATTATGTTGAAATATGTTTGGTTCATTTGTCTCAGATTTCACTGGAGAAAGCAAAATGTTAAGTTATGCGCGATTATTGGGCTCTGAAGTCCATACTATGAAAAATGAAAAACTGAGTTTCGATTAAAATGTAGCATGCCTCTTTTTTGCCATCTATTTCTTCAGCTGGAGTGTTGTAAGTCTCATTTCAAATAACACATTCACTTTTAAATTGAAATTAAAATATCTGGTTTGAGATCCAAAGCTTAAATCAATATGAAAATGTTAAAAAGTATTAAATGAAAAGTCCTGTATTTGAGTTCACAACATTAAACTACATAAATTGTCATGCCTGACTTGGCAGCATTTCTAATAAGAATGCCTAGGGCTTTACGTGATCCAAAGTTTAAAGAGAGCCAGTAATGTCTTATACCTGCTAAAAATAACCAACGTATATTTTAGAAAATTATGCAGATCATAGACATTCACTATTCTCTTCAGTAGTGTTGCATAAGTGGAGTATCGTGCTTACTTTTATACTCACTAATTTGCAGCACTTGACAAATCATGGTGTGTCCAGGGAGAGCAACAAGAAAAAGCATGGTAATAAAAGAGCATGTAGTGGTAGGAACAGCTAACAATGTGCTTTGTCTGGGAAGAGAAATCTAAGCATATATTTGGTAACAGTTTCTAATATTAAAAGAGAGTTAAAAGGTATATAAAAAATTTTTAGTAAGCCAAACTATACAATATTGTCTAGAGGTGCACATTTGGGTAATTAACCTACTAACATGCAAAGAGGGGATTACTATAAATAGCAGCATAGTGGATACTTCAGGGGATAGGGAAGAGTTATCATTGGTAAAAGGCACAAAGAAAAGCTCCTAGGGTAATCATCAATGTTTTATTTATTGATTTAGGTGATAGTTACAAGAATATACACTGAAACTCACCAAGCTTTACTTTTTATTTGTTGTATCCATGCACTGTTCATATAATAATACTGGGGTTTTTATGAGGCCATGTTAAATTGACTTACTCTGTGTTATTTTCAGAATAAAGAAAATCAGCCAGGGCTGGGCAAGGAATCATCTTTGAGTTCAATATAAGCAGCATTGACTAAAGGAGAGAGGCTGCTTCAAGTGTAATTGACTTCCCTGTCACTGAAGTTATGCCAGTAGCAGCTGTGTAGCGATTCTGTTGAAGGATCTCCTATGCAGAGCAGAAGGCTAGATTCATGACTTCTGAGGTTTTTTTCCACTTTGAAATTCATGACCTTTTAATTCCCAACACAAACCCAACAGCAGTCAAAAGAATTTGAGTGAATTTTTTAATCAAAGCATTTGGAGACCTCAAGTCATCTCCTGCTCCTGAAGCTTTTCAGTTCAATGTGCATATTGTGATTCTGCATATTTTTGTGTATATAAAAATGTTTCTAAATTTTAAAGTTACACAAATTTTTTAAAAAACATTCCAGTTTAGTTCTAGGTCATTGCGGTAAAATCACTAGTGTGAAAAATTAATGGACTAAGGGGTAGACAGAATAACAATGACAGGTGAATATAGGTTATCATTTTTAGAATTAAAGATGAACCAAGCTCAGTTCCAAGTGCTTTTATAAATATTAACCCTCACAACATCCCTTTGAGGAAGGAAATTTTATTATATTTTCTTCATGTATAAAGAACCTCCTACACAAACAAGTTAAATAATTGCCCAAGGATACAGCTTCCAAGTGGTGAAGCTGGAATTTGATGCCAGGGACTTTGAGTTCAGAATCTGTGCAATGAAGCACTATCATTCCTTAGTTGACAACCTATTGCGAAAAATAAAAAAACTGGACACTTATTAATTAGATTTCCATTTTTGTGCTGTGAAAAACTACACCTCTATCTCATACTACTTGATAACATTTCCTTCTTTATGATTATAACATTATTCTGTTCTAACTGAAACACTTATAACAATGACATATATAAATGATCTATCTTCCCCTTGTTTTACTATATACCAGAAACAAATGAGGTTTCTATTCCATGGCCTCAAGGACACTATAAATGTAAAGTATGGTAGGTCTGAATTTCGTGGTCAGAAATTATCAGCAGAAAAAATGTTTAAACTAATTCAGCCATTAGCTCGACACCAGGGCTCAGGCCGAAGCAGGAGGATTGCTTGAGCCAAGGAGTTCCAAACCAGCCTGAACAACATGGTGAGACCTCATCACTACAAAAACATTTAAAAATTACCTGGACACAGTGGCATGCATCTGTGGTCCCAGCTACTTAGGAGGCTCAGTTGAGAGGATCACTTGAGCACCGGAGGTCCAGGCTGCAATGAGCTGTCACTGTGTCACCGCACTCCAGCCTAGGCAACAGAGCAAGATTTTTGTTTTGTTTGGTTTGGTTTTTTTGAGACAAGAGTCTCGTTCTGTCGCCCCGGCTGGAGTGCAGCGGTGCGATCTCGGCTCACTGTGGCCTCCGCCCCCAGGTTCAAGCAATTGTCCTGCCTTAGCCTCCCAAGTAGTTGGGACTACAGGCACGCACCACACCGCCCAGCTAATTTTTGTATTTTTAGTAGAAAATACAAAATTTTTCCCCACGTAGGCCATGCTGGTCTGGACTCCTGACATCAAGTGATCCGCCCACCTCAACCTCCCATAGTGCTGGGATTACAGGCATGAGCCACTGCATCCGGCCAACAGAGCAAGAATCTATCTTTAAAAAAAACAAACAACAACAACAAAAAAAAACTAACTCAGTCAGTCATTAAATATTTTGTCTACTTAGTGATATGATACAATAATCAGAAATGGTGAGATTGATGACATTTTTATCTGTATCTGTATTCTTTTAGAGCCCAATGGGGTGATGGTTTTACCTAAAGGATTTCAAAGCAATCAGAACATCCACTCATGTTGGATTGGTAAATTCCATAGATTAAAACAACTCTGGCTATTTAATGAACTGCTTTTTGTTTGAATTACCTGCCCAGCGCCCAGCTAATTCTGCTGAATGGCTGGTAAGTAGGATTGGACACAGATCGTTGTACGTGGTGGCCAAATAGTTCTGGAATTACCTCAATATTTAACTGCAACAAATCAGTAAGGCTGTTTAGATGGTGTAATATTAGTCATTAAAGCTGTTTAAAAAACATATAGGCCTTTATACATGTAAGTAAATATTAATAAGAAAGATAATTATTTCCTGGCAACAAAAAACACACTCACAAAAAAAGGCAGTGTAGTAGGGAACACCAAAATTGATAGAATAACAACAGTGCCTGCAATGTTGAGGGGTAAAAAAAATATAAGGAGGAGGAGTAAGTTGGTGGTGAGGATAATTATAATTATAATGGCTGAAATGTAGATATTTGCAAGTAAATATTGAAAGTGATTCTGCTATCAAATGGTGGAGTTTATTCCAAAAAAAGATGTCATTTAACTTTTTACCTCAAGCTTAACTCCTTCAATAATGCAAGGATTTATCATGATCAAGTGATGCTTATGTCATAGCTTCAAAGAGGAACAACTCCTCAATACATATGCCTCTCTTAAAATCACATAATTGACTTCATGATTTTATTACTTAATTGAAATACATAGAACAATGAATGACATAGCAAATTAAGTTTTTTCAATGATTTACAATTCAGCCTGATTGGATTTAGCATATTATTAATTTTGGATTAAATATGAACAAGTTGTGAGCACTGGGCCATAGGGAAATGTTAAAAGAGATGTTCCAAATGAGAGAGAGCATGCAAATAAGAGAGTTTTGGATACCCTTGAGAAACTTCAGAGATTTTCAGTTCTACCTAAACCTGACACTATTTTTGGTTACCATGATATTGCCTGCTAGCTTTTCTTAAGGAACAATGGAAACAAGCAGTGTAAGTTCTGGAACAGATTTCATCCTTCTGGGGTTTTCTGATCGACCCCAATTAGAGCACATCATCTCAGTGGTTGTCTTCATCATCTATATTGTGACTCTGGTAGGAAATACAACCATCATTCTTGTATCTTATCTAGACACCCAGCTCCATACCTTCATGTATTTTTTCTTATCCAATTTGTCTTTCTTGGACCTCTGTTATACAACTAGCATTATCCCCCAGATGCTGGCAAATCAATGGGGCCCAAAAAAATCTATTACTTATGGAGGGTGTGTACTCCAATTCTTTTTTGTCCTTGACTTGGGAGCCACAGAATGTCTTCTGTTGGCTGTGATGGCCTATGATCGTTATGCTGCTGTCTGTCAACCTCTTCACTACACCTTAAAATGCACCCTCAGCTTTGCCACTGCCTGGTTGAGTGGTCTTGCCAGTGCCTTAATTGTTTGCTCCTTGACTTTGAAGTTGCCAAGATGTGGGCACCGGGAAGTGGATAATTTTTTCTGTGAGATGCCAGCATTGATCAAGATGGCTTGTGTCTATTCAAAAGTAATTGAGATTGTTGTCTTTGCTTTCGGAGTGGTATTTCTTTTCGTACCTCTATCACTAATTCTTATCTCATATGGAGTTATCACTCAAGCTGTAATGAGGATCAAGTCAGCAACAAGGTTGCAAAAGATCCTTAATACATGTGGCTCCCACCTCACAGTAGTAATTCTGTTTTATGGAACAATCATTTATATATACATGAAGCCACAGAATACCATATCCCAAGATGAAGGGAAGTTCTTCACTCTTTTACACAATCATCACACCCAGCCTTAACCTTCCCATCTACACTTTAAGAAACAAAGATGTAAAGAGTGCACTGAAGAGAATACTGTGGATGAAAAAATCTTCAGCAGAATCATGAATTAGATGGAAAAAAGTAGAATGTAGAGCACTAAAGAAATATTGGCATTTATCAAGAGAAGTGAAATCAATTCATTTATCCAAAGCACATTCACGCTCAAAGCTTGGTGCTCTTAAATGACAAAAGAAAATTTAGCAAGCTTATGTTTTTACTTTGCTTTACTTTGTTTTACTGGTAAATACATTCAAAATCTGGAAATCCCTGTGCTAGAGAATAAACGACTCCACTTCTCTGCAAATCAGCCATTTCAGAGATTGAAAATCCTCTCTGCAAGTGAAAGATTCCCCATATCTATAGTGCCCTTGCTATGTCATTTCAAAGACAGAGTAAGCCACAGCTTACATGAAGTAATTGAGTAGGAAGATGGGAGTAATAGGGCTTATGATGTCTCTACAATCCTTAAACCCTGTGGCTTCTAAATTTCCACAGCAAGAACATCATACCTTTATTTCAAGGTTTTGATTCCTCTTTTACTTTTATTTTAGGTTTGGGGGTACATGTGAAGGTTACATAAACACGTGTCATGGGGGGTTATTATACATCTTATTGCATCACCCAGGTGTTAAGCCCAGTACCTAATAGTTATCTTTTCTTTGCAGATGACTCTAAAATTGTCAGTTGTACATACCTTGGTAAACATAAAAAAATATGAGAGAGGACAGTGAAATCAGGATAAGGAAAGCATGAAGACACTGTAAACTTCATGGTGTCATAAGGACTATGGAAGAAAGACAAAAGTATAGAATGATAAAATTGTGGCCACTAAAAAAGAGTATCAATTTTCCTTTGTTAAAAATGAGTGATCCTAAATCTTGCTAGGCATTTATCACTTAAAAACCTTCTATTCAACCTTCATACCCTGCTGAAATCTTGTCTCAACTGAAAAGTATTTATGAATCTCATCAGTCTATGGTCTATAGTCCTTGAAAACCCTGACCATATAAGTATAGGGCATTATCCCATTTTTATTTAGTTGTTTGTATGTGTGTTTGAAGAAGATGCATTGGTAAGCTTTTCAACAATATAGACCTTCTTATTCACGTGATTTTGCTGTGTCGAATCAGTTTCTGACATGAATTACATAGCCAATAAATGTCTGTAGAATGAATATGTCAATGTTTTTTATTAAATCTCCATGAAAATGTTACCAAATCTGCAGAATATCACAAATTCTCATTGGGTGATGAATATTAGAGCAATATCTTCAGTTTGTGTTAACACTGAAGATATATAAATCATCTAACACCTAAAATGTAATATATTTAAACATCTATGAGTTAGCAAAGGAAAAGATACAGTTTTTCTTTCACATACATATTATAGAATACATACATAATATTATAGAATCTTTACAACATCCCCTAGAGGTATATATAAGTACATAATGGAAACTAGAAAATAAGAGAAATAAAAGAAATTGCTCATTATCTTATCCCAGAAATGACTAAATTTTTAAATTAATTTTCTTTTAAAGTACTGTCATCTATTAAAATTTGGTTTAATAGTTTGTCTTATTTCTCTCAATATATGCCTTCATATCAGGGATGATATCATCCCCACAGGGGCAAAATTGATTCAAGGGGAGGTAGCAAAAATCTTTGGTATTACAATGGTTGGTGGTCCTCCAAAGAGCCTCTGTACATAAGCAGTTACACAATATAACTGTGGCACTAAAATTTTGTTAGAAATGAAATAACTATAATGAAAAAGTTTGAGAAAACACTTAATTTGGTGCTTTTTCCTATTTGAAAAGATGATTAAAAGAAAGACTCCCTTAGGCCAAAATGATTGACAAGGATATGCACATCCAATACACAGAATTAGTAAACTTCTAGATTGGCAATTGAAAACTGCATTCAGTAATGGTCTTCAGTTTCAGGTTAAAATGCTGGAAATTCTCTGTTATATTGGGGATTTTTTTTTTAAGTTTGATGAAAAAATCATGCCCCAAAGAGTTTTTTTAATGATAAAATTCTTGAGTTTATAGGATAGTATATAAAAAAAGAAACAACTTGCTGAAAAGTTGAAACTGAAATTGTGCCCCAAAGAATAGGAAACCAATAACTAACAGAAATCTTGAGTTTGCCAGATAGCAGATAAGAAAATAAATAACTTGCTGAAACGCTGAAATTCCCTCCATTTGTGAGATAACAAGAGTGTCCAAAATTAGTTGGAACCAACATGACCAAATGGAGTTTGCACAGAACAAGCTTGTTAATGTCACAGCCCGATTTCCACTGCATGTTTCATACTAACTCCCTTTGAATTTGCATGTGGGACCCATGAAGAGGAATGGAGATAACTGTGCATTTGAGGACTTTCTAGACCTCCCTTTTCCTTCCACCAACCACCTGCTAATCCCAGAATCCACCCGCAAACCTTTTCTAATAAAATTACTATCTTAAAGCCAGCACAGGGAGATACAGTTGAGCTAGATTCCTGTCTCCTTATTGGTCAACCTATAATAAAGAGCTTTTCTTTTCTTAGAAATCCAGTGTCATAGTATTAGCTTCTAGCACATCCAGCAGTGAGCCCCTTTTGCCTGGTAACAATAACATAATATAGTATCAAGAATTTGTGACTGGGCATGGTGGCTCACGCCTGTAATCCCAACACTTTGGGAGCCTGAGGTGGGCAGATCACAAGGTCAGGAGTTCAAGACCAGCCTGGCCAATATGGTGAAACCCCATCTCTACTAAAAATAGAAAAAGTAAGCTGGGCGTGGTGGTGGGCACCTGTAGTCCCAGCTACTCCGGAGGCTGAGGCAGGAGAATGGCTTGAACCCAGGAGGTAGAGGTTGCAGTGAGCCGAGATTGCACCACTACACTCCAGCCTGGGCAACAGAGCAAGACTCCATCTCAAAAAAAAAAAAAAAGAATTTGAGGAAACAATATCTCATTTATTTCTGGTTGTATTAGTTATCTGCTGCTACATGAACTTTTTTTTAAAGAAACAAACAGAACTTCTAGACATGATCAGTATAGGCTGAAAATCCCTTATCCATAATTCTGAATCTAAAATGGTCAGAAATGCAAAGGCATAAGAACGATACATTGGACTTTGGGGACTCGGGGAAAAGGGTGGGGGCTGGTGAGGGATAAAACACTACACACTGTGTACAGTGTACACTGCTCAAATGATGGGTGCACCAAAATCTCAGAAATCGCCACTAAAGAACTTATTCATGTAAGGAAACACCACCTGTCCCTCCAAAACCCTATTGAAATAAAAAAATTAAAATAAACAAAAATAAAATGGTCAGAAAACTAAAAGCTTTCCTTTTTTTCTTTGAGACAGGGTCTCACTATGTTACCCAAGCTGGTCTCAAACTCCTGGCCTCAAGCAGTTCTCTCAAGTAGCTGGTATTACTGGTGAGAGCTACCACACCCAGGTAGAAAACTAAAAGTTTTCATAACTCTGTTGGCAACAAAACCTGACCTGAACTGAGGTAGGACTATTTCTATCTATTCTTTACTTTCAGTTTTATTAAACAAGAGAGACTGTATGTTAAAAGAATAGAGTTCCTTTTAAGAAAAAATAATATCAGCTATTTGTCATTTGTCAGAAATGGCAGATATTTTTTAAAGAGGACACTCACTGTTATCACTAATTTATAAAACCATAGTTTCTTTCGAGTTGAAGATTCAAGAGCAATTAGAACATGTCTGTTTTAAAATATGGTAGTCACTAGGTGTAGCATCAAAAGAAAAACTATCAAAGAATAATAAAACTTTAAATTATTCTTTTTAACTTAAATGGATGTGTATTTTAAACTATTTTTATCTAAGATATTAAGTTAACATTTAAAGTTGGCCACATGAAAAGATAGGTCACATTTCATGTTCTTGTGAGTCAACTGAAATACTGAAGGAAAAAAAAAGTTTGTTTCCTTGCTAGTCATTGTACCTTGCTGGCTAGAAATGTTCCATGGAATGTGTGAGAGTTTGGTTCCAAAATGGCTGCATATAAGGAAGCTGGCTTTATTTTTCCTCCACAGAAAACCTACAACAAATACACGGTGCTGAGATTATCACCAGCAATATCCCAGAACTCAAATATGAAGATGGAACAGTGCCCGTGGCAACAAAGAAGTAAAAAACTTCAAGCAGACGCTGTAAGAATCAGACTTCCAAATCCGTGACATCCCTCTCCCAAATCTGCCTAGCACCAAGCATGTGGAAAACTTCCCCCACCTCACCGCCAGTTTCTACACTGGAAAAAGTGAGATTGAAGTGGATAACCAGTTTCCCCACCATCTTGGATTCCCTGGCAAGAGATCTGTCCCTAAGTACTTAAAGGGAGAAATATTCCCAAAGACAACCAGAGAAAAAGTGGGGAGGTGGGACTTCCTTCCCCAACCCTAGAAACACTCTTCTTTAACTCAGCCAAAGGAGACGCCAAATCAGCGAAGCTGGTCAGCAGCGACACACCATAGGAGGTATGTTCCACAGGTTCCCTGAGCACGAAATTCTAGCCAGACTTCCCACCCTATTGGGATATCCCCCGTAAGACCTTCTACATTTGGGTCCGGCAGTGCTCCAGTCATTTACTAGGGCCAAGGAAAACCTGGACTGCAGACTCCATGTGATGTCAGAAAGAAGGCAAGACCAAGAGGGCGAAAAAAAAGTAGATGCTGTCATGCTTTCTGTACAGCCTGCAGAACCATGAGCTAAGTAAACCTCTTTTCTTTATAAATTACTCAGTCTCATGTGTTTCTGTATAGCAGTGTGAGAACAGACTAATATACATGACTTCCCCAAACAGACAAAGCAAGGAACCAATGACTTACCCTAGGCAAGACAGTGGTATGTGAGCTCTCTCACCAAGAATTCAAAATAGCAGTTTTAAAGAAACTCAGTGAACTCAAGGATAACACACAAAAGCAATTCAAAAATTTATCAGAGAAATTTAACAAAGAGATTAAAATAATTTTTTAAAATCAAACAAAAATCTTGGAACTGAGAAATATACTTGTCAAACTGAAAAATTTATTAGAGACTCTCGACAGCAGAATGGATCAGACAGTGGAAGGAATTAGTAAACTCAGACAGGCTATTTGAAAATACAGTTAGAGGAGAAAAAAGGGAAACGAATACAAAGGAATGAAGATCACCTAAATAATATAGAAAAGTACCTCAAAAGGACAAATCTAAGAATGATTGGTGCTCAAGAGGGAATTCAGAAAGAGCAAAAATTAGAAAGCTTATCCAAAGAAATAACTCAAAACTTTCCAAACTTAAGAAATATATAAGTATCTAGGTACAAGATTAGAGAACATGAAACAGATTCAACCCAAATAAGACCACCCCAAGACATACAATAATCAAATTCTCAAAGGTCAAGGACAAAGAGGATTACAAAAGTTGGCTGGGCACCATGGCTCATGCCTATAATCCCAGCACTTTGGGAGGCCAAGGCAGGTGGATCACCTGAGGTCAGGAGTTCGAGATCAGCCTGGCCAACATGGTGAAACCCTGTCTCCACTAAAAATACAGTAATTAGTGGGGCATGGTAGTGGGTGCCTGTAATCCTAGCTACTCAGGAGGCTGAGGCAGGAGAATCGCTTGAACCCGGGAGGCAGAGGTTGCAGTGAGCAGAGATAGCACCATTGCACTCCAGCCTGGGTGACAAGAGTAAAACTCAGTCTCAAAAAAAATAAAATAAAATAAAAAATAAAAGCAGCAAGAGAAAAGAAGTAAATAACATACAAAGAGCTCCAATTATTCTGGCAACAGACTCCTCAATGGAAACTATACAGGCCAGGTAGATGTGGGATGGCATTTTCAAAGTGCTAAAAGAAATAAAACCGCCATCCAAGATTAATGTACCAGAAAAGCTATTCTTCAAACATGAAGAAGACATAAAATCTTTCCTTGACAAACAAAAGCTGAGAATTCACTACCACCAGGCCTATCTTAAAATAAATGGCAAATGAAGTCCTTCAATCTAAGAGAAAAAGATGCTAACATGCATAAAGAAAATATTTGAGGAAAAAAACCACTGGTAACATTAAGTACAAGACATACCCAGGATACTCTAATACTCTAATTGTGGTGTGCAATCCATTTATAACTGTAGTATGAAATCTAAAAGACAAACCTATCAAAAACAATAATTGCTACAGTGACCTGCTAAGAGATAGACAATATAAAAATATGTAAACCGAGACAACAAAAAGTCAAGATGTAGGGGTATAGAGTTAAAGGGCAGGGTTTTGTGGGGGTTATTTAAGTTTTTTTGTTTGTTTCTAGTCTTTTCTTTGTGATCAAAGTTAAGTTGTCATCTTTGTAAAATATCAGCTGCGCGCCATGGCTCATGCCTGTAATCCCAGCACTTTGGGAGGCCAAGGCTAGCTAATCACTTGAGCTCAGGAGTTCAAAACCACTCTGGGCAACATGGCAAAACCTCATCTCTACAAAAAATACAAAACTTAGCTGGCTATGGTGGCATGTGTCTATGGTATCAGCTACTCAGGAGACTGAGGTAGGAGGATTGCCTGAGTTCAATAAGGTAGAGGCTGCAGTAAGCCAAGATCTCACCACTGCACTCCAGCCTGGGTGACAGAGACCCTGTATCAGAATAATAAGTAATAATAAAACAAAGTAGCTATAAGATATGTTTTGTAAGCCTCATGGTAACCCCAATGCAAAAATCTGTAATTAATACACTAAAAATAGAAGGCAGTGAATTAAAGCATTCTACCAGAGAAAATAACTTAACCACAAAGAAATACAGTAGCAAAAGAATAAAGGAAGAAAGACGTTACAAAACAACCAGAAAACAAGCAACAAAATGGCAGTCATAAGTCCTTACTTATCAATAATAACACTGAATATAAATGGACCAAATTCTCCAATTAAAAGATGTATAGAAGTTAAATGGGTAAAGAGACGAGACCCAACTATGTGGTGCTACAAGAACCCACCTTGCCTATAGGGACATACATAAGTTGAAAGTGAATTTATGGAAAAAGATATTCCATGCAAGTGGAAATCAAAGAGAACAGGATTAGGTATACTTATATCAGATAAAACAGACTACAAGTCAAGGAATGTAAAAAGTGACAAAAGGTCACTATATAATGATGAAGGGGTCAATTCATCAAGAGGATATTAAAAATTATAAATATCTGTGCACCCAACACCAGAGCATCCAAATATGTAAAACAAACATTAATAAATCTCAAGGGAGAGATAGGCTCCAATATAATAATAGTAGGGACTTCAACACCTCACTTTCAGTAACAGATTATCCAGGGAGAAAATCAATAAAGAAACATTGGAATTAAGCTACACACTAGACCAAGTAGGCCTGACATTTATAGAACATTTCACCCAGCTGCTACAGAGTACACATTCTTTTCACTTGCACATGGCACATTCTCCAGAACAGACCATATCTTAAGTCACAAAAGAAGTCTCAGCAAATTCAAAAAAGTAAAAATTATATCAAGTATCTTTTCTGATCACAATGGAATAAAACCAGAAATCAACAAGAGGAACCTTGGAAACTATACAAACACATGGAAATCAACATGCTCCTACAACCAATGGGTCAATGAATAAGCTAAGAAAATTTTAAAAATTTCATGAAACTAGTGAAAATAGATATACAACATACCGAAGCCTACAGAATACAGCATAACAATAACTTTATAGCAATAAACACCTACATCAAAAAAGGGAAAAGACTTCAAATAATCAACCTAAAAATGGATCTCAAGGAACTCAAAAAAGCAAGGATGAACCAAATCCAAAATTAGTAGAAAGAAATAAATATCAGAACAGACATAAATGAAATTGAAACTAAAACATAAATACATTTGATCAATGAAATGAAAAGTTGATTTTTTGAAGATAGACAAAATTAACAAACCTTTCCCTAGACTAAAAAAGAGAAACCCAAATAAATCAATCAGAAAGAAAAAAAAAGAGATATAACAGACCACAAAAATACAAAGAATCAGAGAATATGAACAACTATACACCAACAAATTGGAAAACATAGAAAAAATGGATAAATTATTAAACATATACAACGTACTAAGATTGAACCATGAATAGAAACCCTAACAAACCAATAATGAGTAATGAAATTGAAGCCTTAATAAAGTCTCTCATCAAAGAAAAGCCCAGGACATTATGGCCTCACTGCTGAATTCTAGCAAATATTTAGAGAACTGATACCAATTCTACTCAAACTCTTTTAAAAAAAATTGAAGAGGAGGGTATTCCTCTAAACTCATTCTACAAGGCCAGCATTGCCCTGATGTGAAAACCAGACAAGGATACAGCAAAATCTGTGTCAGAAATCAAATCAAAAACAAAACTACAGGCCAAAATCCCTGATGAACATAGATACAAAAATTCTCAAAATAACTAGCAACCCCAATTCAACAACCAAGAAGATCGCTCATGATGAGTGTGATTCATGAATACTGCATGTTCTCACTCCTATGTGGGAGCTAAAACAGAAGATCTCATGAAGCTAGGGAGTACAATGGTGGTTATCAGGGCCTGGAAAGAGGAGGGAAGACGTGGGATAAAGAGAGGTTGGTTAAACGGTATAAGTATACAATTAGGTAGAAGAAAGACAACCAGAGTTCAATAGATCAGTAGGGTGACTATAATCTATTAGACACTTCTGGCTGGGCGCGGTGGCTCACGCCTGTAATCCCAGCACTTTGGGAGGCAGAGGTGGCCGATCACGAGGTCAGGAGTTCAAGACCAGCCTGACCAACATGGTGAAACCCCGCCTCTACTAAAAATATAAAAATTGGCCCGGTGTGATGGCGTATGCCTGTAATCCCAGCTACTTGGGAGGCTGAGGCAGGAGAATCGCTTGAACCCAGGAGGCAGCGGTTGCAGTGAGTCGAGATCACGCCATTGCACTCCAGCCTGGGTGACAGTGCTAGACTCTGTCTCAAAATAATGTTAGACATTTCAAAATATCTAAAAGATTGCTTGATATATATTTAGATATAACTAGAAAAAAATTTGAACGTTCCAAGCAAAAAGGACATTTAAGTTTATACATATATATACACACACACACAAATTATCCTTATCTTTGACCTTTATACGTTATGTATCAAAATATTACATGTACCCTCAAAATACATACATTAAAAAAATGAGAAATAGAAAAATCAAAAAAAAAAGTTCCATGAATTCTGAACACAAATGTGGCCCCCCATTGCTTGTTATTTGTCTGTTCATCATCCCCCACTTGCAGTATTAAAATGTCAGTGTTTCCATTTAGGGATCCCCTTCTGCCTGAATAATCCCCAAATCTGATTCAAAAAATTAGTTCTTACCAGTTTGCACACTCAAGAAAGCACCTGAGCCCAAGTCCACTACGGCCATTTTGTCACTGCCACAAGGTGGCGCTATTGAAAAATGGTCCACATTACTAGCACTCACCGTCCCCATTGTAATGAGAACAAACTTCGGATCTCTGCACAAGCCACAGTGGTCCTTCTAAGGAGGTAGACAGACCTCTCACCCTGCACCCACTTCTTCATGGCAGTTGCATCTCAGTGAGCCTTGAGTTCGTTCATGAGTGGCTGATCTTTGTTTTCACGTCTTAAGTCTGAAAGCACCCATCTCCATCAGAGAGCCTGCCGCTCAGTAACTCCGGCCGAATTTGTTCGGGTGTGAGGTTTAAGGCCCTAATCGCTGTTCTCTCTTCCTCTTTGGGCAACCCCATCTCCGAAGCGTCAGTTTTTCTTTCACCTATCCGCAACATAAAGTGTTACTAATGACACTCCTCGCCCAGAAGACGGCGCTCCGGGCCTGCACACGCTGGTGCCTCCGGCGAGCCTGGACCCCAGGGCCACTTAGAGCCTTGGCGTTCGTTTTAGCTCTTAACGGCGACCAAGACGTCTTCCTCCTCTGCGACAGTGTGGGGAAGGGAGAACGAGAATAACCCACGTTTGGCCAGGAAAAGCTCCCCCTCTATGTAACTTGTAAGGAACCTCCCAGCAAGCAAGTGGCGTGTGCCCGGGTCTCCGTTCCCCGAGACGCGGGATCCCGGGCGGGAGGGCTAGTCTATCCCATTTGCCTCCACTCCTCTCGGAATACGTTGGAGTCTTCCTTTCTGGTGTCTCCGACTTCGCAGTAACTTAGAGGTGTCTCTGATGAGAATGCAGCCCTGGGTGTGGCTCTGACCACCTCAAGCACCATCCCGACCCTTCCTTGTACGTCTTCCCGCAACCTCCTGCGGAAAAGCAATGTGTCAGAAATTTGTGAGTTCTTGGCATGATTCTAGAATGAAGCTGCAGACCCTCAGGGTGTTAGTTCTAAAAAACGTGTCTGGAGTTTGTTCCTTCTGATAGTCAGACGTGTTTGGAGTTTGTTCCTTTTGGTGGGTTCGTCGACTAGCTAGCTTCAGAAGTGAAACCGCAGACCTCTACAATGAGTGTTACAGCTCTTAAGGCGGCATATCTGGAACTGTTTGTTTTTCCAGGTGGGTTCGTGGCCTCGCTGACCTCAAGAGTGAAACTACAGGCCCTCACAGTGTTACACCTCACAAAACAAAATGCAGATCCAAGCAGCTAATAGTAAAAAATAAAACCACCACAATGTGAAACAGGACAAAACAAATTACAATGGCCAACTCCGGTAACCTGCTTTTATTCCCTTATCTGGCCCCACCCACATCCTGCTGATTGGTCCATTTTACAGAGAGCCGATTGGTCCGTTTTGACAGGGTGCTGATTGGTGTGTTTACAATCCCTGAGCTAGACACAAAAGTTCTCGAAGTCCCCACTAGATTAGCTAGACACAGAGCACTGATTGGTGCATTTACAAACCTTGAGCTAGGCACAGAGTGCTGATTGGTGTATTTACAAACCTTGAGCTAGACACAGAGTGCTGACTGGTGTATTTACAATCCCTTAGATAGACATAAAGGTTCTCCAAGTCCCCACCAGATTAGCTAGACACAGAGTGCTGATTGGTTTGTTTACAAACCTTGAGCTAGACACAGAGTGCTGATTGCTGTATTTACAATCCCTTAGCTAGACATAAAGGTTCTCCAAGTCCCCACCAGTTTAGCTAGATACAGAGTGCTAATTGGTATATTTACAATCCCTTAGCTAGACATAAAGGTTCTCCAAGTCGCCACTAGACTCAGGAGTCCAGCTGGCTTCACCTGGTGGATCCTGCACCCGGGCCGCAGGCGGAGCTGCCCGCCAGTCCCGCGCGCCGTGCGCCCGCACTTCTCAGCCCTTGGGCGGTGGATGGGACGGGAAGCCGTGAAGCAGGGGGCGGCAATCGTCGGGGAGGCTCCGGCGGCGCAGGAGCCCACCGCGAATTCTCGGGCATGGCAGGTTGCAGGTCCCAAGCCCTGCCCCGCGAGGAGGCGGCTGAAGCACGCGAGCGCGGCGCGGGTGGGCCGGCAGCGGTAGGGGACCCAGCGCCCCCTCCGTAGCTGCTGGCCCGGGTGCTAAACCCCTCACTGCCCGGAGCGGTGGCGCCGGCCGGCCGCTCCGAGTGTGGGGCCCCCGGAACCCGCGCCCACCCGGAACTCGCACTGGCCCGCAAGAGAGTTCCCGCCTCTTCCTCCACACCTCCCCGCAAACAGGGAGCCGGCCTCGCCAGCCCAGAGAGGGGTTCCCACAGTGCAGCGGCAAGCTGAAGGGCTCCTCGAGCGCGGCCAGAGTGGGCGCCGAGGCCGAGGAGGCGCGGAGAGCGAGCGAGGCCTGGCACCACGCTGTCACCTCTCGGCAAGGCGAGATTCCGCGCGGAGGAAAGAGGCGCGCTGTCCGGGGACGGGAGGCTGGCGGCAACCGCTACAGGGTCGTAACAAAACAAGTCCCTAGGGGAACTGAGTGGAATTGCGTCCTTTAGCTCTCCAGAGCTCTCTAAGCTCCTTGAAGGGCCAGAGGCTGAGCCCACCTTGGGACATAATTAGTAAGCCTGACTCAGTGACATGGCCCTGCCAAAAGAAAATATTCCCTGAAGGAACAACCTTCTCTCGCATTCTGGTGCCTAAGGAGGTGCAGCTTGAATGTGAGACTGAATTAGGACAGAACTGAAGGCCCCTTGAGCCACACTGGTATTGAGAGGGTATAAGGGACTGCAGGAAAAAGGGATGTCAGAGAGAAAGAATCCCATTTACAAAAGCGTTACCATGTAGGCAGGGTTTAGCTTTGGGTAATGAATGACTCAGTTCTGTGGCTGGAAAAATACACAAAGAGGATTATTAGAAAAGTTTCTGATTATTTGGTTCATCAAAAGGACATTTCTGCCTACTTCCTAGTTATAGTATGAGTTTATGAAATTTGGGATCATAGAAGAAAGTAAAAATTCTATTAGAGAACAGACACAAGGGCTGACAGTTCTTTGTGACACCTCAGAAACTGTTATTCCAAAATCCTATTTGCAATCAGTTGGGTTACAGCCTCCTGAGATTCACCCTCCTGATTCTGGCCCTGAGCTAGGTTTGTCCAGAGATTAATAAGTTTGTGATCTTTCTGTCCTTCAGCCTTGGTTTAACTGGAATAATAAGTGAGATGAGGAAATGACTAATAGAGCTCATCTTGAGTGTATGTTTTTTTAAAAAACCCATTCTTCCAGTGGGCTGGAAGGGGTAGTGGGAAACATTCAACAACATCTGCCCACACCAGGCCTGCCTCAACTTAATCCTTTCTCAGCTACTCTTCCCAGGTAGAGCCATCATTAATCTGATTGGTCATGTTCTAGGACATCAACAAGGTCTTGATATCTGGTGGAAAGTTTAAGACTTTGTCTTGCTTTTCCTCTCCTCTGGGCCCAAAGAGCATGAGACAGCTAAACTTGGATCTTCTCTGTAGACCCAGCCATGTTGCTTCCTGCTTTTTCTCAACTTATTTCCTCCATGTAGCTGGCCAGCAGTTGACACAAGCCTAAGACTTAGGACAAAGTTAAAGGCACCACTGGAGGTTAAATCTAGGCTACATGCTCCAACAGAGATCTGAACTTCTGCAAGAGATTTGAACTTCTCCATGGGTGATTATTTGATTATCTGAGCACTCACTTAGCTCTTTATAAATTAGTAGTTCCATTTAGTTTAACAAAGTTTTTGAGATCATGGGCTCAGGAACTAGATGACTTGGTTTCAAATCCTACCACCTACCTGCTATGTGACTTTTTCTGTCTCATATTCCTCATCTCTAAGATAGAAATAGTAATTTCTGAGTCATAAATTTGCTGCAAGGATGTGGTACAATGGGCCTTGCAATAAATTCTACAACATCACATAGTATGAACGAAGGAATGGGAATAAGATTTACTGGGGAAACTTAGAAAGCAAGAGTCAGGCACAAGAGGCATAGAGTTCTCAATCCTCTCATAATCCCATGGAGAGGTGAACCAGGGGCAAGAACAAGCCATTTCACATGCAATAGGTTGGGGCTCTGGTCCTGACCCAATTATTCTATCTTGTCAAGGATAAACTTGAACACCACTTTTCAGTAAGACAACAAGCAGACTACTTGATTGCCGGGCAGTCTGGGTTTAGATGCTAGCAGAGCTGAGGAAGCATCTGAGGACCAGATGCCCAACACCTGGAGACCATGCATCCTATGGACAGTTGCAGCCCCTTCGTGTTAGAAAGTGTAAGCAGCTGGTCTCATGCAAAGCTATACGTAGGTGCAGCCCCTCTTTCCAAGAGGAACGGGAAACTCCAGTTGTAGCTAGCACATTTCCTGGGCAATCTAGAGTGAGATCCCAGGATCATTTCTGAATAGTTCTGCTTATTGCCCCATAGAATATTAAGTAAAATGTAGCACACAATATCTTTAGTACAGTATTAATAAGTACTCAATAAATATTAGCTATTATAGTTAGTCCCATTTGGCTATCGCTCCTTTTGTTCAACTTCCTTAGGAACATGATATGAGTAGAGTGTCAGAAGTGATTGACAGGGATAAACTTAGTCATTTCTGGGTTCTTTAGCAAAAATAATAATCTAAAACCACCTCAAACCTCACCCTAACTCTTTTAACAGAGACTTATAATCACATCAACATCTACATTAGCCCACAGCTTTAAAACTCATGTGTATCTTTGTTTCCAAACCGCTTTCTAACTGGTCTCCCCAATTCCAGTTTCTCTACTATCTAGTTTGAATTTCACGGTTGTCAGTGTTTTCTTCCTGAAATATATTATCATATAATTAAAAAGTTTTGCTAATTATTATGTTGGCAAAGCTGGGGAAAAACAGGCTGCCATTTCTGTGTAATATAGAATAAGGTAGGACCAGTAGATCCCATGATCATGTGCCCTTTGTAACACATCCTTCACAGTAAAGTGAGTCCCTTGGTCTGAGATGTAAGGCAAGGTTCCATGTCAGTACATCAGACATTGTGAGTCCTTGGGTAGTATTAGCAGGGGCATTGGAGACAGGGAAGCAAAATTATACCTGGAATACATACAAATCCCTATAAGGATGAGTCTCTGCCCACTGCAAGGTATTAATAGAAAGGGTTCAAAGTGATCAATCTGCCACCAAATGGCTGCTTAATCTTCTCAAGAGATCATACCATGTTGAGGGTTCAATGACAGTGCTAACTGTCCTTTTCTGTCTAATAAAATGAAAAGGATCCCAATCCTTACAGAACATAAAAAGAAAATATATGTGTTAGGCCGGGGTTTCCCACCCTCAACTTACCAGCTGTGACACTGTTGGCAAGTTTATTATCTTCTCCAGGCCTATCTAAAAATTGGGATAATGATAATACTTACCCCATTGGATTGTTTGAGAATTAAATGAGTTAGCACACATAAAGCATTTAAAACGACACCTGACCCAGAATAAGCGCGCTCTATTCAAATGTTTGCCAAATATATTTTTTAATGTTTAATATTAAAGGATGGCTTAAAGGAGGAGAGCAAATGGACGAGAGAAAAACAGCCGAGAAGAGGTTAAAAATAAGATGCCTCTGCTGGCGGGACCCTCCCTACCCACCTCCCCGCCCCGCCCCGCCCCAGAGTTCCCGCAAAGGGGCTTCCCCGCTCGGACTCGACGCCGCCACGCAGACCTGCCCCGCGGCCTCAGCTTCCCGGCTGTGTGGCCCAAGTATAGCCCGAAGCCCTCCGTCCCCTTTCTCCCCAGGCGAGGTCGAAGGAACCACGACCCCATTCGCGGCTAGGAAACAAGAAACCGAACGCTTTTCCATTCCGCAGTCTCCATGGTAACGCGTGCTTCGCTTTTCTAGCACCCGCGGAAGACTCTTCTCTTTGGTCCAGCCCTGCAGACACCGGGAAGCTGTGCTGTCTGAATCAGCTTGGCCAGTGTTGCACTGTTACCATTTGGGAGGAACAGATTAGCTTGAATATGAAATTTATCCTCTTCAGTATACAAAGAGAAAAACAAAGAAAATGAAAGCACGAGTCAATTAGAATTACTTGAATATAAGCTCCACGGGGCAGAGATCTTTAACCGTTTTGTACATTCATGTTATTCCAAGCTCTTAGTACAGTTGCTTTTAGAAATATTTGTTGAAGAATGAATTGAAATGAGTCTGAACAAAATGGACGCAAAGCAGCTTTGACTGATCTATCACCATTTGACTGTTCTCAGTAGCTTTATTTTAAAAAGAACCATAAGTCACATACATTTAAATGTGCTATAACTTTTAGGATCATGAGGGCCAACAAGCATACGTTATAAGTAATGTATTCTGTATTTTCAAGAATATATTTCCAATATATGGTATTTTTCTATAATATATTTTTATCATGTTATGTTTCAATATAATGATTATGAGCAGAACCTTGAACAGAAAATTGTTCCATCTATGTAAGTAATAAGGTTAAACACAAAAGATATATTTAAAAGTTTGGGGAAGTAATAAATACTTTTTTTACTAGATTTTATCTTTTAGAGCAGTTTTAGGTTCACAGCAAAATTGAGCTGAAAGTACAGAGATGTCCCATACTCCTTGCTCCACACATGTGTAGCTCTCTCACTCTCAGCATCCCCAACCGGAGGGGTGAACCTACATTGACAATCACCTGGAGTCCGGACAAATGTATAGTGGCATGTATCCACCATTACATAATCATACGTAGTATTTTCACTGCCCTAAAAATACCCTTTGTGCTCGGCCTGGTCATCCTTCTCCACTTCCAACCCCTGACAACCACTGAACTTTTTTTTCTTTGGTTAAGATGCTACATATATGATCTTTTTACTGTCTCCATAGTTTTGCCTTTTCCAGAATGTCATATAGTTGAAATCATACAGAATGTAACCTTTTCAAATTGGCTTCTTTCACTTAATAATATGCATTTAAGTTTCCTCTATGTACCATAGTAAATACTTTTTAGATTGTTCTTTCCCATATTAGAATATAAACTTTCTACCAAAAATTATGGGAAATTACCCTTTTAGAAGGGAAAATTCCAAGAAAACAATTATTTCAAAAAGATTGCCAATATTTTTTAAATGAAATATCAAAGACAAAAAAAATACTTGCTAGCAAGTTCTGAGTTGAACTGAAAAACAATCAGGTTAATTAAAAAGATTATTGGAAGGAAAATGGGAAGACCTGTCTATGGCAGTTAAAATGGATGAGCTAGAGCCACATTTTTCATGAAGGATAAATCTCAAAACTACATGTAAAGTTGAGTACAAATTACATAGTAACCCCTATAATGTATTCTTGCCAAAAATATTGAACCAAAATGAAATCAAGTATTTAGAGCTCAAAGGATATGTACAAACTGAAACTATTTGTATAAAATTTGTAAAACATGTAAATTATACTATATAATATTTGTGGCTACCCACGTATGTACTAAAAATATGTGAACATGCATGGGAATAATAACATCAAAATCAAGATAGTAGTTAACCTGGGAAGGAAGGGGGAAGGAATTGGTGAGGAGTAGACATGGTGATTTAATTGTGTATATAATCTTTTATGTCTTAAGCTAGATGTTGAGTGTTCTTTATATTACTCTTTAGTATGCCTGAAATATTTGCTATTTTTTTCAAAAGCCCCAGGAAATGAATTTTGTAATTTTGACAGATGGCAGAAGGGCCATAAAATTACTTAACATTATCAGGCTTTCATATCTCCATCAAGTGTCGTGACCTTCAAGTTGAGAATGATAGGACAAACATTTACATAAGGAAGGTAGTTAAACAGTAACTACAAGTTTTCATGCCCAGCTTAAAGCATACTAAAGTTCAGGAGGATTGGCCACAGGACCCCTGAAGCCCATTTTTGAGTAGTGCAACAAATGCCCAAGTCTGACAAATATCCAAATTTTCAAAAAGTAAGAAGGTGAACTGTGGAATTAACAGGGTGAAAAATTTGACATGGATCCCTGGTAAAATTCCAGTATTAATTATTTTAGGAGATGTTTTATGAGCGATTGTGGTTAGCCTAGAGGAAATAATGTAAATAAATGTCTCTTAATCCAACTAGATTATTAAAGTATATGCTAACAGTCTACTGTGGAAGTATCTTTATAACAGCAAAGGGTATAGCAGTCTTTCATGAATGTATTGCACAAAAATATGTGAACTGGACATTATTACTATTAAGTAGATTAATATTGGGAAGAAAGACTGTACCCAGTCAGCCTGGAAGGTAGATGACCACGCATAGCATCTCTCCTGTAGCTCCTTGCACAGTGCCTTTGCACAGTATTCACTAAAGTCCTTTACAAAATTATAGACTTAGTATCCTTAGGGATCATTCTACTTAAAATGCCAATTTCCATTAGATGAGAATAAAATTTTATAAAATTGGGGGATTGAAGAAATTATTTTTGTATAATGATTTTTATTCAGCAAGCAATATGGCCAGGCATTTTCATATACAATATATGTATATTAACCCTCTCACAATGAATTTGTGCATAAGGGATTTGTTTTCACTATTTTACAGATGCAGCAATTAAGACACAGAGAAATTAAGTAACTTGCTCACAGTATCATAGCTAACAAGTTGCAGAATCAGGAACAAGATCTTCTCAATATAAAGTTTCTGCACTTCCCATAATACCACTTTATTGCTACTGTGCCAAGTATTTTCTTACCTCCTTTGTCTTTGAATAAATAGAAGACCCGACTGGGCTGGAAAGGCTGCATTTATATCCAAAGTAGTCTAGGTATGAGATCCAAGAGTCTGAAATCATTAGATTCTCTTCTAATTTTATCCTCTTTTGTACAAACAAGTTTTTAATCTCTTGGGCCTCAATTTTCTCAAGTATAAAATGAAGAAAGTATACCTCATTACCATTATAGTATCTTCCAGGTTTGCAGTTATTCTCATCATGAAATTTGATGCCAGGCAATGTGTTAAGTGATTTCCACGTATTAACTAATTTATCCTTATAACGGCTCTGAAATTTAGGTATTTACACTGGACCCATTTTGCAGATAGACAAACTAGGGTGGGTCTAAGGTATGATACACACACATTGTGAGTGGGGTAGCCAGGATTTAATCTCATAATTAAGCAAATTTTATTTCATTTTGATACATTTTTAAAACAGCTAACCATGACTATTCACAAAGGTATGCAATCCTTGCCCCCACTGAAAGCACCAGAACACCTTGGAAAAATGGCTGATTCCAGGTCTGAGGCAGGAAATGTATGACATGTGTCTGAAACATTTATCTTGCCATAAAGGAAAAAAGCAAAGACGCTTAGAGTTGGATGAAAAGGACACAGGAGATAAAATAAAGGGACTCCCACTGACCAAAGATGAAATAATTTGAACATTAAAAAGAATAACTACTGCAATTGATTGAGACTCATTGAATGTATTTTTTTAAATCCATGTGTTCATATTGATATGCAAAAAGAGAAAACAAAATTTTGCATTAGTTATCAACTGATGCAGAACACTTGATGTTGTGCACAAAAAGAGAAAACAAAATTTTGCATTAGTTGCACAAAAAGATTTTACATTAGTGCACATTAGATGCACAAAAAGAGAAAACAAAATTTTGCATTAGTTATAAAACTTAGAACCAAACATCTGTTGCAGTTTCCTCCCTCAAAGCCATTCCCCAGCTTCTGAAGACCAGAAATCTGGGAGCAGCTTGGCTGGTGGTCCTGCGTATGTCATAAGGTTGCACCCAAGACATCAACCAGGGCTGCAGTCATCTGAAAGCTTGACTAAGGTAGAAAGATCCACTTCCAAACTCACTCATGTGTCTGCTGGCAGGAGGCTTCAGTTCCTCACCACCTGGGCCTCTCCTTACAACATGGCATTTGGCTTTCCCAAGGGTGTGTGATCTACGAAAGAAAAACAGACCAAAACAGAAGCCGTAGATTATTTTATAACCTAATATTAGAGATAATGTAGCATCGGCCAGGTGCGGTGGCTCATGGCTGTAATCCCAGCACTTTGGGAGGCCAAGGTGGGCAGATCACTTGAGGCCAGGAGTTTAAGACCAGTCAGCCAACATGGCGAAACTCTATCTCTACTAAAATATAAAAATTAGCTGGGCATGCTGATGCATGCCTATAGTCCCAGCTACTTGGGAAACCGAGGCAGGAGACTCACTTGAACCCGGGAGGTGGCGATTTCAGTGAGCCAAGATCGCGCCACTGCACTCCAGCCTGGGCAACAGAGCAAGACTCTGTCTCAAAAAACAAAACAAACAAACAAACAAACAAACAAAACATAGCATCACTTTTACCAGATCATTCAGTCACACAAACCAACCCTGGTACAATGTGGAAGGGGGCTACACAAGGATGTGAATGCTGGACAGTAGGGCCCAGCTAGCCATTTTATAGGATGGCTATCACATTTTGTAAGGTGGTTACCATTGATGGCACCTAAGGCACAACTGCTTTTTCTGAAAATTGGCAATTATGTTGAAAATTAAACAGTCTTTCTTTCCTGTACAAACTACATTTCAGGATAACCAAATAGCCCTAAATTGCTAAATTGATGAAGGAAAGTTTTTCTTTATAGAGGAGTTCTAACTAATAAATGTGAAAAAATTATTGAATTAGAAAAATTACAATTTTACAAACTCTAATGAAATGGGGTGGCTGAATCTATCAGATTAAAAGCCAGTGGGAAAGTTTACATGGAAGGATTCAGCTATCAAGTATTAAACCCACTGGTCAATCTTAGCATCAAAAACATTATATGCTTCCTGATGTGTGGCAAAAAGTACATAGCACCACCTAAGGATTCTTACTAACAAAGTTAAACCTAACTCTAATCAAACCTTTAGAGGTAACATCAAGTTTTACAGGAAATATGAGGCTAGAGAAACTAATAAAATGGGGACACAAATAGACAAAGCCAGCATGTAGAACATTCAGGACAAATGTCCCAATTTGTTCAATTAGTTGACTATATGAGGGGAAGACGAAGAGGAGGATGGAAGGAGGAACTAGTTCAGATGTGAATTTTAAAAGAATTAAGACACATGCCCAAATTAAATACTGGAACTTTAGATCTTGAATGAAATAGAAAACAAATGTAAGAAGCATATGTATATATTTAGGGAAATATAATATGGACTTGGTATTAGATGATAACCAGGAATTATTTTGTTAAATGGGATAATGGTATTGTGATTCTGTAGGAAAATATCCTTTTTAAAATAAATGCATAATGAAGTTGAAAGTAAGATATTTGGGGTTTGCTTTAAAACGTTTCAGCAAGAAAAAATGGAGATGGATGAAACAAGTGTGGCAGAATTTTATGTATTTTTAAATGTAAATGATGGGTATATATGGGTTAATTATACTCTTCTTTCGACTTCTGCATAGGCTTAAAATAGTCTTTACTTTTGAAAAAGACATTCAATTATTTGTGTTCTTAGTTAATATTTAAAAGTAACTTTTTCATATATTTGTCACAAAACTTCTGTCCATTCCTATCTAGAGGTTCCTCTACATGGGAAAAAAGGAGCAAAAGGGTAATATTTCTGCAACCCCTTTGCACAGGCCATAAACGCACGCAAACTCCTAGAAGGCTGAGCCGCGAGGAGGAGGGCGGAGAGTTTAAGGGAACGCCTAGACCAGAGAGTTGACGCCTTTCCTAGAAAATCACCGGAAATGATAATTGGCGGACTAGGAAGTGGAGCTTCTGTATATTTCTGTTTCTCATTTCTTGGGGAGAGTACCGGCGGGAAGGTCTGTGCCTTGGGCCGTCGTGGGTCGGAATTTGCAGCTGAGAGGAGAGGAGTCCGGTGCCGCCGTCGCCCCCCTCACCTAAATACCCGGGCCCCTGGGGTTGCAGGCAGGGGCGGGTCTTTGGGGCCAGATTTGAGGAGGGAGTCGGCTGCGGTTTCCTCCCTCGAAGCCATTCCCCAAAATGAGCATTTCCCGCCCATTTGCCCTACCTCCTCCCAGGGGCTCGTGACCCATTTTTTTTTTTTTTTTTTGAGACCGGAGTCTTGCTCTTGTCGCCTCCTGACCCATTCTTTTTATTCTTCTCTACAGCATCCATTCATATATTCATTCAGTCAGCTAATTTTTAATCCAGCACATACTATTGCAAGCGCTGTTTTAGGCGTTGAGAATACAACTGTGAACAAGACGACAAAAATTCCTGCCCTCATGGAGCCTAAGAGCCTAGATTTTAGCGAAGGTAGAACCACCGTAAACAATGTATATATTAATAAGTAACTTATGCACCATACTGGAAAATTATAAAGTGCTATAGAGGAAAAGAAGAATTCATGTAAAGCAAGGTAAGGCCCATCAGGATTGGAAGGAGGGGATAGGCTGCAATTTTAAATAAGGCACTCAGAGTAGACCTCCTTGGGAAGATGACCTATAAGAAAACACTTGAAGGAGGCAAGATTATTAGCCATGGAGATCGCTTAAGGTGAAGGGAGCAGCCAATGGAAAGGCCCTAAGATGAAAGAGAAGGAAGGTCGGTATGGCTGAAGATTGAGGGAGTGGGAGAAGAGTAGAAGGTGTTGAGAATGACACATCCTGTAGACTTGTATGCCACTCTTAAGACTTCAGCTCTTATTTTGGGTGAGCAGGAGAGGAAGTTAGAAGTCACGGGCACATTCAGTAGGGCCTTGTATACCTCGGTAAGGACTTCAGGTTTTATTTTAAGTATGAACCACTGGAGAGTTTTCAGCAGAGCGATGAAATGATCCAACTCAAGTTGTAAACGGACTACTCAGACTGCCCTATTAAGAAAGGAGGTGGAGCTTGCAGTGAGCCGAGATTGCGCCACTGCACTCCCGCCTGGGCCACAGAGCGAGACTCCGTCTCAAAAAAAAAAAAAAAAAAAAAAAAAAAGAAAGGAGGAAGGCAAGGATTGAAGAAAGGAGACCAGTTAGAAGACTACCGCAGTAATGGAAAGGAGGGGAGATAGCAGGTGATGGTGGCTCAGACAAGGGTGGTAGCCGTTGAGATTGTATTCTGGATATGTTCACATTTTCAGTTTGACTTCGTGCCTCAGGTTCTCAGTGACTCCCTATTTTTTCCTGTGGTCACATTCCTCTTTTCCCTTCACCAAATATGCAGGGAAACAAGATGTGAGATCACAGCGGTTTAGTGTTGCTAATGAACCCCAAATCCAGGGCAGTGTTTGACACATTAAGCCAAACAGTAGCGGCACTGTGGGTCAAGAAGGGCCCTTTGGCTGGCACCACCAAAACATGTGTTCTCCAAAGGAGGCTGGCATCAACTGGAGCCACTTCACAGCTTGTTTGAGAACTGGATCTGACCAGTAGGAAGAAACCAGGACAGCAGTGGAAGACTGTTAAAGAAACCTGAGTAAAAAGATGCAGGAGGTAAGAAGAGGAGGGTCTGTGATACATCACAAGGAGGAAGAAGGAGAAGTGAGTCCAAGAAAGAAGGAAAGCAGTGTGAGTGGAGGTGTGTCTGACTCTAGATACTGTTGGAGGTGTCTCCTCCTAGATACTGTTTTTGCTGCTTGACCTGGTGATCATTAAAGCTTTGTAGTTGTAGATGCCATTTCTAGTTTTCATAAGGTATTAGGAACTGAGTCCATTATTTTCTCCCTTCTTTTGGTATTTCTGGGAGACAGTTTCTGTGGATAGACCTGTATGGTTGCTTGCATCTTCCTATGTATTTTTCTCACCTTCATAACTTTCCTGAATTCATTCTGTGTCTTGCAATAGGTTGTGCTGTTGGATGAGAGTTCAGGACCACCAAGCCAGCTGCTTTGGACCCGCCAGGATACCCAGCTCCCTCAGGAAAGCGGTGAGATACACAGGAGATTGTGGCAGGAGTCACGGCAGCTGAGAATGTAGTAAGGACACAGAGTGGGTGGAAAATGCCACACTGGGGCCCAAAAATCTGTTCATTAATGAGCATTTATAGAAAGTCTTATTTTGTTTCTATACGAGGCTTGGATCAATATCTAGAGGAACTAAATATTCAGTTTCTGTCAGTATCTTAAATTTTGAAAAAAATCAGTGTGTAAAAGATTCTACAAAGCAATTTATCAGAAAGAATCAATGCAGTCAGGCATTTACTGTTTGTATAACCTGAGATATATGGTAAATAGCGTACATATTTGCACATATTTTACACTTATAAAACTTGTGGTATAATTCAGTAATTCCTACCCAAACATAATTTTGCCAACATGTAAAATTTGAATATATACAATTTTACTTCTGCAGACCTTTCTGGAGCCCTGATACTTTTAAATGATGTATAGATATCTCCAAAATATAAAATAAAGCAGTGACAAAAGAAGAAGCAAAAGTTTTCCCATTGAAGCCTTGTGCTCTTTGGTGGCGTATGTGAGGAGGAAAAGTGGTTAAGATTTGTATAAAAGCTGATGGTAGGCCGGGTGCGGTGACTTATGCCTGTAATCCTAGCACTTTGGGAGGCCTAAGTGGGTGGATCACTAGAGGTCAGGAGTTCATGACCAGCCTGGCCAATATGGTGAAACCCCATCTCTACTAAAAATACAAAAATTAGCCAGGTGTGGTGTAATGCACCTGTAACCCCAGTTACTCAGGAGGCTGAGGCAGAAGAATTGCTTGAACCCAGGAGGTGGAGGTTGCAGTGAGCTGAGATCATGCCACTGCACTCCAGCCTGGGCAACAGAGTGAGACTCTGTCTAAAAAAAAAAAAAAAAAAATTGCTGTTGGAGGTGCAACCTAGGAGATAGTATATAGCAATTCAGGAGTCATAAAATCAAACCCAGAAAGGCATAGACTTTTGGACAGAGGAGTAGGCACATTCAAAAGTAAGCTTTTTAGTATATGCTACCTGCAAAAAATAAAAATAAAATGTGTTTCTAGATATAGTGTTGAAACATCTAGAGGAGGAATCCTGAGATATCTGCTGTACAAGGGATCACAAATGAGAATTAATAATATAGAACATAAATTTTTTATAGATTTAGAAATAAAAAATAATAGCTATTGCTAAACTCGGATGCACGAGTCTCCCAGTCTTCTTTTTCTCAAATGGTCGTGAAATCTGCTGTGGTGGATTTTCAGGGTCAGAAATTCTGTAGCCACCTATCATATAATACAATACAAATGTATTAATCTTATCCCACAAGATATCTGTATACTGCTTTAACAAAAAGTTTTATGTTGTTTTTTCATGTAGCCTGTTTCCTAAATTCATTTTTAACTTAAGAGGAATAACCTTTCAATTTCTAAAGCTAAAGCTAAAAAATAAAGCTTATGAATCACTATGAGTGACAGACTTTCCCAGTTGTGAAGAAGATATGGTAAAAACCAGTAGGGAATGAGTTACATAGGGGTATGCTTTTGTCAAAGTTTCTCTAAGGGTACATTTAAGACATGTGCATTTCATTATATGTAAATTTTACCTCGAAAAAGAAGGTAAACAAATGTTGAACTTCCAGTTAATGATATACATGTTAAACTGTTTAGGGGTGAGGTGTACTGATGCTTTCAACTTACTTTGAAATGATTCAAAAAATAAAATACATTAATGAACAGAGAGAGGAATAGATAAATGGATAAGTATGTGATAAAGCAAATATTGCAGAACGTAAATTGTGGAATGTAAGTGATTGGTATATGGATATTTACTATATAATTTTTTCAACTTTTCTATATACTTGAAAATATTCATAATAAAATAATGGTTGAAAACATCCAATTGAGAGCTTTAAGTGTGTTAATGTTATAAGGAAAAGAACTGTTATGTAACATTAACAAGGCACAAACATGTGTCTGCTGTGAGTTGTGTGCCATCCAGATGAGTTTAGACTTTTTGAGACAGTTATAAAGGAGCTCGGAGCTTTTAGAGTGAGACAGTGGAAAAACTGTATGGAACCACCATGACTGAGATGCAGCCTTGGTCTTGGTCAAAAGCTATAAGTAGCTGAAACTAAAGAAGAGTCTTCTTGGGCAATTTCAGTGAAAAGAAATCAGCTTGGTTCTAAATCGGTTTTTCGTAAAAATGGAATGATAGTCTTGGAGGTCTAAATCCAAAGGGTGATTATAAAATCTTACCAATAGATTACTTTGACCCTGCTGGTGTCTTAAAAGCAGACAGCAATTATTCAGATTTGGACTTGGCGATGTGTTGATAAACTATCAAGAAAAATAAGGCACCTTAAACATTGAAGCTACAGAAAGATTGAGCTGGCCTGCAAGGAATAAAGTCAGGCCCTATTAATTAGTAATATGAACTACTTCTCAGCTGGGCGTGGTGGCTCATGCCTGTAATCCCAGCACTTTGGGAGGCCGAGGCGGGTGGATCATGATGTCAGGAGATGGAGACCATCCTGGCTAACATGGTGAAACCCCATCTCTACTAAAAATACAAAAAATTAGCCAGGCATGGTGGTGGGCACCTGTAGTCCCAGCTACTTGGGAGGCTGAGGCAGGAGAATGGTGTGAACCCAGGAGGTAGAGCTTGCAGTGAGGCAAGATCACGCCACTGCACTCCAGCCTGGGAGACAGAGCGAGACTCTTAAGTCTCAAAAAAAAAAAAAGAAACTACTTCTCACCCAATCATATGGATTATACCTGAACACTTGGACACTCTTTATAAAGTTTCTTTTGCATTTTAAAATGCTCTGTGTGCTATACTATATTGACATAGGGAGGATAACTCAGTACTAGGGAATTAGTAGGAAAAATGTGCAAAATCGGGAAGAATGATTCTTCTCTAAGAGGAATAAGGAAAAAAATTTGTAACTAACTGGAGGTAGACCAGCCATTAAGTTACCTGAAAAAATAAGCTTTGGTCCTATCCCTGGATGCTTCTGTTCAACACATATGCACACACACACATACGCGTGCATGCACACACTCTTTTTCACCCTCCTTCTACCCCAAGTATTTTGGAAGAAATGACTTCAGTATTCAAATACAGGAAGAAGGTCTATTCAAAACCAGGGAATAAGTGATTTGGGCCTTTTTACCAGATCTGTTTGGGGAGGGGGAAAGTTTATTCCAGGACAAAGACCACAGGAAAACAGTAGGTGAGACAGGAAAAGAGTGCATTTCCAAGAGCTGCCTTGGCTGCTGTGCCAGGGCCTGATGCCCAACACTGGAAGTTGAGACTAGAAAAATAATGAAGAGGAAGGATACTGTAAGGCAGTAGCCTAAAGCCCTAGGTTAGAGCTGCAGAAGCTTCTACATTTGAGGAAGAGAAGACGAATGCAGGAGATTTCATTAATACTGTGCTATATTGACTCTTGGCTTACTTATCTTCCCTCAGCTCTATTACCTGCTCCATATCCTGCCTTCACTAAAGATGGAAGCCAAGGAAACCTGCCGCAAGCAGATATCACACTAATGAGCCAGGCCCAAGTGAGCTGAGGCCCCTTTCCTCCTCCTTGAAAATACATCACTACCTCCAAAATATGGCCTTGTTTTCACTGCGTTCTCTGGCTGTGCAACTCCTAAATCAATGTTCTCCCTCTCATAAGGAACATTTTGTTGCATGATAAACCACTTGTGGGTTGTTTTCTCTTTCATTATTTTTTGCTATCAAAACCCCATGCTCCCTTTCATCTCATTTGTACATACCCACCAAAAGGGAAGAGCCTTTCACTTCTATAAACCTCCTCCTTGCAAATTCCTTTCTTCTGCCTCTGTTTCCTGAGGAAACTATGGCGTTTTCTCCAGGATAGCAGGAGCATATTATTTCAGGAGTCAGTGACATTTGAGGATGTAGCTGTGAACTTCACTAACAGGGAGTGGCAGTGTCTGACCTACGCTCAAAGGCATCTCTATAAGGATGTGATGTTGGAAAATTATGGGAACATGGTATCACTTGGTAAGGACCTTCCCTACACTTAATGCTTTCTACCTTCTTTTTTTATTATTTAATTGATTTATTTATTGATGTATATAAGGTCTCATATTGAAAGAGTCCTTATTCTTTATCATCAGGATCTTGCCCAAAAATTAAGAGTTTTGAGTTGCCTCTATTACATAGCAAGATAATTTTTTGGCTAACCTAGTTGCTGTTTTCTGATTTGGAATGAGTTAAAAGGAGACATTTACCTTCTGTTTTCCCTGGGTTCTTGCTTCCTCAAGCCTCTCATTTTTTTATGGGGTGTTCTATATTCCGCTCCTAGTCAAGAACTGCCTTCTATGTGCCTGAAACTGATAGTCTTCCTATACCAGACTCCCATTCTCCTAAAGTAAAACAAAATAAAATTAAAAAAAAAAAAAACAGGAGAGCACACCCAAATGACTGTTTCCCAGAACTTCTCTTTCCTTCTGAGTGTGACTTTTCTGAGAAAGTCCCCAAACATGTTCTTTTACATGTTACTAGACCCCTGAAAAACCCTTTTCTCTATCTAAATTAACATTTCTTTCCTGTTTTCATATACAAACAGAAGGATCAGGGCTGCTTAGCTAAGTTATAAGTTATTAAGTTATAAGTTACTCTACACACTTATTTCTTCTCTGCAACCAGGATTTCCATTTCCTAAACCTCCTTTAATCTCTCATCTGGAGCGAGAAGTAGACCCCTGTGTGCAGGATCCACAGGACAGGGAGTCCCTAAGCTGCTCCTACCCAGGTGAGTAATAGAGAAACTTTCAGTTCCCTCTGATCTTCCATGTGGCATAATGGTTATGGAACATTCTCAGTGGTGGATCATCCAGTCGAAGGGCCCAGAAAGGAAACCCATTTAGGAAACTTAAGGAAAAGAAAATTGAAACAGTGACAAACTATTTGGGCAATTATTCTGTTATTATCTAATTGGTTCTTTGCAACCTATCTAATAGATTTTTGCAATTTGGCCCTCAAAAAAGGCTCAGAGGCTGGGCACAGTAGCTCATGCCTGTAATCCCAGCAATTTGGGAGGCCAAGATGGGCAGATCACCTGAGGTCGGGAGTTTGAGACCAGCCTGGCCAGTATGGTGAAACCCCATCTCTACTAAAAATACAAAAATTAGCTGGGTGTGGTGGTGCATGCTGGGTGTGGTGGTGCATGCTGGGTGTAATCCCAGCTGCTTGGGAGGTCTGAGGCCGGAGAATCATTTGAACCCAGGAGACAGAGGTTGCAGTGAGCTGAGATCACACCACTGCACTCCAACCCGGGGGACACAGTGAGACTCCACCTCAAAAAAAAAAAAAAAATCTCAGAATATTTATTACCCTTCTGTGTGTCAGTTACTGCAGTGCTCATAAATTGAGACAGGTGAGAGTCATTCTAGGCAGAAGGAATAACATGTGAGAAAGCATTGAGGAATAAAATAATATGAACTATGAATTGTTCAGTGTGAGTAGAGCAGGGGACTTAGAATAGCTTTGGGGAGGTTCATAAGTAGTAGAAAGGGGCAAGATCATGATATGACGTCTGTTTTTTGGGAGTTTTCTTAAGGAATTTAAACTACAAAACTTGAACTTACAATAACAGCTAATATTGATTAAAGTACTTCAGTGTGGCATGTGCTTTACATACATTAACTCATTTAGATAAAGCAACTGAGGCAAAGGAGAAGTGAAGTCATCCTCCCAAGTTCACACAGGTATTAAGATTTATTAACTGTCATACTAGGATTTGAACCCAGGCAGTCTCACTCTAGAGCCAGGACTCTTGACCGTATGCTTTACTTTCTTCCTGTCTGGTTAACTATGGAGTGCCATTGAAGTATTTTAAGCTAAAAAGTGACATGATTAGACTTGATTTTCAGAGAGAATAATCTGGAAGCAGTGCAGAGGATGGATTAGAAGGGATTCAGGGTAAAGGATGTTTGAGGGATATAGCAATTAGTGAGAATGCACTGGCAGTGGAAATAAAGAGGAAGAGATAGAGTTCAGAGATAATATTAATAAGATGTATTTGGAGTCTTTGGTTGACAGCAATAGAAATTAACCCAAGCTAGCTTAAGCAGAAAAACATGAATTTATTTATTATTCAGGATGTGTCATGGGACCTAAGGGCAGCTATGTGTCAGGCCCTAGAAGAGACTCAAAACCATCAGGTTTCCAACTGTATTCCCTGCTTCTTTGTGAGTCAGCTTCATTCTTCTTTCTAGGCAAATTGACCTTCTCTTCTTCTCGGACCAGATGGCAGAACATTCCCTCCTCTGTACCAAATACCATCCCACCACCACTAGTTCTCAAATTTAAGTGCTAAAGACTGAGCTACTCTTAGAGCTGGCCTTACCTGCCGTCAGATCACAATTCTAAAGTCCAGGATTAGAGAATCTGACCTGGTTTGGGTCAGGTATTGCACAGATCTAATCTGCCCCAACCAGATGGGCTGAGTCACATAACAGAAATATGGCTCTCCAGGGCCCACCCTTGGGAGCAAAGCAGACAGTTCCTTGAAAAGGGACTGCATCAGCATTTCAGCACCTCCTCTGTAACTCTCTTCACAGGTAGAATTTGTAAAATGTTAGCTGGGTAAATACAAGGGAGACAGAGTTGAAGATTATTTTGTTTTGTGGCTTAGATGACTAGGTGTATAGAGTTTACACTCACTAAACTAGGAGACTATAGAGGAGGAATAGGTTTTTAAGGATTTTTTATAAAGTGTGCTGAGTGTAAAATATCTCAATACTTTTCATTATTTCAGCCTGTTCTGACTTTTGGCCACAACGTTAGTAATTTTTCCAGCATGGAAAAGTTATTTACTCTTCAAACAGCTTAACATTGCTTCACGCCTCCCATCTCACTTATTTCCTTCCCTCTGACATTTGTATTTTCTTGTTTAAGTGTCAGCTGACAAGATGTGGCCTGAGAATGAAAAGGCAAGTTCACAACAAGAGATTTTTGAAAATGGAGAAGCCTACTGGATGAAATTTAACAGTCTCCTAAAAGTTGATTCCCGGGATCCTAAGGTTAGAGAAGTTTGTGTTCAGGATGTCAAATTAGAGAATCAATGGGAAACATCTATAAGGGAGAAACTGAGAGAAGAGAAAGAAGGCTCTGAGGAAGTGACCTGCAAAAAAGGAAAGAACCAGAAAGTGCTTAGTAAAAACTTGAATCCAAACTCAAAACATAGTCAATGTAATAAAGTTCTTATAGCACAGAAACTCCATGAATGTGCCAGGTGTGGCAAAAACTTCAGTTGGCACTCAGATCTAATTCTCCATGAGCAAATTCATTCTGGTGAGAAACCCCATGTGTGTAATGAGTGTGGGAAAGCATTCAAGACCAGAAATCAGCTTTCTATGCACCGGATAATCCACACAGGGGAGAAACCTTTTAATTGCACCCAGTGTGGGAAGGCTTTCAACAGTAGATCAGCTCTTTGCCGACATAAAAAAACCCACAGTGGGGAGAAGCCTCACGAGTGCAGGGACTGTGGGAAGGCCTTCAAGACCAGGAACCGTCTCTGTATGCATCAGCTTATCCACACCGGGGAGAAGCCTTACAAATGTAACTGCTGTGGGAAGGCCTTCCAGTTTAAGCATTCCCTTACCATCCATGGCAGAATCCACACTGGGGAGAAGCCATATGAATGTGAGGAGTGCGGGAAGGCCTTCAGTGGGAGTTCAGACCTCACCAAACACATAAGAATCCACACTGGGGAACGACCTTATGAGTGCAGCAAGTGTGGAAGGGCCTTCAGTCGGAGCTCAGACCTAAGCAAACACAAACGAATCCATACTCGGGAGAAACACTATGGGTGTCCCCAGTGTGGAAAAGACTTCAGCATCAAGGCAGAACTCACCAAACACAGAAGGATCCACACTGAAGAGAAACGTTACAGGTGTGAGGAGTGTGGGAAAGCCTTTCGTCATAACTGTAAGCGCAGGGCTCATGAACGAGAGCATACAGGGGAGAAGCCCTATCAATGCAGGGATTGTGGGAAAACCTTCCAAGATAAGCACTGCCTTACCATCCATCAGAGAATCCACACTGGAGAGAAACCTTACAAATGTTTAGAGTGTGGGAAAGCTTTCAGTGGGAAGTCAAACTTGACCAATCATCGAAGAATTCACACTGGAGAGAAGCCTCACAAATGTGAGGTATGTGGAATGGCCTTCCATCATAGTTCAGTCCTGAGGCAGCACAAAAGAATCCACACTGGTGAGAAGCCATACACCTGCAGTGAGTGTGGCACGTCCTTCCGTCAGGGCTCAGCTCTGATTGGACATAAGCGAGTTCATACTGGGGAGAAACCTTATGAATGTGAGGAATGTGGAAAAGCTTTTAGAGTGAGCTCAAATCTTACTGGACATAAGAAAAGAAAACATCAAGTATGGAGTACCCATGAACTTGATGGGAGTAGGAAATCCCTCTCTCCAGTGACTGTTTCTCAGACCTCAGTAGTCAGTATTTTGACCAGTGCCTGAGTATAACGATTCTGGTGTTACTTTCTGTTTTTCCTACCTCTTAGGCTGGTCCTTCTGTCTCTTATATTAGTTATTCCTGATTTCCTGACCCTTAATTGTGAGATTCCCCAAAGACATTGTCCTTTACCTTCTTATTCACTATTTTTTCAGTGAGCACATTTACTTCCAAGAGTTTATCAATCACTTCCTAATATTAATAAACACTTATTAGTGCTTGCTGTGTTCTAGGCACTGTTCTAAGGGATTTACACATTTAAACTTTTTAAATCCATACAACATCCCTATGAGATCAGGAATTTGAGGCACAGAAAGATTAACAAACTTGCCCAGGATCACGTAACTAGTAAATTCTGTGCTCAGGCTTTCCTAGGCAATTCCCATATGCGTGCACCACATCTTTCCGACATGAAGTTATACCTCAGTTCAGCAGAAAACAGTTTGTAATTTATAAACACCAATCATTTTTAGCAATTTTTTTAACATAAAGCTAGAATGGTACTTCTCCATATTGTATCAGGATTGCTAAGATTCAAAGTGAAAAGGGAGGCAGGGAGAGAACAGGTTTAGAAATCACAGATAAGAGTCAGGCACGGGGGTTCATGCCTGTAATCCCAGCACTTTGGGAGGCTGAGGAGGGAGGATCACGAGGTCAGGAGTTCGAGACCAGCATGGCCAATATGGTGAAACCCTGTCTCTACTAAAAATACAAAAATTAGCCAGGCATGGTGGTGCACGCCTGTAGTCCCAGCTACCCTGGAGGCAGAGGTTGCAGTGAGCCAAGATCGTGTCACTGCACTCCAGCCTGGGCAACACAGCAAGACTCCATCTCAAAAAAAAAAAAAAAAAAAAGAAATTACTAGTCTGACCTCCAGAAGTCTTTTGATGTTTCCTAAACACATAAAATGAATATTTTGAGAGCGTATTTGAATAAATTTTAGATTTTTACCTGGTGAAAAAGATATGTCTTGAAAATTCTGAAGGACTACTTTATGAACAGTGGGTTAATCTTGTTCTGCAACTATCCCAGAATAGAATTACAATCCACAAGTAGAAGCTACAGGACATCTGTACATTTAGGAGATACTCAACTGGAACAGATTCTGCCATAAGGTAATAAGTTTGGTAAGAATAATACTGAAGGAATTCGAAGGTCAGGTGCATAGTTGAATGACAAAACATGTTGCTTGAAACCCTAAGATATCTGTAGTTCTAATTCTGAAGAGTTACCAAACAAGAGTTAGTCTAAGTTATAATTTACATACAAAAATCACCAGGTAAAACTCACTTTTTAAATCGAATTACATTCCACGTGCAAACACAAAATTTTTACCAGAACACTGATATGAGATTATTTTTACCTTCACAAAAGAAATGGAGAATGCCAATTTCATTTAAGTTTAAGAAAGATGATAAGATACTTCTTGGTAAGGATTGTAGCTTGACTACGTGTATTTGGTATTGCTCCCCCTCAGAACTACACTAATGCTACAGTAAAACCATTCATAATCAGGAAGAATGGCAGAAGAGGCAACTACAAAATTTTGGAAACTGAAAAAAGGATAAGTAATAATGACATTGAATTTGAGAAAGCTAAATTTTAGCCTGAAGGGGGCAAGTAAAGGACAAATCTGACCGGGCACCGTGGTTGACACGTGTAATCCCAGCACTTTGGGTGGCTGAGATGGGCAGATCACTTGGGATCAGCAATTTGAGACCAGCCTGGCCAACATGGTGAAACCCTGTCTCTTTATTAAAAATAGAAAAATTGGCTGGGCTTGGTGGTGCGTGCCTGTAGTCCCAGCTACTGGGGAGTGGGAGGCGGAAGTGGCAGTTAGCCGAGATTGCACCACTGCACTCCAGTCTGGGCAACAGAGTGAGACTCCTTCTAAAAAAGAAAAGAAAAAAAAAAAGACATTTATTTTACATCATAGAATCTTTAAGCGACTCAAGAATTGGTGGCACCATGTACCCCTGGAAATGAGAATGAATAGACTAAAACGAGGAGAGTCTGTCAGAGGCTATTTAGGAAGCAAGCAGAGTCCTAGGTCCTCAAGCCCAAAGAAGACTGGAGGTTTATTTTCTGAAGAAGGTTAAACAAAGGATATGTGGGCTAGACACATGGAGGACAGGAATTCCATTTGAAAAAGGAGCATACTGAATGTCAACGCCTCCAGCCTACTTTCCTTATCTCCCAGAAAGATGAGGGTCTGGCTTTCACCTCCCAGACAAAAGACGCAGTTTTCAGTGAGAAATCCAACCAGAATAGACTTGAAGATACATCAGGAGTTTCTCAGCAAGTGGCCTAGCCAGATAACCTGTAGTGAACATCAGCAAGTCATAGTCGTGCCATCAGAGCTTCCCATAGGTTTTATAGTCCTCCTCTATTAAAAAAAATGTATTGGCCGGGCGCAGTGGCTCCTGCCTGTAATCCCAGCACTTTGGGAGGCTGAGGTGGGCAGATCATCTGAGGTCAGGAGTTCAAGACCAGCCTGACCAATATGGAGAAACCCTGTCTCTACTAAAAATGCAAAAATTAGCCAGGCATGGTGGCGCTTGCCCGTAATCCCAGCTACTCAGAGTCTGAGGCAGGAGAATCGCTTGAACCCGGGAGGCAGAGGTTGTGGTGAGCCGAGATTGTGCCATTGCACTCCAGCCTGGGCAATAAGAGCGAAACTCCATCTCAAAAAAATAAATAAATAAAAAATAAAGTTTATTATAGAACATTTCAAACCCATGCAAGAGTTAAGGCAATAGAAAAATGAACTCCATGTACACATCATTCAGCTTCAACAATTATTACGTCAGGGTTAATCTTGTTTCATCTGTATCCCCACCCATTCCCTCTGCTTAAGATTATTTTCAAGCAAATGACAGAAATTGTGTTTCATCCATAAGTATTTAATTGTCTATAGGAGATAATGACTGTTTAAAAAAACTAACAATATGGGCCGGGCACGGTGGCTCACACCTGTAATTCCAGCACTTTTGGGAGGCTGAGGTGGATGGATTGCCTGAGGTCAGGAGTTCAAGACCAGCCTGGCCAACATGGTGAAACCCCGCCTGTACTAAAAATACAAAAATTAGCCAGGCGTGGTGGCAGGCGCCTGTAATCCCAGCTACTCGGGAGGCTGAGGCAGGAGAATTGCTTGAACCCGGGAGGTAGAGGTTGCAGTGAGCCGAGATCGCGCCACTGCACTCCAGCCTGGGCGACAGAGCAAGACTCAGTCTCAAAATAAATAAATAAATAAATAAACAAACAAACAAACTAACTAACAAACTAATAATAGAGCCAGGGGCACGACGGCCTATGCTGTAGTCCCAGCTACTTAAGAGGCTGAAGTGGGAGGACTCCTTGAGCCCTAAAGTTTGAGGTTAGCTTGGGCAATATTGCAAGACCCCATCTCTAAAAAACAAACCAAAAATATAAGTAAACTAACACTAGTACAGTTATCACACCTAAACAAAATTATCTATTTGGCAACATCATCAAAGATTCATTCGCTGTTCAAATTTTTCTCTAATGCCATTTTTTCTTAACATTAAAAAAAACCAAGCCAGGCACCATGGCTCACACCTGTAATCCCAGTACTTTGGGAGGCCAAGGCAAGAAGATCACTTGGGCTCAGGAGTTCAAGACCAGCCTGGGCAACATAGCAAGACCCTGTCTCTACAAAAAATTCAAAAATTAGCCAGGCATGGTGGTGCATGACTGTGGTCCCAGCTACTCGGGAGACGAGCTTGGGAGGTCAAAGCTGCAGTGAGCCGTGATTGTGCCACCACACTCCAGCCTGGGTGACAGAGTGAGACACTGTCTCAGAAAAAAAAAAAAAAAAGTATTCAAATAAGGTCAATACATTGTGATTAGTTGGTATGTATCTTAAGTATTTTAATATATAAGTTCTCCCTATATCTCTTTTTTCTTGAAATTTATTTAATGATTAACTAGGTTGCTGGTGCTGCAGAGTTTCACAGTTTGGATTTTAATTATTGCACACCTTTGGTAGTATTTAACACATTCCTCTGCCCCTGCATGTCCTAAAAATTAATAGTTAGATCTAAGGGCTTTATCAAATTCTATATTTAGATTTGATTTGGGTAAGACTACTTCATAGGTGTCAGCACAAGCCTTTTTTGTTTAACATGACTAAAGTAGTCTTCAGTAGCCTCCTTGCTTTCTGGTGAAAAGATTTTCCAGGTTCATCTGGTATATTTCCTTAGGAAGACTCTTGTTTCTAAAACTAGTACAGGAAAAAAATATAAGATCTGAATAGTCTGATACCAATTATTTAAATAGAACCTATAATATATATTCCCAGAAAGAAAACTCAAGGGTCAGATGTTTTCACCAGTTAATTCTACTAAACATGCAAGGGAAAATAATCCCAATGTTAAACTCATTTTATGAGGCCTGTATAACCTTAATACCAAACCATTAGGGAACGATGAGGAAAAACAAACAACACAAGGAAATTTTTTAAAAAAGAAAATTACAGGCTATTATCATTCATGAATGTAGTGAGAAAAATCTTGAGATAGTAACAAACTGAATCCAGGAATATACATTTTTTAAAAGATTACATGTCTTGAACAAGTTAAGATTATTCTAGCATGGAGAAGTTGGATTAGCATTCAAAAATCAATAAAGGTGGTCAGGCGTGGTGGCTCACACCTGTAATCCCAGCACTTGGGGAGTCCCAGGTGGGAGGATCACTTGAGGTCAGGAGTTTGAGACCAGCCTGGCCAACATGGCAAAACGCCCCTCTCTACTAAAAATACAAAAATTAGCCGGACCTAGTGGCCTGCACCTGTAATCCCAGTTGGGAACAATTCTGTGACAGTCCTTCTTTCTAACATACAATTCATATTATTTTCTTTTTATTCTCTTAAATCTGGAACATCATTCAAAATCTACACATAGAAAGCTATCTCCTTTTTAGTAGAGTTTGCCCCATATTAGGGCAATAACTTATCTAATCCTTGTGAACCCCCATGAGAACCCCACTAAACTCTGAGTTCCGTGGGGCAAGGACGTTCTGTGCTGTTCCCTTCCTTATCCTCTCCATACCCTCCCAAACTTTATGAAGCTGGAAAGAGGAAGAGAAGGAGATGAGGGAAGGCTTCCAAGGAGAAACAACTTCCAAGCTGAGGTCTAGAGAATGAGAGACAGACCAGAAGTATGCAGAGAGAACTGCTCCGAGGAGAGATAGGGCTCCCCCGGCAACCACAGAGATACGGGGTACTGAGAAGCCCACAGAGAAGGTACCTGACTGGGTGTGTCTGGCAGTTGTAAGGTAAGGCAAGGCACTGGCACTTTCCCTAGAGTTGTCTCTTCTCTATACCATATAACTATGGTTCCAAGTGTGAAGTGAGCACACTACAGAGAGGCTGGAGGAAGAACAGCAGCTGATTCCAAACATAAATTAATCCTTCAGGCTGCGTGCGGTGGCCCACGCCTGTAATCCCAGCACTGTGGGAGGCCGAGGAGGGAGGATCACTTGAGGCCAGGAGTTCGAGACCAGCCTGACCAACATGGCGAAACCCCGTCTCTACTAAAAATACAAAAATTAGCCAGGGCGTGGTGGCGCGCACCTGTAATCCCAGCCACTCGGGAGACTGAGGCAGGAGAATGGCTTGAACCGGGGAGGCGGAGGTTACAGTGAGCCGAGATCGTGCCACCTCACTAAGTATGTGCCATTAAGGGTTTTTTTGCTTGTGTCACTCATTGCTGTATCTGAGGCGCCTGGAGTACACTGTCCTCTAAATAATGGGGGAACATTGTTCTGGGGACGGTTATCTCTGGCTCCGTGGTAAACAGAAGTCGAAGAGGAGAATGGGATTGATACGTAAGAACCATTCATACTGAACATTTGGAAAGGGATTCTCCTAAAAACAGTCCCTAGTGAGAATGAAAAGTACTTGGCAGCGGTGGGATTTGAACCCACGCCCCCGAAGAGACTGGAGCCTTAATCCAGCGCCTTAGACCGCTCGGCCACGCTACCGTTGATTACAACTGTGTTCTTCCGCATTTTCCCTAGTAGAGAATGTCGCCCTCTACTGCGTTTAAGGTGTGTCTTTTTTCCCATTAGGGAATGTCGCCCCCCCCCCCCACCCCGGGGCGTTTAAGGTGTGCCTTCTCCCCATGACCTCTTCTCTGGAGCTCCCTCCAGCGCCATCAGAGAACTTCAGGCAGCTGTTCAGCCGCCACACACCCCGAACCCCCAACACGTTGCTTTCGCACTGATGGGAGCAGTGAGGAAGGAAACCGGCGGATCCTAGACGCCCTTCCCTTGCGTCACCGATGTAAGAGGAAGCGGCCACGCGGACGGAGACCCCCAGGGGACGCTGTGGTTCGCAGGTTCGCTGTGGAAGGTGACGCCTGGCTGGAGCCCCGACGCCGCTGAGCGAGTTTCAAGTGGTTTTGGCCGACGGAACTCTACGAAAAAACGGGGCGCCGTGCGAAAGAGCGCAGTCCTTGCTGTTTATGAAGGTAAAAATTCAGAAGGTGACCCGCGGTCCCCGCAGAAATGCCCGCCGGGCAAAAGGCACAAGACGGTTCAGTTTGAAACCTCAAGATTCGAATCATTTAAAAGTATAGTTGCTGCTATAGTATAATGCAATGCATTGACAAAGTTGTTCGTTGCGTTTCTCTTAGTGCAGGCGACAGCGCGTCGGTCTCCTTGGCCCAAAATTTTGACTGAGTCCTAAAATAAAAACGCATTGTGCAAAAAATTATGACAAATAAGATCATAATAAAGAAAGTTAACTAGCGCTGGAGTTTCTTATTGTTTTGTCATTCATCTTCATTAAAATCACTGCTGACGGAAGTTTTTATCCAATATGCCAGTGGAAACTATGCTGTCTTAGAATTCTTTTTTTTTTTTTTTTTTGGAGATGGAGTTGGCTAGAGTCCAATATCGCGATCTCGACTCACCGCAACCTCCGCCTCCCAGGTTCAAGCAATTCTCCCGCCTCAGCCTCCCGAGTAGCTGGGATCACAGGCATGCGCTACCAAGCCCGGCTAATTTTGTATTTTTAGTAGAGATGGGGGTTTCTCCATGTTGGTCAGGCTGGTCTGGAACTCCCGACCTCAGGTGATCCGCCCGCCTCGGCCTCCCAAAGTGCTGGGATTACAGGCGTGAGCCACCGCGCCTCCCAAAGTGCTGGGATTACAGGCGTGAGCCACCGCGCCTCCCAAAGTGCTGGGATTACAGGCGTGAGCCACCGCGCCCGGCTGTCTTACAAATTCTTATATTTGAGTTGTTCATACGGAATTTACTGCATAGTGCCTGGTGTTAATTTCCTGTGGTTACTGTAACAAATTATCAGAAACTGTCTAAAAACAACAGATATGTATTCTCTTACAACAGATATGTATTTCTGAAGGCCAGAAATCCACAATCAGTATGTGGGCCAAAATCAAGGTGTGGGCTGCGTCCAGCTCCCTCTAGAAACTTTAGAGTAAAATCCTATCCTGGCCTTTTCCAGCTTCTGGTGGTTGCTTGTTGACTTATACTGATTCAGTAAAAGTACCTCGTCAATACTAAAAGTTGCAATACTCTTAGCAATACATTATTTCCTAAGGAAATTACTTTAGGAAAATTACTAAGAAAAAAGATTTCCAAGAAAGCAAAAGCAACACAGTCACTCCCTTTTTTGAGACGAAGTCTCAGTCCGTCGCCCAGGCTAGAGTGCAATGGCGCCATCTCGGCTCACTGCAACCTCTGCCTCCCGGGTTCCGGGTTCAAGCGATTCTCCTGCCTCAGCCTTCCGAGTAGCTGGGACTACAGGCATTCGCCACCACGCCCAGCTAATTTTTGTATTTTTAGTAGAGACAGGGTTTCACCATATTGGCCAGGCTGGTCTCGAACTCCTGACCTTGTGATCCGCCTGCCTTGGCCTCCCAAAGTGCTGGGATTACAGGCGTGAGCCACGGCGCCCGGCCTGCACACCCGCCCCCCTGCTCTTTCTCCTGGTCTCACTTTCCTCTGTTCCTCCGTATTCCCCAAGGTAGGCGCGCCTCTTTTGTCACCTGCTGTGTCAATCTGGGCTCTCTGCCTGGTTCTCTCAGTCCCTCACAACAGCAATAGTTTCCTCTCCACTATCAAGGCTATATTCTCCTACCAGTTCTAGATCTCTGAGAGCAAGATGGCCGAACTTGAGGGAGACCACTTTTTGACAGCTTTAACCTTCAAGGACACAGAGCAAGGGTGCCCTCCTGCTAGGTGCTAATTGGTTCAATGCTTCATCAGCTGCATCTTGGTCCATCAAAGGCATCATTCCAGAGACTGATTTTCTCTCTGGTGTTTGCAATCCTGCACGGTAAACTAGGAGGGTGAAAACAAAACAGAAAAATGGGAGAAATTATTTGAAAGTGACGATATCAACCAGTGAACATCAGGAATCCATTAACCCGTTCAACAAGTATTGACTGAATGCCTACTCTGTGCCTGGGCACTGAGTATTCAGGACGAACGCTGACACCGGCGGTCCTCACCTTCACAGCTAGGAGGAAAGGCCAACTGATTAAGCAATTGCAAGTCATCATCGTGACTGAATTGGTGCTGGGTCACACAGCTCGGGATTGGAACTTAGTGTCGATCTGGAAAGGCCTGCTTGGAGAAATTCACGAATGCACTGAGGAATGGGGTGGGGGTAGGAGGTTGGAGCGAGACAAGACTGGCCAAAAGTCTGAAAAGAAAAAGACAATTTGGGTTTGAACCCGCAACAGAACAAGCCCCACAACCCTTCTCTCTCCGTAGAATCCCTACCTCCCGGAGGGAAGACTGAGAATCCTGAAGGGGTCAGGAATGAGAAGGACAAAGGAGAAAGAAAAGAGTAGGACGGCTTCTCCCACGGATCAATCGCGTAGGTGGTGGTGGTCCCTGACAGCTGCAGCTGCCTGATCACTGCTGGATCTGTGATTCTAAAATTCTGAGCAGTAACGAGCCCAAGCGTGCACCTGAGGAAAGAGTAAGGGCACACAAAGTCAGAACAAAGTATGTATGTATTTGAGCCAGGGCCTCGCTCTGCCACGATCAGAGCTCATTGCGGCCTCGAACTTCTGGGCTCAAGAGATCCTCCCGCCTCAACCTCCGAGCAGCTGGAACTACACGTACACGTGACCGCGCCTAGTTTTTCTTTCTTTTCTTTCTCTTTCTTTTCCTTTCTCTCTCTCTCTCTCTTCCCCCCGCCCACCCCCCCCCCTTTTTGGTAGAAACGGGGGTCTCGCTTTTTTGTCCTGGCTGATCTCGAAATCCGAGGCTTCAAGCGACCCTCCCGCCTCCGCCAGAGGAAGAATGTAAACGGGACAGGAATGTGTCTCTGCTCCCCCGCCCTGGCGAGGGACTTGCTAGTATCCTCTATCCAACTGCTGGCTGAATGTGTTCTCTCTAGGAATCGAGGAGGACTGCCTTTCTCGCTGGTTCTATTTCAGTCCCGATCCCACAGCTTCAGTCCAACCGGTTTGCTTTGTTTGATAGGCTGGGCATGAGAGTGAGATTTGGAGCTATCCTCACAGATTCCTGGAAGTTGAACAGATCTCTGATGAGTCCTCTCTTTAGAACTAAACTGATTCCCCCAGGACCTACCAACTTGAGGAATTTTCTGGGAAGCACTTAGGTACCTGTACGGACTTGTCAACAACTGCCATACGTAAGAGACTCTAATTCCAGCTTTACTGTGCATGACCAGAAAGCTTGAAATTGAAATCTTGATGCCATCCCATAGTTAACCGAGATTTTCCAGGTTTATATATAGTTCAGAATTCAAAGTTCTGAAAATCTAAGAGCTTTCACAACTCTGCGCTTTTGCTTCTCCTGAGACGCTTGTCCTGGAATGCTGGTTTCCATTTTGTTCCCTAATAAAAATCTTGTTCATTCTTCAAAGCCCACTTCAAATAGGGTCTTCCCCACCCCACCTCCAAATCTCCCTCTCTCTCTCACATACACACACCCCATTGTATTTTTCCACACTTCATTTTAGCAGGTAACTCTGTGCCCAATAGAAAATTTACTCACTTGGCGGGGCGCGGTAGCTCACGCCTGTAATCTCAGCACTTTGGGAGGCCGAGGCGGGCGGATCACCAGGTCAGGAGATCGAGACCATCCTGGCTAACACGGTGAAACCCCGTCTCTACTAAAAATACAAAAAATTAGCCGGGCGTGGTGGCGGGCGCCGGTAGGCCCAGCTACCTGGAGGCTGAAACAGGAGAATGGCGTGAACCCAGGATGCAGAGCTTGCAGTGAGCCGAGATGGCGCCACTCCACTCCAGCCTGGGCGACAGAGCGAGACTCTGTCTAAAAAAAAAAAAAAAAAAAAAAAAAAGGAAAACTTACTCACAGTATCTGTCTCCTTCATTCCCCAAGTACGGTGAGAAGAATGATGATGATGATAATATTAATAACACGGATTTGGATAATTGGCTGACTGCTTTTGTGTATTATGTTATTGACTCATCGCAACTTTATATAGTAAATACTGTAATACTTTTATTCCCATTTTACAGTTGAGAAAATTGGGATTTGGGGGGTGTTAAGAGGTGAGATTTCTGTCTTGGTCATTTTTCATTTTCCATAGTGACTAGTGTAGTACAAGCCTACTGGCTCTGAATATTTGCAGATTGATTCCTTGACCCTAGCTGTTGACTTTTTTTTTTTTTTTTTTTTTTTTTAGTAGTCTTTCACATTCTCTTTCCTCCTCTTGTCTTGATGCATATTTTGGTTTTGTTATATTTTTTCGACGTTCTCTCTGAGCTGACGAGTAAACGGTAGCAAGTCTGGTGAATAAACAGAACCTACCGTGCCAAAATTAGGGAATTTTTTTTCCTATGGACAATGAATAATAGCTCAGATGAGAAGGAAAGAAACTGGTAGCATTCGAAGAAGAGTTCTTTTTCTCTAATCCAATTAGCTTTATGTGGAAAATGAAAGAAAAGAAAAGAAAAGAAAAAAAGAGGCATTAATCAAGATAAGTTAAGCCAGACAGTTCCTTTCACAGGGGTCCCAACCAGACTGTTTTCTGAAAGCAGAGGCATAAAAACTAATGAAGCAAGAGATTCTTGCTGCACATAGAGGAGACAACGTGTGATATCACGAAAAGAGGGTGCTTTTCAAGAACTGATCACCAGCAGGCCTAGAGGGTTGAATTCCTATGAAACATTAGATTAAAAGGCTTCCGTATATACAGGAATTTTACAAACCATATTACTTTTATGTCTATGTCAAAATAAGATTTCTTAGTCAAATTGATCTTATGTATGTGTCAAAGTTTATTAATTCAAGGACAGAACTGACAAGATGACAAAAGAGTGTCCCATCTCAAGGAAGTTTTGGAAACTGTGAATATATGGAGCCAGGGAAGAGAAGAGAAAGTGCAATTAATTAGAAAAAGTCCTGCTTCATTTAACTGGATCATAACAACATCACATCCTGGCTGGAAGCGGTGGCTCACGCCTGTAATCCCAGCACTTCGGGAGGCTGAGGCGGGTGGGTCTCTTGAGATCAGGAGTTCGAGACCAGCCTGGCCAACATGGTGAAACCGCGTCTCTACTAAAAATACAAAAATTAACCTGGAGTGGTGGCACGTGCCTTTAATCCCAGCTACTCGGGAGGCCGAGACAGGAGAATTGTTTGAACCCGGGAAACGGAGGTTGCAGTGAGCTGAGATCGGGCCACTGCACTCCAGCCTGGGCGACAAAGAGAGACTCCATTTCAAAAAACAAACAAAAAATCACATATTCCATTTGTTGGTGAAATAAGATCAGGAGCACCACGATCTTTGTTTGGAAACTTGTAGAGAAGTCATACGTGCCCCAAACTCTTAGCAGATATAAGAAAGAAATAATAAGCAATAGCTGCTCTTTAGACAGACCAAGAAACAAAGATTCATGCCCCGATATTGTCAGACAGGAACCAGTTAGCACAGGGTCACCAAACCTTGTCAGGAGAGAAACAAAAAGTCTGCTTTTTCTCCAGTAGCTCTCGGTAAATTTACCAAATGTGCATTCAGAGATGGTGCTGAATTCATTGTTTGCCTGTTTCTCAGTTTTGTGACAGCAGGTTTTAATTTCATGTTTATGACCTTCTCCTATCCTCTCTTAGGAAAAAAACATAATTTGTACCTTCATAGGGGAAAAAAGGTTGAAGCGCTGGAGAGATGAAGCAGTCCTGAAACTGCTTTGGCCCAGAATATTAAATTACTGTGTAGGTATTTCTAGGGCTATCCCCTAGCGCCCAGTTGGAGCAGCGTGAAACTTACAGAGAAATCCGAGGAAGATAGAGTAGGTGTCTAAACCACCGAGGCTCTAGCAGCTTCAGAAGCTTGAACACAGCGATCAAATCTCCCAGAAATGACTTCGCCATTTCTTCTCTGTCATCTTCATAACTGTCTTTTCAAAAGGTTATGCTAATCTCAACTAACTCCTAATGGATTGTCTCCGGAATTTCCCGCTTACTGAATCACCCAATTGAGTTAAAAATGTTAAAGCGCTTACTTAGAACAATGCCGGACACTCGGTCTACGCTAGATTAAGTATTCATTAATAAATGTTTTAAAATAATTGAAAATTACATTGCTTGTCATTTTGTACCTGGAATACTAAAACAGGAACAGGGTTTCTATGCAGAAAATGCCTCCTATGAAAATTGAAAGTTAACTTATCCACAATTTGCTGTTTACTCAGAGATTTCGTTCCTGGATGAAAGAATTTGGAGGTTAAAACAGAAAAACCTCATTCCCTGACCGGGAATCGAACCCGGGCCGCGGCGGTGAGAGCGCCGAATCCTAACCACTAGACCACCAGGGAAGCTGAAGTAGGTTTATTAAAACATATTTATGAAGCGAGAACTCAACACATACGCACACAGTTGACTTCTACTTTTCCGACGAGTTAGTGCACGGTCATGCTCTCGTATTCACTGACCTCCTGTTTTGCACCAACCAATAAAATCTGGACGGCAGAGGGCGTGGCAATGCCATAAGAGTAATTTGGGAAGTTCGTAACTGGATGATGGAACGTGCTCTGTTTCGATGTGTGCATTCAACCGAGAATAAATTGTAGCATCAATTTGTAATTGTCTTCTTGCTTTTCTTTGCATAAAGTGGTGAGCCATTTGAAGAACGAAATAATTTTTTAATTTGTCTTTGGTTCCTTCGGAGTACCTGTCATTGTGGGTTTTTTTTTTAATAAATACCTAATAGTAAATAAAAAACATAAGTAATAAATTCATTAAGCCTTATTTTTAAGTGGCGTGGGCGGAGCCGAAATAGCTCAGTTGGGAGAGCGTTAGACTGAAGATCTAAAGGTCCCTGGTTCGATCCCGGGTTTCGGCATGAGAGCGCTCGGTTTTTTGTGCCCACGGCAATACAAATATGGAATTTTCCTTCTACAATACAGAAACACTCCTTAGAACCTAAAATGGGGTCATATTTTTCTCAAATTCATAAAGGAAATCGCAAGAACACTGTGGGATACGTTTATTTCTGTAGCAGAACTCTAGGTATGGGTTTCAACATCTCACTAGATAAAAGAAGAAAAGGCAAACGTGCTGAAAGAAGTTTAATCTTGAGCAATACTAATTACATTTTATTTGCGACCTCTGTTCCCTCAATAAATATTTATTAAGTGAATTGTTAGTGTTATGCGCGCGTCTAACTGAAGAGACAACCTGAACAGGCTAAGTGTGAGCAACAAGCTGTTTATTCACTCTGGTCCGAGCGGGCTGAGTCCGAAAAGGGAGTCCCACCACCGGAGGGTGGTGGGATTGCAGCTAGTTTTATAGGTTAGGAGTAAGCAGTGGAAAGATACAATAAGGGCCCGTTTATTGCGGGCAAGGGAAGAATGTCACAAGGTACATTATCACAAGGTGGGAGGGGTCACAGAGCACAGTGTCACGAAGTTGATTGATCAGTTAGGGTAGAGCATGTTACAATGGTAGAAGGTCGCAAGGTTGGCTAATCAGCTAAGACAGGAGCTGTTTTTCTTCTTTTGTGGTTTTCCTGTTGTCCCAGACTTTCTGGCTCCAGGAGACCTTCTGGATGTGTACGTGTGGGTCACAGGGGTCACAATGCCTTGATCATAGCACAGCCTGCTCCGAGGAAAAGGATAGAGAGAGGCACGGCCGGTGAACTGAAGGGAAGTTTCCTGGAAAAAGGAGCCGCCTAAGCTGTTGAAAAAGTGGCTACTTGCTAGAGGTGGGGGAGGGGAGGGGTGGCTGCTGCGCTGTGAAAGGGAGACAGCCAGCATATTCCCTCAGCCACCTTTTTCCTAACCTCCTAATTTGCTAGCTCTTGGCATATTCAACCCCTGTCTTCCTACTCGGAGGAATGGTCTCTCATTTCCAAGTCTACTTAATATTCCATCTGAGCTTTTGAACCCTCTACCCATTCCATTTTGCTCTATGTTTGTGTCTTTCATCTCTCTCCTCCTTACGTGCCTCTCTTCAAATTACAGAATGTCTAAACCTCTATCTTTGGACAACAAAAATGGAACACATGACCTTATGCATTATCCTCAGACTCTTTCCTTCCACTCAGCACCAAACCTGTTGAAAGAACAATGTTTACCTCATTATTTGCTCATCAGCGGAGGAGGTCTGCCTTCCAATCCCAGGAAACCATTACCATCAACTTTCCAACTTTCAAATGTCTTGGCTGTTTTTGGTCCTATACTTAATTTTGCACAGTATACCAACCTATAAACAATCCTTCCCTTATGAAGCAGTCCTCCTTTGGACTTTGGGATTTTGAAGCAGCCTCGTTGTCTGGGGTGACACCCTAGATTCATCGTCTCACAGCCACAGAGATCAAGGACCTGGACACACAGAGAGGTTAAGAGTGGAAATTTAATAGGCGAAAGAAAGAAAATATCTCTCTGCTACAGAGAGGGGTCCTGGAAAAATGGGTTGCCGAAATTCGGTGAAATGCAGGGGGTTTTACAGATGAGCTAGTGGGGAGATGGTGTCTGATCTACATAAGGCATGAAAAACCCAGATAGGACCAGGTGTGCCAACTGCATAGGGTGTGAATCTCTGGCAACCCTCACCCCAATCTGTTATTATGCAGGTGGGTTCTCTGCCTGAACTTCTCCATGTTGCCCATTTCTTTCTTACTGTACACATGCTAACAAAAAAGGGAAGGTGGAGCCTCATGGTGGACATGCCTCACCCCCAGGTAGACCTTTTCTATCGGTGCAGCTGCCAGCCTTCCCCCATGCAAGTTTCCAGCTTCCTTATCTATGTCTGCAGCTCCATCTTGCAGGCTGCTCTTTGTTAGAAAAGGAATAATTTCTAGGGCTGCTTTTTGTTAGAAGAGAAGTTCTGCCGAGGACTCTTTTGCCCTAACTACCTAAGCAATTTCTTTGTATCTCCTGTATCAACTTGACTCTCCATTATTTTTCTCCATACTCTCTTGCTCTTCCCTTTCAGCTCCCTATCCCTCCAATTTTAATGACTTTGGTCTTTTTTTAAATTAAATGTTTAATTTTTAGGTAGTCGTAGATTCACATGCAGTTATAAGAAATAATATGGAGAGGTCCCATGTCCCCTTTACCTGCTTGCCCCCAATGGTAACATCTTGCAAAACTATAGCACAAAATCACAATCCGGATATTGATATTGATATTGATAAAGTCAAGATGCAAAACATTTCCATCACCACAAGGATTCCTTTTGGCCCTTTTACAGCCACACCCACTTGCCTACTGTTCCTGCCTCAACCTCTGGCAACTAGTAATCTGTTTTTCACTTTTATGATTTCATCATTTCGAGAATGTTATGAAAATGGAATCATACATTATGTAACCTATTAGGATTGGCTTTTTGCACTCAGTGTAATTCTCTAGAGATTCATCTAGGTTGTTCAGCATCAGTAGTTCATTCTTATTTCTCGCTCACTAGCATTCTGTGGTATGAATTTACCAGTTTGAACATTCACCTGCTGAAAGACATTTGAGTCATTTTCAGCTTTTGACTTTTACAAATAAAGCTACCATAAACATTTGCATACTGGTTTTAGTGTTAATATAAATTTTCGTTTAGCCAAGATAAATGTCCAGGAGTGCAGCTGCCGGGTGGTATGGTACTTGCACATTTAGCTTTTTAAGAAACTGCCAACTGTTTTCCAGAACAGCTACATTTCACATTCCCACCTACATGTATACAGCCTCATCAGCATTTGGTTGTTGCCACTATTTTTATTTTAGTCATTCTGATAGATGTATAGTGATATCTCATCTTGGTCGTAATTTGTATTTCCCTAGTGCTAAGGATGTTGAAAACATTTTTATGTGCTCGTTTGCCATCTGTATATCTTCTTCGGTGAAATGTCTCTTTAGGTGTTTTATCCAATCCGATAAGAATAGTTGTGTACAGGTTTTTATGTGGGAAGTTCCTGAAAAAGCTGGAAGTTCAAACCTTTTCCAAATCTCTGTCTTAGATTATGAAGTTCTCATGCCATGCAATTTGTTTTTTAAAAAAATTATTTAGTGATACTTCTGAAAGCAATGTAAGGAAGACTATTCAGGACTATCGGGATAGGCACAAGGGACCATTGCAAGGAGGTTTTGCAGTGAGGGAAAGAGATCGGCCTCAGTTCTGAATATAGCATGGGCAAATGGGAATTTATAGCCAAGGAGCAGTGTGTCCTGGTCAGTGGACAGGAAATTACCAAGAGAAAACCTCAGAGGTAAGGGGAATTCTGGCCAAACAAACCTAACAGGATTCTTGCTGAAGACAGGCCAAGGTAATCAGACATCAATCATCTGGGGGATGGTGGAGAATGAGGAGCCTGATCAGAAATGGAGGTTAAACATAGATGATATGGGGGTTCTTGCTAAACTGACTTGGCAGGGTTCTTTGCTAAAACTGGACGTTACAAGGAAGTGCACAGATGGGCCTAGCAGAAGATTCAGAAGCCTGACTAAAGTTTGGCCAAGCGAATAGTCTTTGTTAAATTCTTATGCAACTGCATTTGCAAAATGCAAAACAGACTACTGTCTTGTTGTTTGGGGAAAGGAAGAGTGCAACATGGAGAAATTTCCAAGATGATAAGTCACTAACGAGTTTCTTCCGGCTCCCACTGACTGAATGAATCATCATTCCCTGAGGGGTAAAAAAAAAAAAAAGGAAGATCGAGCAAAGGGTAGCATATACCAGTCCCACCAGTGAACTCACTTGGTATGCAGAAATAATGCTGTTGATTTTTTAAAAGAAATCCCGAAAAGGGAAGTTAAAAGAGACCGGGTCTCGTCGGATGTCCCGGGCGGAACTGCAGGCGTTGCTCGCAGGCGCGGTCCCACCGTCGCCCAACACGGGGAGTTTGACCTGCTCCGTGTCCGGCCTGGGCCTGGTCCCCCCCTCCTTAGACAACCTGGTACTCCCGGGCTCCCCCGGGAGTACCATGTTGGTGCCAGGCCCGGTGCGGACGCCCGCTCCACACAGCGCCGTAGCTCCGAACCCCCGAGCACCCACGATCCGCCGACCTCAGCCTCCCGGGGAGCTGGGATTACAGGCGCGCGCCACCGCGTCCGGCGCTTGGTTTGGTGGCACCGCGGTCTTGGAGGCTGCAACTGCCGACTGCGTGTGCTGGGAGGCGGGATCCGTGCAGCGGTTTCCTCGCCGCCCAGCCGGCTGCCGCTCCAGATTGCCAGAAGTGCCTGATAGAACTAGCTGAAGAGACCGCAGAAAGCACTGGCAGAGAGATGAATGAGCATCCCTTACTATGTTGTCCTCGGAACCTTTACAAAAAGGTCAATTAAACAAACAGCTGTAAATTTAATAAGGGAAAGAGTGAAGGACTGTGTTGAGTGGGTTTCACAGACTTCAATACGTATATGAAATCACCTGGGGAGCTTGCTAAAATGAAGAGTTCTAACGCTGTAGGTGTAGGATGGGGTGTAGATATTCTGCATTTGTGAGAAACTCCCAGGTTAGGTCAGTGTTGCTGATCAGCAGCCCACGCTGCAAGTGACAAGGTTGTTGATGCTTTTGGACCTGATGGTTCTACAAGTTCTTGTCACATCATTATAATATTAGAACATGAAAAGAAAAGAAAGAAAGAAAGAAAGAGAGAGAAAGAAAGAGAAAGAGAGAGAAAGAAAGAGAGAGAGAAAGAAGAGAGAGAAAGAGAAAGAAAGGAAGAAAGAAAGAAAGGAAAGAAACAGAGAAAGAAAGAAAGGAAAGAAAGAAAACCACAGTTCCAGCCTCACAAGTGACTCTAGACATTTTCTTTCTTGTTTTTTAGCTCTTGTCCTCACGCATACATAATTTTTTCCATGGTGGAAGCCATGACATTTGTACGATTTCATGTTGGGTGCATTTCCACCTTGTGTAAGTGGTAAATATGTACAGATAATTGTTCAATCACTCCTTCTGTCAGCCAACATTAACTGAGACCCTTTTCTGTGCCATATACAGTAGGTCTACCTGGGGAATCTGAGAGTACAAAATGCACTCCTCTAAGGAGCTTATGGCCTGTTAAAGAATAGAAGACGGCCGGGCCTGGTGGCTTACGCCTGTAATCCCAGCACTTTGGGAGGCCGAGGCAGGCAGATCACGAGGTCAGGAGATGGAGACCATCCTGGCTAACATGGTGAAAACCTGTGTCTACTAAAAATACAAAAAATTAGCCGGGCGTGGTGGTGGGCACCTGTAGTCCCAGCTACTCGGGAGGCTGAAGCAGGAGAATGGTGGGAACCCGGGAAGCGGAGCTTCCAGTAAGCCGAGGTCGCGCCACTGCACTCCAGCCTGGGCGACGGAGTGAGGCTCCGTCTCAAAAAAGTAAATAAATAAATAAATAAATAAATAAATAAATTTTAAAAAAGAATAGAGACAAGTAAATCAGTGAGAGTGAAGATTTACTCCTAAGTTCTTCCATAGGTGTAAGGGCAGGGTACTGTGTACAAGATCACCAATACAGGCACCTAATCTGAACAAGAATGGCTTACTGGATGAGGTGCTACCTGAAATATGTCTTAAAGATAAGCTATAATTAGGCACATAAAGAAGGGCATGGAAAAATTTTTACCATCAAGTCCTGACAGAAGCAAAGCTAAAAAGGTATGAATGCCTGGGAAAATTACTAGTTCCTAGTTCAAGTAGACCTGAGCAGAAAATCAAAGGTTCATGGACCAAAGTAAAAAGATGAAGCAGTGGCTGAGGCCTGTAGTCCCAGCACTTTGGGAGGCCAAGGCAGGAGGATTACCTGAGGTCAGGAGTTCAAGACCAGCCTTGGCAACTTGGTGAGACCCCCCGCCACCGACACACACTAAAAATACAAAAATTAGCCAGGTGTGGTGGCACACACCTATAATCCCAGCTACTTGAGAGGCTGAGGCATGAGAATCGCTTGAACCCTGGAGGCAGAGGTTGCAGTGAGCTGAGATTGTGCCACTGCACTCCAGCTTGGGTGACAGAGTGAGACTCCATCTGAAAAAAACAAAAAAAAAGGATAAAGATGAGGCTACAAAGGAAAAAATCGTTACTTTGTGTAGTATACAGTCTCCAAAAACTGACCTCAATGCAGCATATTTTTCGGTCGTTACACCCTTTTGTAGTCCATTCCCACAGTGAATCTTGGCTGACCTAACAAAATTATTTCATTGAGGTGATACTGTGCCAGTTCCAGGGCTAAGCCATGTGAAATCTTGCACCTTCTGACTTGGTTTTCTGGAATGCTAAATCTTGGGATGCTCCCTCTCAGAATCCAGTCACCATGCCATGAGAAACCCAAGCCACATGAAAAGGCCATGGCTAGGCACTGTGGGTCACAGTCTCAACTGACTGAGGTCCTAGCAACATCAACTGCCACTGCCAGTTATGTGAGTGAGCCATCTTGAACATCCCTAGCTCAATCAAGCCTTCAGAGGAATGGAGTCCTTACTGACATCATGTGGAGCAGAATCACCCAGGTAAGCCCAGTCTATTCACAGAATTGTAAGAAATAGTAAAACGGCTGGCATTTCAAGACATGTGTTAGTTTTCTATTGCTGTCATAACACATTACCACAAATGTAGTGGTTATAAAAAACATAAATTTATTATTTAGAGTTTTTTAAGACAGAAGTCTGGTATGGTCTCACTGTGCTAAAATCAAGGTATTGGCAGGCTGCATTCCTTTCTGTTGGCCCCAAGGGAGAATCTGTTTTCTGCTCATTCAGATTATTGGCAAAATTCAGTTGTTTGCAGTTGTTGGATCAAAGTCTCTGTTTTATTGCTGCCTGTAAGCTAATGGCCACTCCCAGCTTCTAAAGGCTGCTGTGTTGCTGGGCTCTTTAAAACCAGCAATGGTGGATGGCGTCCTCAGATCACACCTCCCTGAACTACTCTTCTGCTTCCTCTTTCCACTTTTAAGACTCTAGTGATTAGGATCATCTCTCCATCACAAGTTCCCTAACCTTAATCACATCTCAAAGTCCCTTTGCCATGTAAGTTAACATATTTACAGTTTCCAAGGGTTAGAAGGGGCATATTTTTGGGTGGAAATAGCATTATTCTGTCTATCACTCCATTTGGAATTGTCTCTTGTATATTGGTAGGAAGTAAGAACAAACTGTGAGCCGTATCTTGACAATACTAAATACTTTGAGCTTTCCCTAAAAGGCTATGGAGAGACAGAAAAGTGTTCTGAACAGAGAGGTCAGTATGACGGGTATTTTTGCAAGCTCTTCTTGCCAGTTCTGTGGAAGCAGAGCCACAGCTAGCACACAGAGTGCCTTTGGGCAAATAATGCAACAGTAAGGCTGGGCGCAGTGGCTCAGGCCTCTAATCCCAGCAGTTTGGGAGGCCCAGGTGGGCGGATCACCCAAGGTCGGAAGTTCGAGACCAGCCTGGCCAACATGGTGAAACCCCATCTCTACTAAAAATACATGGTGGCGCATGCCTGTAATCCCAGCTACTCGGGAGGCTGAGGCAGGAGAATGGCTTGAACCCAGGAAGCAGAGACAACGGTGAGCCAAGATCCCACCACTGCACTCCAGCCTGGGAAACACAGTGAGACTCTGTGTCAAAAAAATAATAATAAAATAAAAAAAAAATGCCACAGTAAGCCATTTTGGTGGATGAATTACAGAAAGACAACCCTCAGGGCTGATGAAGCATAGAAAAGGGAAAATGTCAAAAGTCCTCTCTCCAGGACTCTTAGCTCTCAGTGCTCAGGTCATATTTCAGCCCCCATTCACCTTCTCTGGAAATCTTTTTTTGTAGGGCACCAGTGGGACTCCCTGTATAGAGAAACAATGGGAGACAAGCAGGGCTAGAAGCAAATCAACCAAACTGGAGGCTGTTGCAGTAATCCAGGAAAGATACAGAAAGAGGAGAAGGAAGAGGAGGGAAAAAGTCTCATGTAAAACGGTGGTGGTAATCTTGTATTAGAATAAAGGAAACAGACTCAGAAGAACTGAAGACACAGAATTCATAAGATGTGGGAAGTACGGGGCCGGGCGCTGTGCCTCACGCCTGTATGTAATCCCAGCACTTTGGGAGGCCGAGGTGGGCAGATCACAAGGTCGGGAGATTGAGACCATCCTGGCCTACATGCTGAAACCCCGTCCCTGCTAAAAATACAAAAATTAGCTGAGCATGGTGGCCGGCACCTGTAGTCCCGGCTACTCGAGAGACTGAGATAGGAGAATAGCTTGAACCCGGGAGGCGGAGCTTGCAGTGAGCCGAGATCGGGCCACTGCACTCCAGCCTGGGCGACAGAGCGAGAGACTCCATCTCAAAAAAACAAAACAAAACAAAACAAACAAACAAAAACAACTCAGAGCTAGACAAAATTACACTCCCTCAGGCTGAGTGCGGTGGCTCAAGCCTGTAATCCCAGCACTTTGGGAGGCCGAGGTGGGCGGATCACGAGGTCAGGAGATGGAGACCATCCTGGCTAATATGGTGAAATGCCGTCTCTACTAAAAATACAAAAAATTAGCCGGGCGTGGTGGCGGGCGCCTGTAGTCCCAGCTACTCGGGAGGCTGAGGCAGGAGAATGGCATGAACCCGGGAAGCGGAGCTTGCAGTGAGCCGAGATCAGGCCACTGCACTCCAGCCTGGGCGACAGAGCGAGAGACACCGCCTCAAAAAAAACAAAACAAACAAACAAAAAAACAACTCAGAACTAGACAAAATTACACTCCCTTAGGGCGGGTATGGTGGCTCACGCCTGTAATCCCAGCACTTTGGGAGGCCGAGGCAGGCAGATCACGAGGTCAGGAGATCGAGACCATCCTGACTAATATGGTGAAACCCCATCTCTACTAAAAATACAAAAAATTAGCCGGGCATGGTGGCGGGCGCCTGTAGTCCCAGCTACTCGGGAGGCTGAGGCAGGAGAATGGCGTGAACCCGGGAAGCGGAGCTTGCAGTGAGCCGAGATCGCGCCACTGCACTCCAGCCTGGGCAACAGAGCGAGAGACTCCGTCTCAAAAAAAAAAAAAAAAGGTCATAAGATGTGGGAAGTAAAAGAGAGGAAAAGATTGAAAAGGATGCAGATGTGATGATGCTAGTCGCCTGCCATCAGAAGCAGCAAGTCTTCTCCAAGATGATACTTTTCTTCTGAAGACGTGAGATTTGAAAAAATAAGAAAACAAAAGAATAACGAACTTTGAGTCTGATGCCTTAACACAGTATTTCATTCAGATGAAGAAATGCTATTGCATGCTAGCCGGGTGCGGTGGCTCACGCCTGTAATCCCAGCACTTTGGGAGACCGAGGCGGGCGGATCACGAGGTCAGGAGATCAAGACCATCCTGGCTAACACGGTGAAACCTGGTCTCTACTAAAAGTACAAAAAATTAGCCGGGCGTGGTGGTGGGCGCCTGTAGTCCCAGCTACTTGGGAGGCTGAGGCAGGAGAACGGCGTGAACCCGGGAGGCGGAGCTTGCAGTGAGCCGAGATCGCGCCACCGCACTCCAGCCTGGGCGACAGAGCAAGACTCCATCTCAAAAACAAAACAAAACAAAACAAAACAAAGAAATGCTATTGCATGCTAAAATGTTTTGAAGTTACCAGAGTCAGCAAGACTGAATTTGGAGCCCAGTGAAAAGAAGCCTACAAAGCTGATGGGGGTGCTTGATAGTAATCCTCTCCTTAACATGCTCAAAAAGAATTGACTCTGTATTTAGAAATCTCACAAATTGAGGAGGAAAGAGGAAGGAGAATGAGGAGAAAAGGGAAGATTTAAAAAAGGATAAGAAAATAATAGCACAAATATATATATATGTACACATATGTGTGTGTGTGTGTGTATATGTATATATATATATATATATATTTTTTTTTTTTTAGACAGAGTCTTGCTCTGTTGCCCAGGCTGGAGTGCAGTGGGGCGATCTTGGCTCACTTCAACTTCCACCACCTAATTTTTGTATTTTCAGTAGAGACGGAGTCGGGGGTGGGGGGAGGGTCTCACCATTTTGGCCAGGCTGGTCTTGAACGCCTGATCTCAAGTGATCTGCCTGCCTCAGCCTCCCAAAGCGCTGGGATTACAGGTGTCAGCCACTGTGCCCAGCCTAATTTTTTGTGTTTTTAGTAGAGATGGATTTTCACCGCTTTGGCCACTCTGGTCTGGAACTCCTGACGCCGAGTGATCCACCCATCTCAGCCTCCCAAAGTGCTGGGATTACAGGCATGAGCCGTCATGCCCAACCACGAGTATATTTCGACATAAAATCTAAGATAGTCTTTTTGTAGAAAGAAATATGCTCACTTTCCTTAATTTGAGAACTATGATTTCTTCCTGCTTTAAAAATCATGGTTTCAGTAAATGTGCCTGCATTATTCTGTCAAAAGCCAGCTTCTATGACTTCTCACCTTTTCCAGGTATATATGAAACTCGTGAGAAACAAATCTTACTCATGGTGTCTTCCTTCCCTTTCTGTATAGTGGATACACCAAAGAGCTTCCCAAACCTTGTCTAGTAAATGGGTTTCAGGTGTGCAGGGGGACATGCATTCCCTCAGCCATTAGTCTCCCCCAGGTCCTTGACTTTTTCATTTCTAAATATCCCATTCTGTTTTTCAAACTTTTTTAGTGGAACCCATAATAAAAAATATAAGTATAGGTTACAACACAACTCTTATTTATTTGCAATGCACTGGGACATTTTGCATTCCATTCTCTTTCACTAAAATCAAAATTCTACTCATGATCCACTCAATTAACTTCATGTGCCACAAGGGTGTCACAATATACATTTTGAAAAACACACTACCCTTGACCTTGACATTAACCTAAACTGCAGGCACCAAGCCCAAGATGTAAATTTCAATCATCTCTTATACTGATTATCACCTTCTGTTTTTTCAGCTTATTTTCTTTTGCCCAGTGGAAAATTATTTAATGCATCTCCTTTCTCCTTACATCTTTACTTCCCTCTTTACACAACTTAAATTTCATGATTAATTATCAGCATTAGTAGCTTACAAAACCTTTGTCTCACTCACAATCATTGGTCATGTAATCACCAGACAGGTTCTTCCTGCCCCCACCCTGCACAGACAAAATCATTTCACTGAGACTGTGGTATTGCGTTTAAGAGTTTAATTGGTCGTCAGCAAAGCCTGAGTCCTGTCCTCTCGCTCTCCTCCCCGGACAGCAAGAGCTTCACCACTCGCTCCACCTTCTCCACCAACTACCGGTCCCTGGGCTCTGTCCAGGCGCCCAGCTACGGTTCCCAGCCAGTCTGCAGCGCGGCCAGCGTCTATGCAGGCGCCGGGGGCTCTGGTTCCCGGATCTCCGCGTCCCCCTCCACCAGCTTCTGGGGCGGCATGGGGTCTGGAGGCCTGGCGGCAGGGATGGCTGGGGTTCTGGCAGGAATGGGAGGCATCCAGAACGAGAAGGAGACCATGCAAAGCCTGAAGGACCGCCTGGCCTCCTACCTGGACAGAGTGAGAAGCATGGAGACCAAGAACCGGAAGCTGGAGAGCAAAATCCGGGAGCACCTGGAGAAGAAGGGACGCCAGGTCGGAGACTGGACAAATTACTTCAAGACCATGGAGGACCTGGGGGCTCAGATCAAATACTGTGGACAATGCCCGCATCGTTCTGCAGATTGACAATGCCCGACTTGCTGCTGTTGACTTCAGAGTCGAGTGTGAGACAGAGCTGGCCATGCGCTAGTCTGTGGAGAGCGACATCCATGGGTTCCGCAAGGTCATTGATGATACCAATGTCACTCGGCTGCAGCTGGAGACAGAGATCGAGGCTCTCAAGGAGGAGCTGCTCTTCCTGAAGAAGAACCAAGAAGAGGAAGTAAAAGGCCTACAAGCCCAGATTGCCATCTCTGGGTTGACCGTGGAGGTAGATGTCCCCAAATCTCAGGACCTCGCCAAGATCATGGCAGACATCTGGGCCCAATAAGACGAGCTGTCTTGGAAGAACCGAGAGGAGCTAGACAAGCACTGGCCTCAGCAGATTGAGAGTGCACCACAGTGGTCACCATGCAGTCCATCGGTGTTGGAGCTGCTGAGATGACGCTCACGGAGCAGAGATATACAGTCCAGTCCTTGGAGATCGACCTGGACTCCATGAGAAATCTGAAGGCCAGCTTGGAGAACAGCTTGAGGGAGGTGGAGGCCCGCTATGTCCTGCAGATGGAGCAGCTCAGCGGAATCCTGCTGCACCTGGAGTCAGAGCTGACACAGACCGGGGCAGACGGATAGCGCCAGGCCCAGGAGTGCGAGGCCCTGCTGAACATCAAGGTAAAGCTGGAGGCTGAGATCGCCACCTACCGCCGCCTGCTGGAAGATGGCGAGGACTTCAGCCTTCGTGATGCCCTGGACAGCAGCAACTCCATGCAAACCATCCGAAAGACCACCACCCGCCCGATAGTGAGTGGATGGCAAAGTGGTGTCTGAGACCAAGGACACCAAAGTTCTGAGACATCAAGTTGGCAAAAGCAGGGTACCCTCTGGGGCGCAGGAGACCAATAGGAAGTTCGGAGGTAAAAAACAAACAAACAAACAAACAAAAAAACCAGTTTAATTAACACAAGGCCAGCCACGTGGAAGATGGAGTTATTGCTTAAATCAGTCTTCCTGAAGGTTTAGAAGTTAGGGTTTTTCAAGGATAGTTTGGTGGGCAGGGAACAAAGGAATGAGTGCTGCTGATTGGTTGGGGATGCAATCACAGGGGTGTGGAAAACGGTCCTCATGTGCTGAGTTCACCTCTCGTGGAGGGTTGGAGGGAGGTATAGGATCAGTTGAGTTGTGAGTCCCAAATCCAGGTGGGGTCAGTCGGTTGGTAGAATACAAAAGTCTGAAAAGCATCTTTAAGACCAATCTTAGGATCTATATAGTGATGTTATCTATAGGAACAACTGGAGAAGTCACAGATCATGTGACCTCTGACCACATGACTCCTGAGCCGTAAGGGATTATAGAAACTATACCTACATTTTAGCAGAATTCAGGCCCCTTTCAGAATCCTAATTTTATGGTCTTTCATTTGTCTTACAAAGGCAGTTTTAGCACCCCAAACAAGGAGGGATATTATCATCTTTGCTTCCAACTTAAACTATAAACTAAATTCCTCCAATGGTTAGCTTGGCCTACACCTAAGAATGAGTGAGGATGATCAGCCTGTGAAGGTAGAAAGAAGCAAGATGGAGTGAGCCATGTTAGATTTCTCTCACTGTGATAATCTTTGCAAAGGCGTATCTGAATATGAATAGGTGAATGAATAGAGAATACTCCTAACTGCGCTCCTTTCTTTGTCACACTCTAAACCAAGGTTTCCTCCCCTCCATTCCACTGAAACTTCCTTGTCAAATCCCAGCAACCTCCATCTTGCTAGATCCAATGGTTAGTTTTCTTTTTCATAATTAACTAATTTATTTATTTATGAATTTTTCCATAAGTTATTGGGGAACAGGTGGCGTTTGGTTACACGAGTAAGTTCTTTAGTGGTGATTTGTGAGATTTTGGTGCACCCATCACCCGAGAAGTATACACTGCACCCTATTTGTAGTATTTTATTCCTCACTCTCCTCCCACCCTTCCCCCAAAGTCCATTGTATCATTCTTATGCCTTTGCATCCTCATAGCTTATTGGTGAGAACATATCATGTTTCGTTTTCCATTCCTAAATTACTTCACTTAAAATAATAGTCTCCAAGGTCAGGCACAGTGGCCCACACCTGTAATCCCAGCACTTTGGGAGACCGAGGCAGGCAGATCACCTGAGGTCAGCAGTTCAAACCCAGCTTGGCCAACAAGGTGAAACCCTGTATCTACTAAAATACAAAAATTAGCCATTCATAGTGTTAGGCGCCTGTAATTCCAGCTACTTGGGAGGCTGAGGCAGGAGAATCACTTGAACCCAGGAGGCAGAGGTTGCAGCAAGCCGAGATCATGCCACTGCACTTGAGCCTGGGGACAGAGACAGACTCCGTCTCAAAAAAAAAAAAAAAAAAAAAAAAAAAAGAAGAATAGTCTCCAATCCCATTCAGGTCATTGCAAATGCCATTAATTCATTCCTTTTTATTGCTAAGTAGTATTCCATTGTATATATATACCACAGTTTCTTTATCCACTCATTGATTGACAGGCATTTGAGTTGGCTCCACAATTTTGCAATTGTGAATTGTGCTGCTATAAACATGCATGTTCAAGTATCTTTTTTGTTTAATGACTTTTTTTCCTCTAGGTAGATACCCAGTAGTGGGATTACTGGATCAAAGGGTAGCTCTACTTTAGTTCTTTAAGAAATCTCCCCCACTGTTTTCCACAGTGGTTGTACTAGTTTACATTCCCACCAGCAGTGTAGAAGTGTTCCCTGATCACCGCATCCACACCAACATCTACTGTTTTTTGATTTTTTTGATTATGGTCATTATTGCAGGAGTAAGGTGGTATCACATTGTAGTTTTGATGTGCATTTCCCTGATCATTAGTGGTGTTGAGCATTTTTTATATGTTTGCTGGCCATTTGGATATCTTCTTTTGAGAATTGTCTATTCCTGTCCTTAGCCCACTTTTTGATGGGATTGTTTGTTTCTTTTCCCTACTGATTTGTTTGAGTTCATTGTAGATTATGGATATTAGTCTTTTGTCAGATGTATAGATTGTGAAGATTTTCTCCCACTCTGTGAGTTGTCTGTTTACTCTGCTGACTGTCCTTTGGCTGTGAAAAAGCTCTTTAGTTTAATTAAGTCCCAACTATTTATCTTTGTTTTTATTGCATTTGTTTTTGGGTTCTTAGGCATGAAATCCTTGCCTAAGCCAATGTCTAGAAGGGTTTTTCCAATGTTATCTTCCAGAATTTTTATAGTTTCAGGTCTTAGATTTAAGTCCTTAATCCATCTTGAGTTGATTTTTGTATAAGGTGAGAGATGAGGATCCAGTTTCATTCTCCTACATGTGACTAGCCAATTATCCCAGCACATTTGTTGAAAAGAGTGTCCTTTCCCCATATTATGTTTTTGTTTGCTTTGTGGAAGATCAGTTGGCTGTAAGTATTTGGGTTTATTTCTGGGATCTCTACTGTTCCATTGGTCTATGTGCCTATTTTTATACCTGTACCATGCTGTTTTGGTGACTATGGCCTTATAGTATAGTTTGAAATCAGATAATGTGATGCCTCCAGATTTGTTCTTTTTGCTTAGTCTTGCTTTGGCTATGTGGGCTCTTTTTCCATTCCATATGAATTTTAGGATTTTTTTTTCTAATTCTGTGAAGAATGATGGTGATATTTTGATGGGAATTGTATTGAATTTATAGATTGCTTTTGGCAGTTTGATCATTTTCACAATATTGATTCTACCCATGAGCAAGGGTTGTGTTTCCATTTGTTTGTGTTGTCTATGATTTCTTTCAGCAGTGTTTTGTAGTTTTACTTGTAGAGGTCTTTCTCCTCCTTGGTTAGGTATATTTCTAAGTATTTTAATTGTTTTTGCAGCTATTGTAAACGGGGTTGAGTTCTTGATTTGATTCTCCACTTGGTTGCTGTTGCTGTATAGAAGAGCTACTGATTTGCGTACATTAATTTTATATCCAGAAACTACTGAATTCTTTTATCCATTCTAGGAGCTTTCTGGAGGAGTCTTTAGGGTGTTCAAGGTAAACAATCATATCATCAACAAATAGTGACAGTTTGAGTTCCTCTTTACTGATTTGGATGCCCTTCCTTTCTCTTATCTGATTGCTCTGGCTAGGACTTTCAGTACTATGTTGAAGAGGAGTGGTGACAGTGGGTATCCTTGTTTTGTTTCAGTTCTCAGAGGGAATGCTTTCAACTTTTCCCCATTCAGATTATGTTGCATGTAGGTTTGTCATAGATGGCTTTTATTACGTTGAGGTATGTCCCTTGTATCCCGATTTTGCTAAGAATTTTAATCATAAAAGGATGCTTGATATTGTTGAATGCTTTTTCTGCATCTATTGAGATGATTGTGTAATTTTTGTTTTTAACCCTGTTTATGTGGTGTATCACATTTATTGCACACATACTTGTGTATGTTAAACCATCCCTGCATCCTGGTATGAAACCCACTTGATCAATGTGGATTATCTTTTTGATATGTTGTTGGATTCGGTTAGCTAGTATTTTGTTAAGGATTTGAGCATCTATGTTCATCAGGGATATTGGTCTGTAGTTTTCTTTTTTGGTTATGTCCTTTCCTGGTTTTGGTATTAGGGTGATACCGGCTTCATAGAATGAATTAGGGAGGGTTCCCTCATCCTCTATCTTGTGGAATAGCGTCAATAGGATTGGTACCAATTCTTCTTTGAATGTCTGGTAGAATTCTGCTGTGAATCCATCTGGTACTGAACTTCTTTTGTTGATAATGTTTTTTGTTTGTTTGTCTTTTTTAGACGGAGTCTCGCTCGGTCACCCAGGCTGGAGTGCAGTGGCATGATCTCGGCTCACTGCAGCCTCGCCTCCTGGATAATTGGGATTCTTCTGCCTCAGACTCCCAGGTAATTGGGATTACAGGGGCCCGCCACCACCACCGGCTAATTTTGTATTTTTAGTAAAGACAGAGTTTCACCATATTGGCCAGGCTGGTCTCCAACTCCTGACCTCAGGTGATCCACCCGCCTTGGCCTCCCAAAGAGATTGCAGGCATGGGTCACCATGCCTGACCTGGTAATTTTTTTTTTGTTTTTTTTTTTTTTGAGACGGAGTCTCACTCTTGTTGCCCAAGCTGGAGTGCAATGGTGTGACCTCGGCTTACTACACCTTTGCCTCCTGGGTTCAAGCGATTATGTTGCCTCAGCCTCCCAAGTAGCTGGGATTACAGGTACCCACCACCACACCCAGCTAATTTTTTGTATTTTTAGTAGAGATGGGGTTTCCCCATGTTAGCCAGGCTGGTCTCGAACTCCTGATGTCAGGTGATCCACTCACCTCAGCCTCTCAAAATTCTGGGATTACAGGCATAAGCCACCATGCCCAGCTTGGCCTGGTAATTTTGTAGTTATCATTTTAATCTCGCTGCTTGTTATTTGTCTGTTCAGTGTATCTGATTCTTCCTGATTTAAGCTAGGAGGGTTGCATCTTTCTAAGAATTTATCCATCTCTTCCAGGTTTTCTAGTTTATGTGTATAGAGGTATTCATAGCAGCCTTGAATGATCTTTTGTATTTCTGTGGTGTCAGCTGTAATATCTCCCATTTCATTTTTTATTGAAGTTATTTGGATTTTCTCTCTTCTTTTCTTGGTTAATCTTGCTAAAGGTCTATCAATTTTATCTTTTCAAAGAACCAGATTTTTGTTTTATTTATCTTTTGTATTTTTTTGTTTGTTTGTTTCAATTTCATTTAGTTCTGCTGTGATCTTGGTCATTTCCTTTCTTCTGCTGTGTTTGGGTTTGGTTTGTTCTTGTTTCTCCAGTTCCTTGAGATGTGACCTTAGGTTGTCAGTTTGTGTTCTTTCAGTCTTCTTGATGTAGGTGTTTAGGGCTATGAACTTTCCTCTTAGCACTGCCTTTGCTGTTTCCCAGAGGTTTTAATAGGTTGTCACTATTGTCGTTCAGTTCAAGGAATTTTTTAATTTCCATCTTGATTTCATTTTTGACCTAATGTTCATTCAGGAGCAGCTTATTTAATTTCTATGTATTTGCATGGTTTTGAAGGTTCCTTTTGGAGTTGATTTCCAGTTTTATTCCACTGTAGTCTGAGAGAGTGCTTCATATAATTTGAATTTTCTTAAATTTATTGAGCCTCATTTTGTGGCCTATCATATGGTCTATCTTGGAGAAAGTTTCATGTGCTGTTGAATAGAATGTGTATTCTGCAGTTGTTGAATGGAATGTTTTGTATATATCTGTTAAGTCCATTTGTTCCAAGGTATAGTTTAAATCCATTGTTTCTTTGCTGACTTTCTGTCTTGATGACCTGTCTAGTACTGTCAGTGGAGTATTGAAGTCCCTCGCTATTATTGTGTTGCCATCTATCTCATTTGTTAGGGCTATTAAGTAATTGTTTTATAAATTTGGGAGCTTCAATCATAGGTGCACACATGTTTAGGATTGTGATATTTTCTTGTTAGACAAGGCCTTTTACCATTATATAATGTCTCTCTTTGTCTTTTTTAACTGCTGTTGCTTTAAAGTTTGTTTTGTCTGATATAAGAATAGCTACGCCTGCTCAATTTTATTGTCCGTTTGAATGAAATGCCGTTTTCCTCCGCTTTTTTTTTTTTCTTTTTGAGACGGAGTATTGCACTGTCGCCCAGGCTGGAGTGCAGTGGCGCCATCTCGGCTCACTGCAAGCCCTGCCTCCTGGGTTCACGCCATTCTCCTGCCTCAGCCTCCCGAGTAGCTGGGACTACAGGTGCCCGCCACCACACCTGGCTAATTTTTTGTATTTTTAGTAGAGACGGGGGTCTCACCGTGTTAGCCAGGATGGTCTCGATCTCCTGACCTGGTGATCCACCCGCCTCGGCCTCCCAAAGTGCTGGGATTACAGGTGTGAGCCACCGCGACTGGCCAAGATTTAGAGAACCTTTTATCAGTTCTTGTAGTGGTGGCTTGGTAGTGGCAAATTCTCTCAGCATTGGTTTGTCTGAAAAAGACTATCTTTCTTTCATATAAGATGCTTAGTTTTGCAGGATACAAAATTCTTGGCTGATAATTGTTTTGTTTGAGGAGGCTGAATGTTGGGCCCCAATCCCTTCTAGCTTGTAAGGTTTCTGCTGAGAAATCTGTTGTTAATCTGAAGGTTTTCCTTTATAGGTTACCTGGTGGTTTTGTCTCACAACTCTGAAGATTCTTTCCTTTGCCTTAACTTTAGATAACTTGATGACAATGTGCCTAGGCAATGATCTTTTTTGTGATGAATTTTCCAGGTGTTTTTTGTGCTTCTTGTGTTTGGATGTCTAGGCCTCTAGCAAGACCAGGGAAGTTTTCCTCGATTATTCCCCCAAATACGTTTTCAAAACTTTTAGATTTCTCTTTTTACTCCGGAACGCCAATTATTCTTAGGTTTGGTCATTACATAATCCCAGACTTCTTGGAGGCTTTGTTCATATTTTCTTTTTCTTTTTTCTTTGTGTTTGTTGGATTGGTTTAATTCAAAGACCTTGCCTTCAAGCTCTGAATTTCCTTATTCTACTTGTTCAATTCTATTGGTGAGACTTTCCAGAGCATTTTGCATTTCTATATATGTGTCCAATGTTTCCTGAAGTTTTGATTGTTTTTTATTTATGCTATCTGCTTCATTGAATATTTCTCCCTTCACTTTTTTTTTTTTCGAGACGAAGTCTCACTGTGTTGCTCAGGCTGGAGTGCAGTGACATGATCTCAGCTCATTGCAACCTCCGCCTCCCAGGTTCAAGTGATTCTCCTGCCTCAACCTCCCAAGTAGCTGGCATTACAGGTGCACGCCACCACACCCAGGTAATTTTTGTATTTTTAGTAAAGATGGAGTTTCACCATGTTGGCCAGGCTGACCTCAAACTCCTGACCTCAAATGATCTGCCCACCTCAGCCTCCCAGGGATTACAGGTATGAACCACTGCACCTGGTCTCTCCCTTCACTTCTTGTATCATTTTTTGGATTTCTTTGTGTTGGGCTTCACCTTTCTCTGGTGCCTCTCTGATTAGCTTAGTAACTAACCTCCTGAATCCTTTTTCAGGTAAATCAGGGATTTCTTCTTGGTTTGGATCCATTACTAGTGAGCTAGTGTGATTTTTGGGGGTTGTTAAAGAGCCTTGTTTTGTCATATTACCAGAGTTGGTTTTCTGGTTCCTTCTCATTTGGGTAGGCTCTGTCAGAGGGAGGGTCTAAGGCTAAAACTGTTGTTCAGATTCTTTTGTCCCACAGGGTGTTGCCTTGATGTAGTACTCTCCCCATTTTCCTATGGATGTGGCTTCCTGAGGGTCAAGCTGTAATGATTGTTATCTCTCTTCTGGATCTAGCCACCCAGCAAGTCTACCAGGCTGTGAGCTGGTACTGGGGGTTGTCTTCACGGAGTCCTGTGATGTGAACCATCTATGGGTCTCTCAGCCTTGGATACCAGCATCTGTTCCAGTGGAGGTGGCAGGGTGTGAAATGGACTCCGTGACGGTTCTTAGCTTTGGTGGTTTAATGCTCTATTTTTGTGCTGGTTGGCCTCCTGTTGGTAGGTGGCACTTTCCAGAGAACATCAACTGTGGTAGTATGGAGATGAACCAGCGGTAGGCAGGGCCCTAGAACTCCCAAGGGTATATGCCCTTTGTGTTCAGTTATCAGGGTGGGTAAAGAAGGACCATCAGGTGAGGGCAGGGCTAGGCGTGTCTGAGTTCAGACTCTCCTTGGGTGGGTCTTGCTGCGGTTGCTGTGGAGGAGGGGAGGTTCCCAGGTCAATGGAGTTATGTACCTAGAAGGATTTTGGCTGCCTCTGCTGAGTCATGTAGGTTGTCAGGGAAGTGGGGGAGAGCCAGCAGTCACAGGCTTCACCCAGCTCCCATGCAATCTGAAGGGCCAGTCTCACTCCCACTGTGCCTCCCCTAACAGCACCAAATCTGTTTCCAGGCAGTGGGCAAGAAGAGTTGAGAATTTGCCCCAGGCTACCCGCCTCCCAGCTGTGAAAGAAAGTAGGGTTTTAGTTCTTCCCCTACCTGTGGAGTCTGCATGCTGGATTCATGCCCTCCCCCAAGTTCTGGCCATGAGGTTTCTTGACTAGTTCAAATTGTTACAAAGCTCAGCTGGAGGTTTCCTTCTTCCTGTGCCATTTTCCCTGTGCCTCTGGCTGCCCTCCCAAAGGATCCCTGTGATGCCAGCAGGAGTGGCCTACTTGGGGACCCAGCAAGCTCACAGGGCCTGTCCAATTGATTCCTCTACCCCTGTATTTCCCTTGGCTCTCTAAATTGACTCAGCTCCAGATAAATTCAGAATCTTCTCCCGTAAAGTAGACCTTCAGTTTCCCCAGTGGGGGTGTGTGCTCGGGGGCGGAGGATCTCCCTTTCTCACTTCCACAGTTTGGGCACTCACAGTATTTGAGGTGTCTCCCAGGTCCTACAGGAGCAATCTGCTTCCTTCAGAGGGTCCGTGGGTCCTCTCGGGTTTCCGGATTTATTCCTGAAGTCGTTCTGGAGTTAAAATTCATGATGAGGGCCTCCACACGCTGCTCCGTCCATTGAAGTAAGAGGTGCAATCTAGTCCTGTCTCCCGTCTGCCATAATGTTCCCAATGCTCTCCCAATGTTCAATTTTCAGGCTTCAATTTGCTCAGCCTCTCAATGTCATTTGGCCCAGTTGATATTCCCCCTTCATGAAAACACATTCCGACCAGGCGCAGTGGCTCACGCCTGTAATCCCAGCTCTTTGGGAGGCCGAAGCAGGTGGATCACGAGGTCAGGAGATCGAGTCCATCCTGGCTAACACGGTGAAACCCCGTCTCTACTAAAAATACAAAAAAATTAGCCAGGTGTGGTGGCGGGCGCCTGTAGTCCCAGCTACTTGGGAGGCTGAGGCAGGAGAATGGCGTGAACCCGGGAGGCGGAGCTTGCAGTGAGCCAAGATGGCTCCACTGCACTCCAGCCTGGGCAACAGAGCAAGACTCCATCTCAAAATAAATAAATAAATAAATAAATAATAAAAATAAATTTAAAAAAAAACAACATGTTCCTCATTAGACCCCTGAGGGTCTTCTTTCACAAATATTAAATCCTTGAATGTTAATGAAAGACCTCAAGTATACCAGCCTCAAGTTTATGAGATGACCTCTTTTAATCTTTTTTCACAGCAGAAAGGAAATAATAACTTCCTTCAGTGTTGCTAAAATTGTTTTATTATTCAGGCAGAAGCAGTTTCATGACCCAAAGAATAAGTATCTGAAAAGAAGGAAAAGCCATTGGCAATCATCCTGTTACCTCCAATCACCTATAAACCATTATTATCTATCAAACCATCCATTTTTATCTGTTAAGCCAGACGTTGTCCTTGAAGCTCACTGAGACCTCTTAATTCTTTATTCTTTTCATAAATAGTGTTTCCCCAAACTGGTGAACCAGTTGCTGTTGCTGTTCAACTTTTTAGGGAGCCAACTGAGACATAGCCATACCAAACCTTTCCACCCCCACAAAAAAAAAATCCAACAATTATATAATAAATGCATGTATTACTTTGACATCAAATTTTAAAAATAGATGTTTGAAATTATATATTATTCTGCAATATTTGTTTCTCCATTGCAAAACTGTTATTACTTAAACAAAACAATAATGGTGTGTCCAGAATTGGTAGGTTCTTGGTCTCACTGACTTCAAGAATGAAGCCACGGACCCTCACGGTGAGCATTACAGCTCTTAAGGTGGTGGGTCTGGAGTCTGCCCCTTCTGATGTTCAGATGTGTTCGGAGTTTCTTTCTTCTGGTGGGTTCGTGGTCTCACTGGCTCAGGAGTGAAGCTGCAGACTTTCATAGTGAGTGTTACATCTCTTAAGGTAGCGCATCTGGAGTTGTTTGTTTTTCCCAGTAGGCTCGTGGTTTTGCTGGGCTCAGGAATGAAACTGCAGATCTTCACGGTGAGTCTTACAGCTCACAAAAGCAGCATGGACCCAAAGAGTGACCAGTTGCAAGATTTATTGCAAAAAGCGAAAGAACAAAGCTTCCACAATGTGGAAAGGAACCCGAGAGGATTGCCAATGCTGGCTCGGGCAGCCTGCTTTTATTCTCCTATCTGGCCCCATCCACATCCTGCTGATTGGTAGAGCCCAGTGGCCTGTTTTGTCAGGGCGCTGATTGGTGCGTTTACAATCCCTGAGCTAGATACAAAGGTTCTCCACCTCCCCAACAGATTAGTTAGATACAGAGTTTTGACACACAGGTTCTCCAAGGCCCCACCAGAGCAGCCAGAGTGTCGATTGGTGCACTCACAAACCTTGAGCTAAACACAGGGTGCTGATTGGTGTGTTTACAAATCTTGAGCTAGATACAGAGTGCCGATTGGTGTATTTACAATCTCTGAGCTAGACATAAAGGTTCTCCACATCCTCACCAGAGCAGCTAGATACAGAGTGTCGATTGGTGCACTCATAAACCTTGAGCTAAACACAGGGTGCTGATTGGTGTGTTTACAAACCTTGAGCTGGATACAGAGTGCCGATTGGTGTATTTACAATCCCTGAGCTAGACATAAAGGTTCTCCACGTCCTCACCAGAGCAGCTAGATACAGAGTGTCGATTGGTGCACTCACAAACCTTGAGCTAAACACAGGGTGCTGATTGGTGTATTTACAATCCTGAGCTACATATAAAGACTCTCCACATCCCCACCAGACTCAGGAGCCCAGCTGGGTTCACTTAGAGGATCCTGCACCGGGGCTGTAGGTGGAGCTGGCTACCAGTCCTGCGCCCTGTGCTCGCATTTCTCAGCCCTTGGGTGGTCCATGGGACTGGGCACCATGGAGTAGGGGGTGGTGCTCGTCCGGGAGGCTCGGGCCGCACAGGAGCCCATGGAGTGGATGGGAGGCTCAGGCATGGTGGGCTGCAGGTCCCGAGCCCTGCCCCGTGGGAAGGCAGCTAAGGCCCAGCGAGAAATCGAGCACAGCACTGGTGGGCTGGCACTGCTGGGGACCCAGTACACCCTCCGCAGCCACTGGCCCAGGTGCTAAGTTCCCTATTGCCCGGGGCCAGCAGGGCTGGCTGGCTGCTCCGAGTGCGGGGCCCACCAAGCCCACGCCCACCCGGAACTCCAGCTGGCCGGCAAGCGCCGCACACAGCCCCGGTTCCCGCTCGTGCCTCTCCGTCCACACCTCCCTGCAAGCTGAGGAAGTGGACCCCAGCCTTGGCCAGCCCAGAAAGGGGCTCCCACAGTGCAGTGGGGGGGCTGAAGGGCTCCTCAAATGCCACCAAAGTGGGAGCCCAGGCAGGGGAGGTGCCGAGAGCAAGCGAGGGCTCTGAGGACTGCCAGCATGCTGTCACCTCTCAATAGGAGTAGTTAATAATGGCAATTAGAAGTAATTTATAATAGGACTAATTACATAAATAATATGTTTGGGAAAAATATAACAATATGTTTTTAGTATTTCTATCTGTTCTCTTATGTAGTGATTTATTTTAACTTTTTAAAACTATTGGATATTTAAGTCTCATAGGCTATATTATTTCAACTTTAAGGCGCATTAATAAATGAAAAACATAAATACAAAAACGTAAAATACAACAAGAATGTAAAAGAAGAACATAACTACAATAAAACTACTTAAGCAGATATTACCTATATTTAATAAAAAATAATGACATTTCTTTCTGTCGCATGAAACAATCGAGTATCTTTACCCTTTCTGTTTCTTTTTCCAATATTCTTTCTGTGACCTGTCTGCAACATTTAAGACATCTTTATTTTCTTTTATATAGTGGTAATACTGAATACAGTCAAAGGTAAAATTCACTTTGAATTGCAGCTCTGCTCTTATCAAGCCCATATTACTTAGATTCCTGGTATCATTCTAGTGTGATAAAATCACACTAAATATCCTCTCAACAAAAGCATTTGAGCATTGAATACTCGGTATTTTACTTACTAGCAATAGCAGACTGTTGCAGCGAGCTGAGATCGCACCACAGCACTCCAGCCTGGGCAACAGAGGGAGACTCCATCTCAAAAAAATTAATAAATAAAATGAAATAAATAAATGATAAATTTGGGAAACAAAGCTTGGATTCCAAATAAATTGTATTTTTAGCAAGAGATTGATAAAGTCCTATTTAACTTGCATTCTGAAGCAGTCTTTTTTTTTTAAAAAAAGAATCTTTTCTTAGTGTATGAATCTTTATGTCACAATCTACATAACATAACATTGTTAAAATTAATGGGAGGCTATTGTTTTGGAATGAACTCCTGCATTAGGCTCCAACAGACCAGACCAAACCAGAAGGGAGCCCTTTGTGCAGGGTGCCAAGTAATCAAACTGAAATTTAAAACAGGCCAGTTTTCCAAAAAACAGGAGATTCACAATAACCAGTAGAAAAGGGTCCAGACTACCTCAGCCAGCATGTTAAGGAAGTATCCTCTGCTTTAACCTTACAAGGACAGTCACTTTGTAATTACCAATCCACCTATTGTTCCTTGTTTGTAGTTTCTTCAGCCTTTTCTACCTATAACCTCATCTCCTCGTCAGAGCACCTTCCTATTTTGTAGATGAGATGCTGCCTGATTCATGAATTGCCAATAAAAGTTGATCTGATCTTTAACCTAAGTGTGTTGAAATTTTGTTCTTCGACAACGTCAAACAAATGAAAGTATAAATTTCTGTTTTACGGTAGTTCTTTTCTCCATTCTCACTCTTAAAATATTGTCAAATTAGAGAATAGCATTCCTCTTGTCCCACATTTTGAAAATATGATTTTACACCAAGTAAACATTTTAACATCTATCCTATGGCCAGCAATAATTATAGTCAACTTTAGACATTTCTAAGGAGGCTACCTCCTTTCGTTTCTATAAAGTGAAAATTCTTATTGTTTCTGCACATTTTGAGGAAACTAAAAAGTGACCATAAATCTCATTAAGCCATGAAAGCCTCAATATCACCAGTAAACAAATCACAATCCTTCTTAGCAGTGTTGTTTGTTTTGTTTTGTTTTGTTTGAGACGGAGTTTCGCTCTTGTTGCCCAAGCTGGAGTGCAATGGTACGATCTCGGCTCACTGCAACCTCTGCCTCTGGGGTTCAAGTGATTCTCCTGCCTCAGCCTCCCGAGTAGCTGGGATTACAGGCATGTGCCACCACACCCCGTTGATTTTTTGTATTTTTAGTAGAAACGGGGTTTCACCATGTTAGCCAGGCTGGTCTCAAACTCCTGACCTCAGGTGATCCACCAGCTTTGGCCTCCTAAAGTGCTGGGATTACAGGCGTGAGCCATCACGCCCGGCCTCTTAGCAGTGTTGTGAACAACATGTGCAGAACACGTCACATGTAAGATCTTTTCATTTTCTTTGGTAGAAAGTTTATAGTCTGAATGGAATTTGCCAAAATTTACATTTGCACTGTCTGCCAAATATGCAGATAGATGAGCAAGATCTAACTTGTAGTTGACCAACATATCAATGATTGTTTATGCTTCAAGTGGTTTCATTAAGTCTTCATGCATACCAGGAAAGATGATTTTCAACATCATGTTTCAAATCAAAGTATGTAAGAGCTAAGGGAAACTTTTTTTTTAATGGTTGAGGTGGATTTGACACATCATTATGTTGTAGAGAGCAAGGTCGTCTGATAGAATCAGCTGTACACTGCAAGAGACCAATATGTGGTATCAGAATTTCCTCTTGTTCACCCACGAGATGCAACCTCTGAATCAGGAAATAGAGTAATTAAGGAAGCCATAAAATAATGCGTGTTCTTTTCTAATATTCTGCCCAATACCATTTTCTTTTATTTAATTTTAACTTTTTTTAAGGTCTCCTTGTAAGCAAGCCCAATGCTATTCTCTACAGAGCGCTGGTGTCACTTTTGGGAGACAAAAACACTTTTGATTGGTTCAGAAGTTCTTGCCTGTCTCATCCCAGACTTGAGAGATGCCGTCTCCCTGTGTACTTTCACATCCAAATCTGTTTTGAATATTGCGTAGTATGCTCCGTTTTGATTATTTATTCTCCAAATCCGGTTGTATGTGTCCTTCTATCTGTCATTGAAGTAACAGTCTACTTAGACTTTTTCAGTGCTATCTGGGTTATGCTGGCGTTCGCATGATAATCGTTCTCGTTTTCGTTATCTAAACTCTAAAAATCTGGCCATAATATTCACAATGTTAAAAATTAAACTAAGGCCGGGCGCGGTGGCTCAGGCCTGTAATCCCAGCACTTTGCGAGGTCGAGGCGGGCGGATCACTTGAGGTCAGCAGTTCCAGAATAGCCTGGCCAACATGGTGAAACCCCGTCTCTACTAAAGATACAAAAAATTAGCCGGGCGTGGTGGTGCAGGCTTGTAATCCCAGCTACTCGGGAGGCTGAGGCAGGAGAATCGCTTGAACCCTGGAGGCAGCTGTTGCAGTGACCCAAGATCACGCCGTTGCCCTCCAGCCTGGGCGACAAGAACGAAACTCCGTCTCAAAAAAAAAAAAAAAAATTAAACTAGCAATACAAACTAGCACTATGTAGACACAACAGTCTACAGTCAAAGACCGAGTGCTACGGTCACGGCTGAAAACGGTAACATCGCGCATTTAAGTCGCCTCACTCAGAGCGATGCACGGTGCAAGGTTGTCACCATCAGCGGACAGGGGAAAAACGGCGACAACTACAAAAGTGGGATAACCTAAACCCTATTATCCATTGGCAATAAAATCAGTGTTGCTTTCGGCCCTGGGGCAGGGGTGGGAACAAGGATGGGGTTGTCACTTTTTGTGTGTATATATTCTCTCCAACCTATCGCCAAAAACCGAAAGCCCGGACTTTTCACATCCCAGGTAGGGTTTTCCTGGGAAGTGGGTCTTTGAGTGCTAAACTCCAGACAATCCCCTGGCAAACAAAGACAGTGGAGAAGACAAGCTTTTCACCCCTTCCTGCTATTACTACCGTTCTCACATCCTAGCAGATGCCCAAGAGTTTGCACCAAGAGCGCCATATTCTTTACCCCATGAAGTTGCATTTGTCCAAATCCCTTTGGACTTCCTCAAGACCGAGACGGAGACGTGATTGGGGAAGACTGCAGTGGGTTGAAAAGCCAGTGGGACTTAGGGAGGTATTTTTTTAAAACAGACGGCCTTACAAGGAGTTTGCTGTACATTAAGACGGCCTTACAAGAAGTTTGCTGTACATTAAGACGGCCTTACAAGACGTTTGAGCACATGAGATAGCGACAGGTGGAGACGCCTGTCAAAGGACATTGTTTTGTTGTTTAAGATAGTAAACGCTTCAATGCTTCCGGATGGGAAACACCGGATCACTTTTCCTGCGGGAAAGAACCGGTATGGAGGGAGAGAGAAAAACAGGCCGTTTTCCTGATCTCTCCAGACAAAATGGATGGACGCCCGTGCAGGTTAATTGTCAGGTTTCTGGACAGGACGTTTTGGAAATTTTCCACCTAAGGTGAGAAGTGGGGGGTCATCAGTTCAGAATAAGAGGGGCAAAAGCAGCGGGATCAGCAGCGACTTTCTTCATCTGATTCAGGTTTTGGAAGCTGGTGAGCTTTGAGAAGTTTCATAAGAATATTTTATTTTAGAAATTTAAAATAAAGGTAATGTAGACAAAAATGTTTAAATAAGGTAAAAATCAGTGTTGAAAACACCTGCTGAGGAGCACTAGTTGTCTGCCTCCTTAGCGCAGTAGGCAGCGCGTCAGTCTCATAATCTGAAGGTCCTGAGTTCGAACCTCAGAGGGGGCAGCTGCCATTTTGTCCCCAACTTCCACAAATAACCCTATTTGTTCAGTATACAATTATCTCTATAATTGCCGGGCCCGGCATATGTTGTCAGACAGACGAAGTCTCAGCTCTCTTTGTCCCGACGGCTTATCAAGTTCTAGTAAATCTCTTTTAGTTCTTCTTATGAGTATCATCTCTTTCCAGTGGGCTTGCTGTTTTCTCCGAGTTCTTCTGACCTCAATTCCCTCGTGGGACAGTATCCTTCTACTGGTGCAACTTAATTTATTGAAAAAATGAATAGACAGATGAAAACCTGATATTCAATTTGTTGTGGCAGCCCTAGGAAACCAACACACCATCCCTTCTTTCACTCACCAACCTCCCATCACATCAACCTCAAGCTGTTTTATTTTCTTCATAGAATTTTTTACTATATAAAGTTTCCTTGTTCTTTTATTTTTTAACGTTTTTATTGTCTGTTGCCCACCCATCCTCCTAGACTGTAAATTCCGTTAGAGACTGAATTTGTTTTATCCAGTTCTATATTTTCAGTGCCTAGCACGGTATCTGATAAACAAGTATTTCTCAAATCAATCATTTAATTTGCATATTAAATGTTATGGTTTTCTTTCCATGCTTCTTGTCACTATCTTATTCCACACAATCAACATCTCAAACTTAGATTACTTGCAATCATCACCCCAGCAGTTACACATACTGAAATTCATCTTGCAGGCTATACCTCTCTGGCCCAGTCCGTGCTGCAAAAAGAGAGGGCTCTCCTCCAACATGTCTGGACCTCAGGGGTCTGTATTTCAGGACAGCTCTCTTAACAGTTCATTCTGTTGCCGACTTAAGGAAGCGTTTTATAGGGAACATCTTAACAATTTCGTCTGGACCCTAGGCCTCTGGTTCCAGGAGCCTGCATCTACCACAGTTAAGGAAATGCTGTTAAAGATTTGGGAGAAGCCTAAGAGCTGGGTTGTCTGGCTGTTCAGGCAGCTCTCCAGAGACTGCTTTATCCTTATTGGAGCCATCACAATTCAGAGTCTGTTCCTCTCCTTTGCAGAATCAGACACTATTTTTATTTTATTTACTTATTTGTATTATTTATTTTGAGTCTCCCTCTGTCTACCAGGATGGAGTGGAGCCGTGCGATCTCGGCTCGCTGCAACCTCTGCCTCCCTGGTTCAAGCTATTCTCCTGCCTCAGCCTCCCAAGTAGCTGGGATTATAGGCGCGTACCACCACTCTCGGCTAATTTTTGTATTTTTAGTAGAGACTGTTTCAGCATGTTGGCCCGGCTGGTCTCGAACTCCTGACCGCAGGTGATCTGCCCGCCTCGGACTCCCAGAGTGCTGGGATTACAGGCGTGAGCCACCGCGCCCCGTCAGAAATTATTTTTATGTATTTTTATTTTTATTTTTTGTGACGGAGTCGCTCTGTCGCCCAGGCTGGAGTGCAGTGGCGCAATCTCGGCTCACTGCAAGCTCTACCTCCCGGGTTCACGCCCTTCTCCAGCCTCAGCCTCCCGAGTAGCTGGGACTACATGCGCCCGCCACCACGCCCAGCTAATTATTTTTGTATTTTTAGTAGAGACGGGGTTTCACCGTGTTGGCCAGGATGGTCTCGAGATCCGCCCGCCTCGGCCTCCCAAAGTGCTGGGATTACAGGCGTGAGCCACAGCGCTCGGCCGGAAACTATTTTTAAATTCACCTAGAGTTTTTAAGACTTGCAGGGCTGACTCACGGTAACTAAATGCCAGAAATATGCCAAGCCAGAATATGAACATATTATAACTTTCTTGATAATTGATCAGTATATTCCCTCCTACGTAAAATAAACTCTGCACTGGAAAGCAAGTAACAACAGAAGATTACTTTGGCACCTGTAAGCAGAGTAACAGGAATCATAAAATATTAAATACTTCGTATTCTAAGGTTGTCCTTAAATGTTAGTTTTCTTCAGAAAATCTGGGGCTATCTCACTGTAGAGGGCCCATGTATTCACCTTACTACTTTTATTTGGCATCAGAGTTACTCGCCTATTCGTGGTTTAAAATTTGGGGTTCTACAGGGTTTGGTGAATTTTTGCAGTATATGAAATCTGTCCCTATAAAACGATAGTATCCTTTTTGGCTTTTTCAAACATGATACCAGAATCAGGTACTAAAAGCCACCACTCCCGCCCGAACAGGGACTTGAACCCTGGACCCTCAGATTAAAAGTCTGATGCTCTACCGACTGAGCTATCCGGGCTCCCTGCAAAAGCCTTCTTCCTGCACATTCTAGTGAGTAAAAAGGTGCAGAAACTTGATATCGTCCAACTTAAATCCTATCCATGTTCCTTTTCTTTATTCCCATCTATGCTTTTGCCCACTTTGAATATGGCTCACAGTTATTTTTGTCCCCAACTCATGGAAAAAATTAACTCCCATCTTTGTGTAATGTACTCCAAACAATTACTTGTAAAAGCAATGTATAACTACAGACGTAATCGCCGGGTTTGTCTTGTCTTTAGTCTTCAAAGGTTATGCTCCAGTCTTCCCTGCGACCTTAAGAACACCTGGCACACGGGCGCGGTGGCTCACGCCTGTAATCTCAGCACTTTGGGAGGCCGAGGCGGGCGATCACAAGGTCAGGAAATCTAGACCATCCTGGCCAACATGGTGAAACCTCGTCTCTACTAAAATACAAAAAAATTAGCCGGGCGTGGTGGCGCACGCCTGTAGTCCCAGCTACTCGGGAGGCTGAGGCAAGGGAATCGCTTCAACCCGGGAGGCGAAGGTTGCAGGGAGCCGAGATCTTGCCTCTGCACTTCAACCTGGTGACAGAGTGAGACTCCAGAAAAAAAAAAAATAGGTTTTGAGAACTTATTTTGAGCAAGGCTCTCAGCTTTGCCCCGGGTTTCCTGCAGTGGAGAAGTACTACTGAGAGGTGACAGCGTGCTGGCAGTCCTCACAGCCCTCGCTTGCTCTGGGCGCCTCCTCTGCCTGGGCTCCTACTTTGGCGGCACTTGAGGAGCCCTTCAGCCCACCACTGCACTGTGGGAGCCCCTTTCTGGGCTGGCCAAGGCCGGAGCCCACTCCCTCAGCTTGCAGGGAGGTGTGGAGAGAGAGGCGCGAGCGGGAACCGGGGCTGCATGCGGCGCTTGCGGGCCAGCTGGAGTTCCGGGTGGGCGTGGGCTTGGCGGGCCTCGCACTCGGAGCAGCCGGCAGGCCCTGCCGGCCCCGGGCAATAAGGGACTTAGCACCCGGGCCAGCGACTGCAGAGGGTGTACTGGATCCCCCAGAGGTGCCAGCCCACCGGCGCTGCGCTCGATTTCTCGCCGGGCCTTAGTTGCCTTCCCGCGGGGCAGGCTTCGGGACTGCAGCCTGCCATGCCTGAGCCTTCCCCCGCCTCCGTGGGTTCCTGTGCAGCCCGAGCCTCCCCGACGAGCGCCGCCCCCTGCTCCACGGCACCCAGTCCCATCGACCACCCAAGGGATGAGGAGTGCGAGCGCATGGCGTGGGGTTGGCAGGCAACTCCACCTGCAACCCCGGTGCGGGATCCACTGGGTGAAGCCAGCTGGGATCCTGAGTCTGGTGGGGACGTGGAGAATCTTTATGTCTAGCTCAGGGATTGTAAATACACATATCGGCACTCTGTATCTAGCCCAAGGTTTGTAAACACACCAATCAGCACCCTGTGTCTAGCTCAGGGTTTGTGAGTGCACCAATCGACACTGTATCTAGCGGCTCTGGTGGGGCCGTGGAGAACCTGTGTGTCAAAACTCTGTATCTAACTAATCTGGTGGGGACGTGGAGAACCTTTGTATCTAGCTCAGGGATTGTAAATGCACCAATCAGCACCCTGTCAAAACAGGCCACTCGGCTCTACCAATCAGCAGGATGTGGGTGGGGCCAGCTAAGAGAATAAAAGCAGGCTGCCGGAGCCAGCATCCACAACCCGCTCGGCTCTTCTTCCATATTGTAGAGTGTTGTTTTTTTTTTTGCTCTTTGCAATAAATTTTGCGACTGGTTACTGTTTGGGTCCACATTGCTTTTATGAGCTGTAAGACTCACCGTGAAGGTCTGCAGCTTTTTTCCTGAAGTCAGCGAAAGCGCAAGCCCAGCAGGAAGAGCGAACAATTCCAGACGTGCTGTCTTAAGAGCTGTAATACTCTCTCCGAAGGTTTGCAGTTTCACTCCTGAGTTAGCGAGACCACGAACCCACCAGAAAGAAGAATACTCCTAACACATGGGAACATCAGAAGGAACAAACTCCAGACACGTCACGTTAAGAGCTGTAACACTCACCGCGAGGGCCCGTGGCTTCATTCTTGAAGTCAGTGAGATCAAGAACCCACCAATTCGGGACACACTACCTCAGCCCTTGGGGCGTTCATATTTTACAAGTGAAAAGCAGCCGTTAAACGACAAATTACACTGTTTAAACAGTCACTGTAACACATGCTCTTGAGAAAACGTTCAGGTTACAAAATGTTGAGGAAAAACAAGCAAAATCTCATGACCTTACTTTGCAAATTAAACGAGATAATGTAAGCAAACGCTTGGTGACATTTCCATGAAAATTAGGTGTTATCACAATTATTCTTATTGTAAAGTGGATCATTTAGAACACTGTATTTTAACCATTTTGCTTGTGCCACTTTAGACAAGTTTGTTAATCTCTTGACCACTTTAATCTCACAGCAGAAATCCCTCAAAGGCTAGGTCTAGCACAATGGTTGTCATGTGGTACATTTCTGATCGTGCATTTATTTATGCTACTATTGAAAAACAGATTCGAGGTTATTTACACAACTATACTGTAAGATAAAGTGAAAAATGTTAATTTAAATCAAGATAAAGGGAACATAGAGAAAAGTAAGGTGAGACAAAATAATGCACACTGTAAATCGCACACTGTAAATCACACCCTGCCCTCTATCTTCAAGAGCATGGATTATAAAGGGAGATGACCTCTTCCAGGGGATTAGAGAAGACTTCTCCCAGGAAGTGATGTTTAAACTGAAAACTAAAGGCCTAGTTGGACAAAAATGTGATTCCAGCATTCCAGGGAGATTAAAGAGCAGAACACTTCCAGACACCTGAGAGAAGGCCTGAGCAGCTTGTGTACAGAGAGCTCAAGAGAGTGTTCATGAAGGTGGGGTCTGAGGTGGACAGGAAGGCAGGGACAGACCAGTGACTCACAGGCTCAGAGGTTATGGCTAGTAGTGCAGAGAGCTGACTGCACCCTAGCAGCAATGTGAAGCCACTGGGAATTCTAAGCAGGAAGAAATGACATGATGAGATTACTTTTAAGAGTACACTGGCTTTATGTAAAGAATGAGTCAGAATGGAGGAAGAGGTGATGCAAAAACATAAATTAGGCCATTGTGCAGAAGAAGGCCATCGAGACATGGCAGTGGGGAGGAATGATGCAGAGAAACTGGGGAACAGCTAGAAGAAAGAAAACTTGGGCCCAGACTGCCCCTGGGAACCTGGAGGGCAGGAGGTGTCAAGATGTCTCAGCTGCTTATTTACCAAGAAAAGCTCTTTACAGGGAAAGGCAGAAATAAAGCAAAACAGGGCGAGGCCAGTGGCTCCCACCTGTAATCCCAACATTTTGGGAGGCAGAGGTGGGCAAATCAATTGTGGTCGGGAGTTCCAGACCAGCCTGGCAAACATGATGAAACCGCATCTCTACTAAAAACACAAAAATGAGCCAGGTGTGGTGGTGCATGACTGTAGTCCCAGCTACCTCAAGGGTCTGAGGCAAAATAATCACTTGAACCTGGGAGGCAGAGGTTGCAGTGAGCCGAGATCACACCACTACACTCCAGCCTGGGTGACAGAGCAAGACTCCATCTCAAAAAAAAAAAAAAAGAAAGAAAGAAAAAAGAAAAATTAGAAATAAAGCAGAATAGGAAATGGCACCTTGTAGCTTTTGAGAGTTCTCTGGGAAGCATAGAACATTTATTCTGCTCTTGATGAGGCAAGTGCTCCTAGTTTTAACCAGTAAGCAAGCCCTGGATGACTAAACAAAAATGAGGAGAATTTTGGGAGGAAATGATCTCTCCAGAGACGGTCAACATAGGATAAATGAATATAGGCCGAGTAAGTCCTTGACTGGGGCTTCCAAAATGTTGCCACACTGATGGCATTCAAATCTCCTGGAGTCACTGTTAAAAACTCAGATTCAGGCCAGTTGCAGTGGCTCACACCTGTAATCCCAGCACTTTGGGAGACCCAGGTGCATGGATCATCTGAGGCCAGGAGATCGAGACCAGCCTGACCAACATGGAGAAACCACATCTCTACTAAAAACACAAAATTAGCCGGGCGTGGTGGCGCATGCCTGTAATCCCAGCTACTCCAGAGGCTGAGGCAGGAGAATCGCTTGAACCAGGAGGTAGAGGTTGCCGTGAGCCGAGATCGTGCCATTGCACTCTAGCCTGGGCAACAAGAGTGAAACTCCATCTCAAAAAAAAAAAAAAGATTCACAGATTCTATCTCAGACTCATGAATCAGAATATTCTCAAGGTCTGGCTGACCTCCACAACTTAAATCACTGTTGTCTTTTCTCTCCCCTATGCAGCGAATTCCCTCTCTGAACATGATCATGACCTCTGAGACCCTGCATGATCTATGTGCATCCTGTAGGGTCTATGTGTATCTAACCCCCTCATCTCCTATCAAGTTCTCCCTTGTTTACTGACCTACAGCTGCACTAGTCTCCTCCTTCGTTCCTTGAACATGCCAATGGCATTCCTGCCAAGCCTTTTGTAATTACTGTTCCCTTGGCCTGAAATTCTCTTCTCCCTGATAGCCTCACAGCTCACTCACTCACTTCCTTCAAGTCTCTGTTCAGATGCCTCCTTATCAGGAAGGCCTCCTTGGTCACCCTTTATTATAAAGCAATCCCCTCCCCTTTGTTCTCCATTCTCTTGCTCTTTTCCTTCATGGCATGTATCACTACTTCACATTTTATATATCTGGTTGAATTTATTCTTTATCATTCCCCACTAAAATGTAAACTCCATGAGAGCAGAAGCTTTTTCTGTTGTGTGGAGTGCTATCCCTGCACCCCCTATGTGTGGTTCAGGGTCTAGTTAAGAAATAAGGCTGGGCACGGTGGCTCACATCTGTAATCCCAGCGCTTTGGGAGGCCGAAGCGGGCAGATCACTTGAGGTCAGGAGTTCAAGACCAGCCTGGCCAACATGGTGAAACCCCGTCTCTGGTAAAAATACAAAAATTAGCTGGACGTCGTGGCGGGCGCCTGTAATTCCAGCTACCTGGGACGCTGAAGCAGGAGAATCGCTTGAACCCGGGAGGCAGAGGTTGCAGCGAGCTGAGATTGTGCCACTGCACTCCAGCCTGGGTGACAGAACAAGACTCTGTCTCAAAAAAAAAGGAATAAGACTAGGTATTTCAACTGGGCACACCATGGTAACTCAGAGGTGATAACTACTGGGAAGTAGCTACCACCTTGTAGGGCTGGAAGAACAAAAAGGAAGAGGTTGAGACCACTGAGGAAAGGCATCCTGGAGTGCTAAAGAGGACGCGCTGCAGCTGGACTACTACTTACTTATGTAATGGACAGTGAGACATTCTGGAATGCATGAAGAGAACAAATAGAGATGGGATTCAACTGCCATTGTTGGAGTGACCTGACAGGAAGAACAAAATTTAGAAAGCAGCCCCTGCTTCTCTCCTCTTGCTTTCTAGTCTCTTTCTGGTTCCTCTTATTGACAGAACACAAGAGGAAGCCAATGGGCAAAGGAGTTTGGGAAATATCATTTGCAGGCGCCCAGCCCCAATGTCACAAAACAAAGTATATAAGGGTGATTTTAAAGCTGAGAGGGAATGGATTAATAGGAACACAGCTTGGAACAAAGTAGGACTCAAGAGCAGGACATTAATGATCAGTCTTGCTCATTATTATTTGAGTCAGGGGCTCATCTTGACTGTAAATATCAGCCTATCTTCTTCACTTCTTGTTTCTCTTTTTACCCCTTCCTGCATCTGGTAGTTTGGATGATTTAGATCCAGTCAACAGGACTGGAAGCAAGAGAAAAGGTCCAATGCAATGAGACTGAGGGGGGAGTTTTTTGTCAGTTTTTTGTTTCCTTTCTTTTTTCATATGGAATGTTATTGGTGGCAACCTGGTGGTAAGCCATTCCAGAAGAATGGTAAAAGATAACCAAGTCAGTAATTGATAATTAGATTCTATACCTTCCACACCCCTAGTACAACCCTCCACCCACTTTTTCTTATCTCAGCACTCTAAAACTGGCAAGTTTCTTGACTCTGGTGTTGTTAAAACAAAGACAATTGCCAAGCATATCTGAAAAACATTTGAAAATGCTACCAGCTCTATCTCCAATTGGTATGCAGGGCGGGAGGGGAGATGAGAATTTTGGAGAATTTAATTCTTAGTGAAAATCACTGTTTTGTAACTGAACATGGTTCTATTAAACAGCAATTACCCGTTCTGTTCCATCAAAGCAATGTCCTTAGATTTTTTTTTCCCTTACCAGACATATTGTACACTTTTCTATAGAGAAAGCAGAGAAAGAACAACGTTTTGTCAACTTCCTTTGTTGTCTTACTCATTTTGGATCAAGAAGAAGTAAAATGGCAAAACAGACGCCTTGCCCCCTCTGAGGTTCGAACTCAGGACCTTCAGATTATGAGACTGACGCGCTGCCTACTGCGCTAAGGAGGCAACTGTCTCTCCCGCTTAACCAACGGCTCTACCAAGATGATTATGAGGCATTTTAATAAGGTTTTACGTTCTCTGAATTACAGTGTTTCAAAATAAGGCGTAACTATGATTCAATTCACTTCTAAAACACTTTGGATGACAAAACTACGTAGTACAAGGCAGGGGCCAATTCCTAAACCAACCTCGTTCTCCCACAGACCTTCCTAAGGAAACTTTAAGGGCTGCGAAGGCAATTGAGTCTGGACTTTGCGAAAGGCCTTCCTGTACGGGGCCCTGGATTTCTCATCTCATTTCTGGGCCAGGAACGAGGAGTCTTTCCCTCTATGATTAGGGCTTTCGTAGATGTACCGCCTCTGAAACGAAGACAAGACAAATAATAATGAGTTCACTCTTTTCCTCCCTTGTGAAGTTCCGTGGAGACACTCGGTCCCCTGAAGTGGATGAAGGGCGAGGGGAGGAGGTCTCAGGATTTTTCCTCGCTTTTCTTAGAAGCAACAGGCTCAAACCAAACGGTTGGCCTTGCTTACTCCTGAAGTCGAGAGGCTTACTCCCTGGAATCCAAGTGGATGTGGAGCCCATGGCGTCCTCTGGCGCTCTCGGTCTCTTCGACCCCTTTTTACTGTGTTGATGATAAATGGGGCAGGATTCCCCTCCTGCACCACCTGCAGCATCCTGTCCAGGATCCATCTGGGAGCTGAGAAGAAGCAAAGTGTCAGGGATCGGGGGTTCTCGGGCTATGCTGAGAAGCAAGGAATGCTGAAGAAGGGGCCTGAGGGAAGGGCTTATGGTGATGTGGGAATGGGAATGAAAGGACTGGAAAGGGGCGACAGTCACTTGGGTGAAACTGAAAGCGGCGACGCACCCTGTGGGTGGTAGCGTGGCCGAGCGGTCTAAGGCGCTGGATTAAGGCTCCAGTCTCTTCGGGGGCGTGGGTTCGAATCCCACCGCTGCCAGTGTGAGGTATTTTTTTTTTCCCCCTCGTCATTCTGACCCAGTAAAGTTCCATTTTCAAGCCTTGTGTGGGCAGTTCTCACAGCTTCCTAAGTGAGACAGGTTCCTCTTCTGTTTTCCTAGGGGCCACAGATAACACCCATATGTACAGTCCCACAAACGGTGCCCAAATGTTTCTCGATTTAGGGGCTCAGACATCTCGTCCCCTAGTTATTCCCTTCAGTGGCCTTCATGTGTTTTCATTCACTTTGCGAAATTTGTGAACCAACCAAGGGCAATCCTAAGGAAAAAGTACAACCTTCTTAACTCCAGACTCAAGAATAAATAAGCCACGCACGCTCATCTGCCCTATTTTCCATTGTCTTCTCCAAGGGATAAATGTGCTAAGGCTGAAAAAACAAACGAACCAACAAAAGAAACAGTCACCAGACACCTAGAGCCTTTCCCGCTTCACCTATCCTCAGAGAGCAGTTTAAGGTCCTTAGTTGAACACAGTTGAAGAGTTAGCTTTTGAGATTCTGTTATCTTCTTAAACAGTAAACATTTTTTTCTTTTTTTTTTTTAAGAAATAAGGTGGAGGCTCATAGAATAGAAAGAATAACACCTGTTTTAGGGAAGAAGGACTTGATCCGTTATTTACCTGGATCTGGGGTAGTTTAGACCATCTTTTAAGGCTAGGAGACTCGAGGAGATAGAATGGAGAGTTTTTGTGTGCAGGGAGGTGGGTAGATGCTTAGGAGCACTTTACAGTCGCCTAGGCAGAAGTCTTCTAATTTCACTGCTTCCTTCCTCACCTTCCAAAAGATGTATCCAATACATACTAATTGAGCAGATATTTTGTAACAGGCACCTTGCTTGAAAGGATGAATGCCAGCAAATGATTCCAGGGTTCCTTAGCAATTTAGTCTTGAGAGACTAGAGAGGCACATTAAGCATAGTTGACAAATAATTAATATTAAGATTGACTAAAGTAGTAATTTATATCTGAGTATTTCTTCCAGACACGCTACGTATATATGTGGTCTATTTGTTATATGTTGTTCTCACAATTACTAGATAAATAACCATGTTATCTTAATAAAGTTAAGATTTGAAAAAATGAATTACTACATCCAGCACTATAACATCCTAGTTTGGTCATCCATACTAAAGGACACCTATATGTTGGGTCATCTGGACGCTAAGATGTCCACCTGGGAGCTGGGACCTGGAAAGGCAAAAGAAGATAGGAGGAGGAGGAGAAATAATTATTCCCTTTTGAACTTGTAAAATTTAGCCTAGCAAGTGAAGGCAAAAAAGAAGTCTAAAGTCTCCCAAAAGTCTAAGCTGGGCTGTCCCACTGAGTATTCATTCATTCATTCATTCATTCATTCACTCATCCTTTCATTTATGCATTCATGCAACAAGCATTGGTTGAGCTTCTACAAAGTAGCAGACCGTGGGCTATCAAAGACTACTGAGACTCAGCCCTGCACTTAAGGCATTTTGGAGGAATGCGGGAGACAGATTTTAAAAATTTAAGCCCATGGTTACAACTGAGGGGCAGTGCCAAGATACTCGGAGGTTGTTCTAGAGGCATCTGTAGGTATCGTACAATGAATAAATAAGACTGTAGAAAGTAGATAGTATATTTTTTCTTTTCTCTCTTTTCTCCCTTTCAAACCGTGAGACTAAAATTCAATTCACCTTTTCGTGGGCTGGAAACGAAAGAAAATAAAAATCTCCAGGAATAACCATATTCCCAGATCAGTATACTGCCCTGCCCCGAAGGATGGAAAGAAATCTGGGAGAAAGGCGCGGTGGAAACAGTGTGTGAGCCCTACCCCTCCCATCCCTGCGTTTGGCCATCCAAAACAAAAAAACTGCCCCTGCAAAATTACTTTAAATCAATTAGTAAGTAGAAGACAAGAGAGACCCCAGGTGGATCGAGTATCCATTTTTTGTTAAGTAGGGTTCCATGGTGTAATGGTTAGCACTCTGGACTCTGAATCCAGCGATCCGAGTTCAAATCTCGGTGGAACCTTTCATTTCTCTCCTTTTGCCTTGTTTCCGATAACCTTGAGCGTGAACCTTGCTGCTTTCAATTTCAGTTTCATCACTTTTATTTTTGATGGTTTCTGGCCGTGAGGAAAAACATGTAATCTGCGGTCCCAATAACCTATGAGCTCAGGGCCAGTATGTAATGATGGAGTCTGTATACATGTCTTTCTATTCCTACCTAGTCTAGTTTCCTCCCAGTACGCCTCTGGGTGAGTGCTCATGTGGTAAATGAATGCGCCTTTTAACGAACTGACCAAAGCGGGGCAAAACGTGATTCACTACTAAACAGCGAACAAGACTGAAAAGCAAGGGGGCAGACCTCATTGAGAGTGTATCATTTTAGTTAGAATAAAAAAAGTTGAGGTAGAAAGAATGAAAACACAGAAATGGCTGAGAAAGTAGAGTAAAAGGAGAATAAGATAGTTGTGTCAGAAGTGGGATTCGAACCCACGCCTCCATTGGAGACCAGAATCCTCAACACGAGGAAGCCAAGCTTGAGTCTGGCGCCTTAGACCACTCGGCCATCCTGACACCTGGGACACTTACCATCGCAAATTAATATAATCTTCGATTGTAATGAATGCGTAACCAGCGTTAAGTCATTACTACGTTCGCGATTTAATGAAAGAAATGGAAAAGGAAATTCCTACAAGTGAACAAAACGTTCTATTTAAATGGAATCAGGAACCGTGACTCAGCTTGCGAGGCTCTCCTACCAATTCAGGCTAGAATTCAGCGTTTCTCGCCCTTCGCCCCCTTCTTACACTTCCCTGCACGCCCCGGGTACAGGGGCGCGAGCATCCTAACAACCCAGCCGCGACTCTGCCTTGAACAAGAAAGAACACATAGCATGACAAGAAAAAACACATATCCATGACAAGAAAGAACACATAGCACGGGGGCTGTTCCCGAGATGCTGCTTAGCAAACTAATCAAAGAGCTCAGCAGGGAAGAAATGAGCGAGGCAATGTAGACCTGAAGCGAAGCAGGAGAGTTAGCGGAGAGTGGGGGATGAGAGCGGTTCAGGGGTCTTGAACATGAAAAATGACTGTCGATGTGAGTAACAGGAGTTGACTTGGTCAGGAGTTGAAAGAGGGTGAAGTGCAGGGGTGCTAAACCAGAGTAGCATGAAGGAAGTGTCAGCACTGAGCCGAAATCCCCAGATCTCTTCCCTCACCACATTCCCAGAACTAGTCAAACAGGCTCATCTCCCCTCCCCCTACCTCTCCCAGGAGGTTGAAGGAGTATGTCAAGGGAAACTGGGATAAAGTTTTCCAGAGATAAAGAAAGACAGATGAGATATCCAAGTCAATTTACAAGGAAAAAATAAAAATTAAAACAACGACAAACACTGGTATTTGAGGATCTCCCAAAGAAATGGCTGGGTCTCCATAGAATCCCCAAAGACTCTGCAGTCTACAGGCTTGGAGCAGGTCCACAGAGCTTCCAGAATCAGGTGTTTAGTGCCTTACTTAAAATATGTACGACAACCAAGGATAATCAGGTGGTTGTGAAAATATTTCTACAATAAGACAAGGACGAATACAAACAGAAGGGGGCAGGAAGAACCTAAGAGGAAACAAATACAATGCAGGAAGTTGGATTTTTTAAAAATTATAATTAATCCTCGGGAAAGTAAGAGAAGATACTGCACTCATGAAACAAAAAGGAGGGGAGTTCTTAAAATTATTAATAATATTATGATGGCTGGATTTTTAAAAATTTCTTTTTTTTTTTTCTTGAGACGGGGTTTGGCGCTTGTTGCCCAGGCTGGAGTGCAATGATGCAATCTCGGCTCACCACAACCTCTGCCTTCCAGGTTCAAGAGATTCTTCTGCCTCCAGAGTAGCTGGGATTACAGGCATGCGCCACCACGCCCGGCTAATTTTATGTTTTTAGTTAAGACAGGGTTTCTCCATGTTGGTCTGACTGGTCTCGAACTCCCAACCTCAGGTGATCCGCCCGCCTCAGCCTCCCAAAGTGCTGGGATTACAGTTGTGAGCCACTGCGCCTGGCCTAAAATTTCAAAATAAGGTTGTAGAAATCTGGAAAGTTTGGGGTGAATGATGGAAAATAGCAAAGAATTGATAAGAAAATAAAATGGTGTATAATAGAAGATATGCCAACAAACTAACAGGGATTCTAGGAAAAGAGGAGAAAGTGGAATAAAGGAGATAAAGATGTAATATAAGATTATTTTTCAGAACCAAAGACCTTAAGTCTCCAGATTTAAAAGGCCCACCAACTACCCTGCATAGGGTGTGGCAAAGCCCCACAATAAAGCTTGTCATTGTGAAATATCAGATGAATAAAGTGAATATCCTAAATGTTTCCAGAAGGAAAACAAAACTAAAAGATTGCACAGAAAGGATTATGAATTAGAATGTCATCTTTTTTTCTCCACAGCAGCACCAACACCAAAAGCTGAAAGACAATGAGGCAATGCCTTCTAAATCATTTCAATAAAGGAAAATAGTTTCCACAACTAGATTTCTGAACCCAGCCAAACTATCAATCAAATGTGAATGGACATTTGCAGAACATTATCTCCCAAGTACCTTTTCTCAGAAAGCTTCTGGAGAATTGTCCACTAACTAGGGAATTAAACTAAGAAAAAGGAAATATGAAATCCGGTGACTGGGGACCTAACACAGAAGAAAGGTAAAGGAAAAAACTCCGGGGCAACTGCTGAGCTACCAGGCTAGAAGGCAATCAGTCTACGGTGGAATAGAAAAAAGAGGGCTAAACGAGGGTTGTTTCCAATGGGGGAAAATGGAACTGACATACTGCCTCATGCATTTGACGAGAAAATAGTGTCAGAAAGCTGGTTTTGAATTAGGAATAAATATTTAGAAAAGTAAGCAAAGAACAGGAGGCAATTATTAATCCCAGGAAGAACAAAAGGTTGTCAAAGAAGGTAATTATGGTATACCATGGAGCTCAGCTGTGAAAAATATTACAAAGTCATAATGATGAAAACCATAAATATTAATTTATTAATTTAACTAAAAATTATACATATGAGGCTGGGCACGGTGGCTCATGCCTATAATCCCAGCACTTTGGGACGCCGAGGCAGGCGGATTGCCTGAGGTCAGGAGTTCAAGACCACCCTGGCCAACATGGTGAAACCCTGTCTCTATTAAAAATACAAAAAAATAGATGGGCGTGGTGGCGGACCCCTGTATTCCCAAGCTGAGGCGCGAGAATCCCTTGAACCTGTGAGGCAGAGGTTGCAGTGAGCTGAGATGGCGCCACTGCACTCCAGCCTGGGCAACAGAGTGAAACTCCATCTCGTAATAATAATAATAATAACAAATATGAATGTATATTGCCATATTCAAAAATGTATTCAATAAATATATGTTGAATTAAGAAATGTATAAGTAAATAAATATGTCCACAAGAAGAGATTCATGAAGAGTGTAGGCATAAATATAAAGGATTCTTATGGATGTATTCTAATAATAAAATACACTATTGATTAATATATTTTCTTGAGTATTTTCTTTTTATGTCCATCAGTCTCACCTCTCTCTGCTGGGCTAAGGAAAAATTAATCTTTCCTACAAAGCTATCACTAAGACAAAGTAAAAACAGGTCAATGATAATCCCACAGAAACCTTTTAAAGCTGTTAAAACCGCTTCAACATATGAGTTGCTGTAAATGTTATAATTAGTTAAAAAGAACAAGTAGGCCTTGTGTGGTGGCTCACACTTGTAATCCCAGCACTTTGGGAGGCTGAGGTGGGCGGATCACTTGAGGTCAGGAGTTTAAGACCACCCTGGCCAACATGGTGAAACTCCATCTCTACTAAAAATACAAAAAATAGGCCGCGTGCGGTGGCTCATGCCTGTAATCCCAGCACTTTGGGAGGCCAAGGTGCGGGGATCACGAGGGCAAGAGAGCGAGACCATCCTGGCCAACATGGTCAAACCCCGTCTCTATTAAAAATATAAAAATCAGCTGGTCGTGGTGGCGTGGTGGTGGCTGCCCGTAGTCCCAGCTACTCAGGAGGCTGAGGAAAGAGTATTGCTTGGACCGGGGAGGTGGAGGTTGCAATGAGCCGAGATCACGCCATTGCACTCCAGCCTGGGCGACAGAGCCAGACACTGTCTTAAAAAAAAAAAAAATAGCCAGACATGGTGGTGCACACCTGTAGTCCCAGCTACTCAGGAGGCTGAGGCAGGAGGTTGCAGTAAGCCGAGATCATGCCATTGCACTCCAGCCTGGACGGCAGAGGGAGACTCCGTCTAAAAAAAAAACAGAATAAGTAAATCTGGTGAACTGGTTTTCCATTAGTGCAGCTATTTTCTGCTTTTTGGAGATAGTGGTTAAAACGAGGTGAATAGACAGAAATGCATTTACAAATTTATGATATAACTTTTCAATAAAAGGTGCTGGACCAATTAGGAAAAAAACTAAATCTAGACCTTTGCCTCACACCAAACACAAAAATGAATTCATAATGGACCATACACCTAAGTATGACAGGGAAAGTAAAGCTTCTAGAAAGAGGATATGTTAATGAATGTAAGGTACGCAAAGATTTCAAAAACAGGAAAGAGTAACCAAAATGAAAAAAAAAAAAAGTTAAACAGGCACCCACCTGTAGTTCCAGCTACTCAGGAGGCTTGAGGTGGGAGGATCGCTTGAGCCCAGGAAATTGAGGTCGTAGTGCACAATGATAGCCCCTGTGAACAGTCACTGCACTCTAGCCTGGGCAACACAGTGAGAACCCATGTCTATTAAATAAATAAATAAGTGTAAAAATTTTAAAAATAAATCAATAAAGTCGATGAAATAAAATTCATCAAAACTGGAAACTTCTATTCATCAAAAAACATCATTAAGAAAATGAAAAATGGAGGCCGGGCGTGGTGGCTCACGCCTGTAATCCCAGCACTTTGGGAGGCTGAGGCAGATCACAAGGTCAAGAGATCAAGACCATCCTGGCCAACACAGTGAAACCCTGTCTCTACTAAAAATACAAAAATTAGCTGAGCGTGGTGGCGCACACCTGTAGTCCCAGCTACTCAGGAGCCTGAGGCAGGAGGATCACTTGAACCCGGGAGGCGGAGGTTGCAGTGAGTCGAGATTGTGCCACTGCCCTCCAGCCTGGCAACAGAGTGAGACTCTGTCTCCCGAAAAAAAAAAAAGAAAAAGAAAATGAAAAATGGAAGCCACAAATTGCAGGAAACATTTGCAAAATACATACCTGAGAAAGGACTCATCCTAAATATATAAAGCACTCTTGTAAATCAACAAGAAAAAGACAAATAATTTTTTTTTAATGACAAAAGACTTGATCAGGAACTTCCCTAAAGACTACATTCAAATAGTACACATATGAGGCCAGGGACAGTGGCTCACGCTGTAATGCCACCAGCACTTCAGGAGGTGGGAGGATTACTTGAGCCCAGGAGTTCGAGACCAGCCTGGGCAACATAGTAAGACTCCCCCTGCCCCACCATCTCTACAAAAAAAAAAAAAAAAAATTAGCCAGGCATGGTGGCGTGTGCCTGTAGTCTGAGCTATTCAGGAGGCTGAGGTAGGAGGATCCTGTGAGCCTGGGAAGTTGAGGCTGCAGTGGGTCATGATTGCATAACTGCACTCCAGCAAAAGAAAATTTGAAAATGTGCTCAGTATCATTAATTAGCAGGGAAATATAAATTAAAACCACAATGAGATACCACTACAAATCCACCTGAACAGCTAAAATATTTTAAAACACATATGCTGTACCAAGTGTTGGTGTAATATGTGCGGCAACTAGAATTCTCATGCATTGCTGCTAGAAGTGTTAATTAGCACATTCACTATGGAACATTTTTTGGCATTATCTAAAAAACTAAACATATGCCTACTAGCAATTCCACTCCTAGAAATGAGGGCATTTGTCCATGAACAGACATATACCACCAGAACGTTTAGGGCAGCTTTATTCATAACAGACAACAATTTAAAACCCCAATAAGTGCTCATGATAGGAGTCTCTTCATATGAAGTTCAAGAACAGGCAGAATTAATCAATGCTTCTAGAAATTTGGAATAGTGATTTTTTCTAAGTAACCTCTGGGAGTGGATACTGATGGAAAGAGACATGAGACAGCCTTCCTGGATGCTGAAAATATTTTTCCTCTTGATCTGGATGGTGGGTACACACATGTAACAATTCATTAGCTTATACACTGAAGGCTTGTTCCCTTTATGTATATTTTACCTCAATAAATTAACAATATGAAACAGTTTATCATTTAATGTCAATTAAATGCTCTACAGCATAAACTCTAAAAATGTTTGATATAGTTTGGATATTTGTCCCCACTCAAATTGGATATTTGTCTCACATTGAGATGTAATCCCCAATATTGGAGGTGGGGTCCGGTGGGGCCTCCTTGCTCCATTCTCGCTAGGCGATATGCCTGCTCCCCCTTTGTTTTCCGCCATGATTCGAAGTTTCCTAGGCCAGGTGCAGTGGCTCACACCTGTAATCCCAGCACTTTGGGAGGCCGAGGCAGGTGGATCACTTGAGGTCAGGAGTTCAAGACCAGCCTGATCAACATGGTGAAACCAGTCTCTACTAAAAATATACAAAATTGGACAAGCGCGGTGGTGCACGCCTGTAATCCCAGCTACTTGGAGGCTGAGACAGGAGAACTGCTTGAACCCGGGAGGCGGAGCTTGCAGTGAGCCAAGACAGCACTATTGCACTCCAGCCTGGGCAACAAGAGAGAAACTCCGTCTGAAAAAAAACAAAACAAAACAAAAAACCCGGAAGTTTCCCAAGGCCTCTGCAGAAGCAGCTGCCACTGTGCTTCCTGTACAGCCTGCAGAATCATGAGCCAATTAAAACTCTTTTCTTATAAATTACCCAGTCTCAGGTATTTCTCTTTTTTTGTTTTGTTTTGTTTTGAGATGGAGTCTCTCTCCGTGTTGCCAAGGCTGGAGTACAGTGACACAATCTTGGCTCACGGCAACTTCCACCTCCCAGGTTCAAGCGATTCTCCTGCCTCAGCTTCCCAAGTAGCTAGGATTACAGGCACACGCCACCACACACAGCTAATTTTTTTATATTTTTAGTAGAGACAGCGTTTCACTATGTTGGCCAGGCTGGTCTCAAACTCCTGACCTCAAGTGATCCGCAAGCCTCAGCCTCCCAAAGTACTGGGATTACAGGTGTGAGCCACTGCACCCGGCCCTCAGGTATTTCTTTACAGCAGTGCCGGCACAGCCTAATACAATGTTAAAAAGGGAAAAATTGTTGTGACCTGGGAAGACGAGAAAAGTTTTATGAGAGGCTGATCTGGAGGGAGTGGTCACCTGCAAGGAAAGCGGAGGGATCCGCTTATTCAAGGAGTTTAGCCCAGAAAGGGAAGAGAAATGGTTCCAGAGCTCACAAAAGCATTGAAATCTTCTTCAGGCCCAACATCTCTAGGTCCTTCAATTATTTCTCCCTTGCAGTTTGTGATGCCATTCCCACCCACTGTGTTATTCTTTCTCATAGCATCCTGTCTCTTCCATCATAGAAGTTGTCACAATTAGTAACCACATATTGATTTGATTAATAACTGAATGCAACTCCTTATTCTGATTATTTCATACTGCATAACAAACTGCCCCAACAGGTAGGGCTCACTGGGATGATTTTTCTGTAACACCTGGCATTAACTGGCAACTCAGAATGTATCCATTTGGTAGTTGGGCTGCTCTTCACTGAAAATCCTCATGCTTTTCTCAGGGAATGGCTGGAAGGATGGCCTCAATGAGCTCACTCCCCCCTTATGGAGTCCCGTAGTAGAGTAGGTGGACATCACTATGGACTGAGTTGTGTCCACTCTGCCCACCACATACACACAGCTCCCAACTCATGTTTTGGAATTTTAACCCCCAATGTGACTATATTTGAAGATAATTTTTTTTTTTTGATAGAGTTTTGCTCTGCTGCCCAGGCTGGAGTGCAGTGCCTCAATCTTGGCTCACTGCAACCTCTGCCTCCTGAGTTCAAGTGATTCTCCTGTCTCAGCCTCCTGAGTAGCTGGGATTACAGGTGTGCACCACCATGCCCAGCTGATTTTTGTATTTTTAGTAGAGACAGGCTTTTGCCATATTGGCCAGGCTGGTCTTGAACTCCCAGCCCCAAGTGATACACCTGCCTCGGCCTCCCAAATTGCTGGAATTACAGGCGTGAGCCACCGCGACTGCCTGGAGATAGGATCTTTATAGGGATGACAATTAAGGATAAATGATGTCATAAGAGTGAGGCCCTAAGCTGATAATACTGGTGTCCTTATAAGAAGAAGAAGAGACATCAGAGGTGCATGCACACAGAGAAAAGGTCATGTGAGGACATAGTCAGAAGGCGGCTGCCTGCGAGCCAAGGAGAGAGACCTCAGGAGAAACCAACCCTGCAGACTTTGATCTTGGACTTCCAGTATCCAGAAAATAAAATGTGAGCAAATAAATTCCCGTTTTTTAAGCCATCTAGTATTTTGTATGCCAGCCTGAGGAGACTAATAAAGACATATCTATGGTGTCTCAGGACTCAGAGACACAAGACAGGGGCTGTCAGCCCTCTTACAGCCCTGGCCTGGCACTGGTATAGAATCACTTCTGCCATACAGTGTTAGTCACAGTACTCATAGGCCAGCCCACCAGATTCAAGGGGCTGGAGGAGTGGGCTGCACCCTGTTTTCTGTTGTTGTTGTTGTTTGTTTGTTTGTTTTTTGAGACAGAGTTTCACTCTTGTTGCCCAGGCTGGAGTGCAATGGTGTGATCTTGGCTCACTGCAACCTCTACCTCCCAGGTTCAAGTGATTCTCCTGCCTCAGCCTCCCAAGTAACTGGGATTACAGGCATGCGCCACCATGCCCAGCTAATTTTGTATTTTTAGTAGAGACAGGGTTTCTCCATGTTGCTTAGGCTAGTTTTGAACTCCTGACCTCAGGTGATCTGCCTGCTTTGGCTTCCCAAAGTGCTGGGATTACAGGTGCGAGCCACCGCACCCGGCCTTTTTTTTTTTTAAGATGAGGATCTCACTCTGTCGCCCAGGTTGGAGTGCAGTGGCATGATCATAGCTCACTGCAGCCTCAAACTCCTGGGCTCAGGCAATCCTCCCACCTTAGCCTCCCAAGTAGCTGGAACTACAGGCATGTGCCATGATGCCCAGCTTACATATCTTGGTGATCCAATGTCATGTGCATATGAGAGGTCTCTAAGATAGTGACTATCTTGGAGACAGCTACCATCTCGGCCTCCATCCAGCCCCCAGTGGCCTGTCAGCTCCATAAGGGCAGGAATCTTGTCTAGTGTGTTTACCAGGCATGGTCTGCTCATATTCAAAATGCCTGTGTTAAAATCAAGGAAATCCTCAACCCCTTGCTGTTTGAAAGAAGGGGTCAGATTAGCTTTTCCTCCCACTGTCTTCAAAGATTTTATCCCCAGGAAATAGAATATAGCTAAATGTTGGGAAGCACATAACCAATTCAAAAATAAATTATATTTAGATGACTAATGACAATTACATTTTTCAGTGGGTCTTGATGCATAGACCAGTGAGCATTATCTCAGTCCCCTTGCCATAGTAATTGGTTCAGGAATAGGTAGTAAAACCAAACCTAAGCCAACTGGCACATGAATTTCTCTGTCCACAGGGATTAGTCCAATCAATAAGAGCAAAACACAGGGCTTTGCTGGCTGGGAAAGACAAGTCATTGATGCTGTGACTGCAGAAATTTTTTAAAATTTATTTTGACATAATTGTAGATTCACATACAGTTATAGGATGTAATTAAGATTCAGTGGCTGGGTGCAGTGGCTCGCTCCTATAAGCCTTGCACTTTGGGAGGCAGAGGAGGGAAGATTGCTTGAGGCCAGGAGTTCAAGATCAGCCTGACCAACATGGCAAAACCCTGTCTCTACTAAAAATACAAAAATTACCTAGCCATGGTGGCACATGCCTGTAATCCCAGCTACTTGGGAGGCTGAGGCATGAGAATTGCTTGAACCCAGGAGGCGGAGGTTACAGTGAGCCAAGATCATGCCACTGCACTCCAGCCTGGGCGACAGAGCAAGACTCTGTCTCCAAAAGAATAAAATAAAATAAAAATAAAGATCCAGCATACCCTTCACTCAGTTTCTCCCAATGGTAACATCTTGCATAAATATAGTACAATATCACACCAGGAAATTATTTTTGATAAAATCCACCAATCTTACTCAGATTTCACCATTTTTACATACACTCATCTGTTTGTGTGTGTTTAGTTCTATACAATTTTATTGCATGTGTAAATATCACATAGGAACAACATTACAGTCAAGATACAAAACTGTTCCATCACAAGGATCCCTCAGGGTACCCTTTTATAGCCACAGACACCTCCTTCCCTTCTCTCTCCCTAATGCCTAGCAACTACTCATCTGCTCTCTATCTCTATAATTTTATCATTTCGAGAATGTTGTGGGCTGGCCACAGCGGCTCACTCCTGTAATTCCAGCACTTTGGGAAGTCGAGGTAGGTGGATCATTTGAGGTCAAGAGTTGGAGACTAGCCTGGCCAATATGGTGAAAACCCGTGTTTACTAAAAATACAAAAAAAAAAAAATAGCTGGGCATGGTGGTACATGCCTTAATCCTAGCTACTCCGGAGGCTGACACAGGAGAATCACTTGAACCCGGAAGGCAGAGGCTGCAGTGAGCCGAGATTGTCCCACTGCACTCCAGCCTGAGTAACACAGTGGGACTCTTTCCCAAAAATAAATAAATAAATAAATAAATAAATAAATAAATAAATAAATGTTATTAATGGAATCATACAAATCACAACCTGAGATTGACTTTTCTCACTCAGCATAATTTCCTTGAGATCTATCCAAGTTGCTGCCTATCTCAGTAGTTCATTCATTTTTATCTCTGGGTAGTATTTCATAATATGGATGTGCCACTGTTTAACTCTTCACCATTCGAGGACATTTGAATTATTTCTAGGCTTGGCTATTACGAACAATGTTTTGTGCAGATTCTTGGGTGAACAAACATTTTTATTTCTCTGAGATAAATGCCCAGTGACATGCAAATTTGAGACTCTAAACTGCAGCAGCTGTTTGGCTACCTCATCAGAGAGATTCCACCCTGATGACCCAATATAAAGTAATAACCATCACTCTTCATCTTCCATATTCTGATTCATTCCACTTTATGGCATGTTTCATACCATGTGTTTATTGCTTGGTTTGCTTATCATCCAACTTTCCCTCTAGAAAGTAATTCCATGACCCCAGCAACCTTGTCTGTTTTGTTCCACACAGTGTCCTGGAATCTAGAAGACTGGCACATAGTTGACACTCAACAAACATTTGTTGAATAAATTAATGAGTAAATAAATCTCAGACACCTTTCCCTATTAGATTATTTCTTCTTTTTCTTCTTCTCCTTCTTCTTCCTCTTCTTCTTCTTCTTCTTCCTCCTTCTTCTTCTTCTTCTTCCTCCTCCTCCTCCTCCTCTTCCTCTTCTTCTTCCTCCTCCTCCTTCTTCTTTGTTTTTGTTTTTGGAAACTGCATAGCATTTCATTGTACACCTGCATAATATTTTCATTAACTTATCCCCTGTTGGAGCATATTGACGTTGGTCCCAGTATTTTACAAATCCAAACAATGCTGTAATGGCAATCCTTGTATAATCAAACATCTCTGTCCAGATGGGAGAGAAGCAGAGTAGAAGGTTCTACGAGTGAGTGCATTTAAATTTTTTTAGTGATTGTCAAATTGTTTTCTTTTACTTTTTTTTTTTTTTAATCGAGATGGAGTTTTGCTCTTGTCACCCAGGATGGAGTGCAATGGCGTGACCTCGGCTCACCGCAACATCTGCCTCCCGGGTTCAAGCTATTCTCCTGCCTCAGCCTCCTGAGTAGCTGGGATTACAGGCATGCGCCAACACGCCCAGCTAATTTTGTATTTTTAATAGAGACAGAGTTTCTCCGTGTTGGTCAGGCTGGCCTCGAACTCCTGACCTCAGGTGAGCCACCCGCCTCAGCTCCCAAAAGTGTTGGGATTACAGGCGTGAGCCACCGCGCCCAGCCCAATTGTCAAATTGCTTTCAATGGTGTTCTCCCAATTTACATTCTCACAGTGTACTGGAATTCCTCACATTCTCATTAATACTGAATACTGTCAAAGTTTTAAATCTTTGCTAATCTCATAAATTAAAATTAACATCACCTCTTTTCACATGTTTATTGACCATTTGTTCTTTTTCTCTGTACCATCTGTTCATGACCTTTGCTCATTTTTCTTCTCTCTTTTTTTGCTTTTATTTGTGCAAATATTTTGTCTCAAGGAAATTCATCCTTTGTTTAATTTGCTAAAAACATCTTTCCCCAATTTTCCTTTATCATTCAGCTGTTTAGAAAATTTTTTTATAAGAAGACATCTAATTTTGAATTCTGTATAACCAAATTTATCCATTTGTGACTTCTGTGGGGTCATGTTTAGAAAGATCTTCCAGATGACAAGTGCCTTAAAAAAAATCAATCAGTTTTCTTTTTCCTGGAATTTTTATGGATTAATTTTCTTAAAAAAATTTCATTGATCAATAATATAGTTCAGTATAAGAAGTGAGATGAGATCTTTTTTCTCCCAAGTAGCTAGCCAGTTATTCCACAATCATTTATTGAATGTATAGCACCAACCTGCAATTTCTCCTGTATCTTGTACTAAATTCTTTTTTTTTTTTTTTTTTTTTTTTTTGGAAATGGGGTCTGGCTCTGTCACCCAGGCTGGAGTGCAGTGGTGCAATCTCGGCTCACTGCAACCTCTGCCTCCTGGGATCAAGGGATCCTCCCACCTTAGCCTCCCCAGTAGCTGGGACCACAGGTGCACGCCGCAACACCCAGCTAATTTTTTGTATTTTTGGTAAAGACTGGGTTTCACCATGTTGCCCAGGCTGGTCTCAAACTCCTAAACTCAAGCCGTGGCCTCCCGAAGTGCTGGGATTACCCTGCATAAGCCACCGCGCCCGGACCTTATATTAATGTTAAATTCTTATTGATATTTTGTCTTTTTCTCCATTTCCCATTCTGTCTCATCTAATACGTTGGCTTCTTAAGTACTGTATTCTTGTATTTATTATGATAATTTTTTATTTTTCCAGACTAAGGTTAGTATCAGTTGGTAAAAGACAGATAAGAGAGAAGGAGATAGAAGAAGCAGAAATACTTTAGGCCTCATCAGGTCCCACTCAGTTTGCTGCTTGGAAGAAGAATGATCCAAGGAGGGAGGGATCAACAGTGTAAAATGTCACAGGTAAGTGACGACTAACTGGGCCTGTGGTGTAGGGGGAAAAGATTTACCAAGACCATTGTAGGTAAAGAAAGGCAGATTTATTAGAGAAAGTAGAAAAATATGTTGCCAGGGAGACAACAGGCAGTATCAACAGAAGAGAAGCTGACTACAAAGAAACAAAGACTTGCTAGGGATTTTATACAATGGAACTTGGACTGATTGATAACGCTAAGGTAGCAGGAAGCTTAACCCGCATTCTTCTGTCAGCCAAGGTGCTTGATAAATCGAGGCGTTTGATGGTAAGCAGGAAGTTTGTGAGTTATGTACAGGAGGGCCATGTGCCCTGGGCCATAAAAAAAGCAGACCTATCACTTGTTTGCTTTATCTTTGCTTTCCCCTGGTCCCACCAGCCTGACTCCTTTTCCCTGATTAGGACTCCACATAAAATGCCTTCGAGATGTTAAGATGAAGACTGAAAAGTGTCCCTTGGATTTGGCCAATACTAGTAAAAGTCACTCGTTCCCTTAGGGCAGGGAGGTTTAGAGGAGGCAGGAGGAAATTCATTTTAAAACGGTATATTTTATTTTATTTATTTTTTGAGACAGAGTCTCGCTCCTGTCGCCCAGGCTGGAGTGCAATAGCGCAATCTTGGCTCACTGCAACCTCTGCCTCCCAGGTTCAAGCGATTCTCCTGCCTCAGCCTCCCGAGTAGCTGAGGTTATAGGCATGCGACACCATGCGTGGATAATTTTTGTATTTTTAGTAGGGACGGGGCTTCCCATGTTGGCCAGGCTAGTCTCAAACTCCTGACCTCAGGTCATCCGCCCGCCTCAGCCTCCCAGAGTGGGTTTATAGGCGTGAGCCACTGTGCCTGTCCCTAAAACAGTATATTTTAGGCCGGGCGCGGTGGCTCACGCCTGTAATCCCAGCACTTTGGGAGCCCGAGGAGGGCGGATCACGATGTCAGGGAATTGAGACCATCCTGGCTAACACGGTGAAACCCTGTCTCTACTAAAAAAAATACAAAAAATTAGCCGGGCATGGTGGCGGGTGCCTGTAGTCCCAGCTACTCAGGAGGCTGAGGCAGGAGAATGGCGTGAACCTGGGAGGCGGAGCTTGCGGTGAGCCGAGATCGCGCCACTGCACTCCAGCCTGGGCGACAGAGCGAGACTCTGTCTCAAAAAAAAAAAAAGTATATTTTATTAATACTCTTTTTTTGAGACGGAGTCTCGCTCTGTCGCCCAGGCTGGAGTGCAGTGGCGCGATCTCGGCTCACCGCAACCTCCGCCTCCCAGGTTCAAGCGATTCTCCTGCCTCAGCCTCCTGAGTAGCTGGGACTACAGGTGTGCGCCACCATGCCCGGCTAATTTTTGTATTTTTAGTAGAGACGGGGTTTCACTGTGTTGGCCAGGCTGGTCATGATCTCCTGACCTCGGGATCCGCCCACCTCAGCCTCCGGAAGTGCTGGGATTACAGGCGTGAGCTACCGGGCCTATTAATAAGAATTTTATTAGGCCTTTATACTAAAGAATTTGGACAATGTCCCAGAGGCAAACACAAACAAATAAACAACAACAACAAAAAACCCACAAAACTTTGAAGATGTCTGAGTAAGAAGCGACAGAATGAAAAGCATTTTCTTCTTTAAGAATTTTTAAGGATGATTCTATTCCTTGAGGTGGTATTTGAATCAGTGAAAAAGTACAAATAGAGAAATTAATGGGAAGGCTGCACGGCTACCGATTCTTTGAAAAATACTTGTAAACTGACACACTGGTGCAATAATATAGGTTAGGATTAGTAATAGAAATTAACATGAACAGGTAAATTAAGCAAATCAAAATTCCATGAAATCTGGATGATGAAGGGAAGACAGTAAACACTCAAGGAAGAGGGGCTGGGCATGGTGGCTTCTGCCTGTAATCCCCTCACTTTGGGTGGCTGAGATGGGAGGGTCACGATCACGTGAGCCCAGGAGTTCTTGACTAGCCTAGGCAACATAGTAAGACCCCATCTCTTAAAATTTCTTTTTTCTTACAAAATTTATTGAGAAAAAGACAGGTGTAACTTTTTTAAATTAAAAAAAAGGAAGGGGACTGTTAGAGATTGCTAATGTAAATATTCCCTTTCCCCCACTCCCACCTTGTTCTACCCAACTCATCTATTTTGTTCTACCTTTTTAAAATTTTTTCCTTTTGTTTTCTTTTTTGAAACGGAGTCTTGCTCTGTTGCCCAGGCTGGAGTGCAGTGGCCTGATCTCGGCTCCCTGCAACCTCTGTCTCCCAGGCTCAAGTGATTCTCCAGCCTCAGTCTCCAGAGTAGTTGGGATTACAGGTGTGCACCACTGTGCCCATCGAGTTTTTGTATTTTTGGTAGAGACGGGGTTTCACCATGTTGGTCAGGCTGGTCTTGAACTCCTGGGCTTAAGCGATCCACCCGCCTCAGCCTCCCAAAGTGATGGGATTACAGGCATGAGCCACCACACCCTGCCTGTTCTACCTTTCTTTACCCCCAGGTCACCTGCCTCCAGAGGTAATAAAGGGTTGGTAAGATAAACACAATCAATTCTGAAAAACAAAGCCAAACTCAAGGCTTGCATCCCCCAAGTAAAGGAGAAGATGAAGGGCAGCTTTATCTACCTATCCATATCTCTCATATTTCTGCACTGTATTGCAATGCTTATTAGTCCTTTTTGGAGTAAATGAGAATAGACATATCCTTTAATTCTTACAAATTTCATTGTTGACCCAATCTCAAACCAAGACCAGACTGTGGTGTGGCCTGGCCCAAGTACTCTACATTTTTCTGGAAATGGGCTAAAGCTATTTGGGACTGGAATTTGAATGACTGGGTACTCAGAGTATGGTTGAGAAGGTAGATGTGGGTTTGGGGCTGGCAAGTCCACTTAATCCCTCAGACTTCTTGTCCCATGGGGAAGAGGACCAGAGTGGAACTCTCTAAAGTGATGATGTGGGCTGCTTTGCCTACGGAGTAGCCATTCTTTATTCCTTTATTTTCTTAATAATCTTACTTTCACTTTGAAAAAATAAAAATAAAGTGATGGTCTGGAAGCAGAAGCCCGCCTTGCTCAGATAGCAAGACAATATTGAGAAAATCTCAAAGAAAACTAGGAAACACCAAGTAAGGGATAAGAAAGCAACTTAAAAATGCTGGAGGTCTACTGGATGATAAGACAATGAGTATTGTGGGACTCCAAGACCCTGGGTCACCGCAGGATTCTTAGTTTCTCTATACTTCAGAAAGGAGCAAGCAATTTTTAGTTGCTACTCAATACAACAACCCTACGTAGTGGGCATTTTAATACCATTTTAATGGATAAACAATCTTATGGTTCAAAAAGTAAAAGATGTAACGAAATCTACTTCTTACTGCGGTACAATTATCATCCCCATTTCACACGAGGAGAAACTGAGGTAAATGAATGGTAAACCAACTTGCTTGGGCACAAGTGAGAGGTAGCAGAACTGGGCTTGTTATTGACACACAGAAATGTTACCATCTGATAATTAAACCTTTCTTTTTCTAAACAAAACTGCAAGTGCCTACAAATGGGGCTGTTTAATAAAAGGCCTCACTTATCAGGTGGGCTCAGTCGGTGACCCTCCTCATCCTCCAGCCTCTTGGGGAGGCCAGGTGTTTGCGCTCCCCAGCACCTATACAAAGCCAGCTTTCATTTTTTCGTTTCTTTTTTTTTTTTTTTTTTTTTTTTGAGACAGAGTCTCCCTCTGTCCCGCAGGCTGGAGTGCAGTGGCGATCTCGGGTCACTGCAACCTCCGCCTCCTGGGTTCAAGGGATTCTGCTGCCTCAGCCTCCTGAGTAGCTGAGACTACAGGCGCCTGCCACCACGCCCGGCCAATTTTTCTATTGGTAGTAGAGATGGGGTTTTACCATGTTGGCCAGGATAGTCTTGATCTCCTGACCTCGTGATCCACCTGCCTTGGCCTCCCAAATGCTGGGATTACAGGCGCGAGCCACTGCGCGCGGCCAAAGCCAGCTTTCTTTTGCAGGGGCTGAGACCTGGCACCAAGAGGAAACCCAACAAAAGACGAGGGGCCCGGGCCCGGCAGCCGCTGAAGTTTGTAGGCCCGGAGCGTGTGGCACCATCTGCTCTTGCGACCAGTGCCCTAGGATAGAGCTTCAGCGCGACCAGTCCAAAGGAGAGTGGCGGAGCCTCCTCGGCCTTTCCAAGAGGAAACAGCTCAGGCCCCCAGGCCACGAAACCTTGTCACTCGCTGGAAGCGCGAGCCAAGCCCCGCCCCCGCGAGCCGCCTCTTCCGCTCGCGCTGGGGTGGGGTTTACGCTGCCGCCGGCATCCGCTCGGACGCGGCCACGTTGTCTTGCGCGCTTTGCCCGCCTGGCCCTGGGACTCTGACCCTCGGCTACCCTTTCCTGCCCCACTAGCGTGGCCGCGAGCCTCGGTGAGCCGGCCGTATTCCCGCTCTCGCTTAGGGGGCACAGGCGCAGGCATCGGCCCGGCCACTCCAAGCCTTCGGTGCGCGGGCGCGTCTGGGATACGGGCCCGGGAGGCGCCGCCCTCCGTCCGCCCGGTGCCTCTCAGGAACAGCGAACCGGAGAGAGCGCCGGAGAGTTGGGCTCAGTGCAGAGCTCGGCGCCGGGGCCCATGCCCGTGCGCCCCCGCAGGCCGGCGCCATGGCCTCCGGGAGTGTGGCCGAGTGCCTGCAGCAGGAGACCACCTGCCCCGTGTGCCTGCAGTACTTCGCAGAGCCCATGATGCTCGACTGCGGCCATAACATCTGTTGCGCGTGCCTCGCCCGCTGCTGGGGCACGGCAGAGACTAACGTGTCGTGCCCGCAGTGCCGGGAGACCTTCCCGCAGAGGCACATGCGGCCCAACCGGCACCTGGCCAACGTGACCCAACTGGTAAAGCAGCTGCGCACCGAGCGGCCGTCGGGGCCCGGCGGCGAGATGGGCGTGTGCGAGAAGCACCGCGAGCCCCTGAAGCTGTACTGCGAGGAGGACCAGATGCCCATCTGCGTGGTGTGCGACCGCTCCCGCGAGCACCGCGGCCACAGCGTGCTGCCGCTCGAGGAGGCGGTGGAGGGCTTCAAGGTGAGGGCGCGGATCCGGGAGGGCGGGAGCGCGAGTCGGACAAAGGGAGGAGAGAGCCAAAGGGGCTTCCTTTTTTCCGCCTAGAAAATGGCTGAGCCGGACGTGTGGTTCACAGCCGTCATTTCCTCTCTGTCCGCTCCAGAGCCTCAGCACTCAGATTTGGAGGAAAACCTGTAGCTGGCGAGGAAGCCAGGAGTGTCCCCACCCCCACTCTCTTTTCTCTGTTTACCCCCATGTTACCTGTCTCACGGACACATTGTACACGGAGACATCCTTTTGACAGTTTAAAAGAAGTGCATAAAACCGCGTACACATCGACAAGCTGCAGACACTCTTACTCCCATCGGCTCTCAGACAAAACGCAGTTGGACGTTAACTGACTTATGCCCATTCCTTAGTCTATAAGCATTTCCCCAGCACTTTCCTGCAATCCGTCCTGGTCTAGAAACTCACAGAAAAGAACAGCTTTTCGCTGCTGGAGTAAGTCACTTAACCACTCTGAGACTCAGGAGATAACACAGTTATGAGGAATATTGTGGAATCATGTGACTCACAGAGCCCTTTGTGAACTGGCACAGCTAAACAGAAACGTGGAAACAAAGTATTACATATAAAACAGTTGTAAGGTGACCTTCAAGGAGTCCATGATACTGTGTATTTTCTGTACGTTGAGGGCTTCAGGAATGCGTACACAATTATGTCCGTGTTTAAATATGAGTACATTCATGTGCAATCACTTAACATTTATGGACCTTTCAGCTATATTATTTCACTCACTCTGGTGAGAACTCTTGAGTAGGTTGGGAAGATGGTGTTTGCCCATTTCACACATGAGGGAAATAAGTCACTTTCACAGTGTACCTATATGGAAGAGCTACAATACAACATAGTTCTAAGCCTCCTACTCCAGTCACAGTTCCGCTAAGTCATGCAATATCCTACCAGGGACAGGTAGATGACTCATTGTTTAAGATAGACACAAATAGTCCTGACGAGGTAGCTGAGTGGTTGAAGCCACAGGCTGCTAAGATAGACACAGATTGCCAAAGGAGTGGCTTGTTTGCCCCTGCGCCCTGAGTCTCTTGTGGGTGGCAGTGTGGCCTAAGGACAAGCGCCAACTGGAGACTTGGCATCAGGTGTGTGGACTCCATGTGTGATAAGAAGTACCATGCTGATGCTAAGGTCTACCTAATTTTGAACTGCCCATCTGTTTTGCTTTTCTCAGGAGCAAATCCAGAACCAGCTCGACCATTTAAAAAGAGTGAAAGATTTAAAGAAGAGACGTCGGGCCCAGGGGGAACAGGCACGAGCTGAACTCTTGGTAAGGGTTGTTGGAATTCACAGTTGGTTCTGCTGGTGCTCTCCTCTTCTGTAGAGCTGATGTTACTTCCCTTAAACTTGTCCAGCATGTCACCCAGAACTTGTAGGTAGAGGTGGATCAACCGCACATGGCAGTGGGAACTCACCCGGAGAACTAAGATTCCCTTACTTTTGGGGAAAGCATGGAGAAGCCAAGTTTGGAACCCTTGGAAATCAGACCTGTCAGTTTACTTTAACCTGCTAACTGCGTAGACCAGGGTTGATCCTTGGCAAAGCTGAGATAGGTAAAATTATTGGATACAGTTAGCTTGCGTTGGTACCATTCTGCAGACAATTGCTAATAGTGGATTTGTGTAATCCCCACTGTTGCTTCTCTTTGGCTTATTCTCCTTTCTTAACAATGCCTTAATTCTGAATTTTTTACTCTGCCCTCTTCCTCCAGTCTCAAGGCCTTAACAAGTGGCTGATGTGTTAATTTATATTAGGGGTATATGGGAATTTTTTTTTTTTTTTTTAAGACAGGGTCTCACTGTCATCCAGGCTGGAGTGCAATGGTGAGGTTTTGGCTCGCTGCAACCTCTGCCTCCCAGTTCAAGCGATTCTCCCACCTCAGCCTCCCAGGTAGCTGAGGCTACAGGCGTACGCCAACAGACTCAGCTAATTTTTGTATTTTTAGTAGAGATGGTGTTTCTCCATGTTGGTTAGGCTGGTCTCGAACTCCCGACCTCAGGTGATCCGCCCACCTCAGCCTCCCAAAGTGCTGGGATTACAGACGTGAGCCACCGCGCCCAGCCTGGCTCCTTGTTTAGAACAAAAGTTTATAATAGAGTCCTGTTGGTGGTGGGGGTTGGGTGAAGAACGAAGGACAGTAAATTATGGCAAACAAATGAGCGCCAAGAGGGAATCGTGGGGAGAGCACCTCTCCCCCTCCTACCCAAAGCTAGAGACAGCAGTTGGTGAACACCCGTGAAGGACAGACAGCGGGTATGGATTACATATGAAGGGCCCAGGGAAATTGGGCAAGGAAGCTGTTATTGGTTGTTCCATCCTCCATAGGGCACATATCTGACCCTGTCACTTTCCTGTGTGACAATCTTCCATGCTTCCCAGTTGGGATAGAGTCCTTACCCCCAGCCTCCCAGGCCAGGCATGACAAGGCCTTACCTTTTCTGGTCCCTTCCCTCAACACTCATGTGCTCCAGCCAGATAGCACCATTTGCTTTCTCTCCCCACTCTTTTGCCTGTGCCATTTCTTCTGCCTGGAAAGGCTTCCCGCTCATTGCCTATGTGGTGAATTCTTGTTCATCACATGAACATTGTGTGAAATTGCTTCTGTGAAGATGGTACCAGTTTCTTTCATTGCAGGCTGTCACCCTATCTTTAATTACCCATCCATGACTATGTATATCATATGAACCTGACTCACTTCTCTGAGTTGCTTGAGAACAGGGACTATGTCTTAATAATCACTGGGGTAATTCAGTTCCTGGGCATTATATATCCAGTCAGTAAAGACTGGAAATAATGAGTTAGCACTGTGCTTGTTTTAATCCATAATGAGGTCTTGGGCTACATGGTCACAGGAGAACTATGAAGGCCCTAGAAATGAGCCGTTTTTCTCTTTACTGCCTTTCCCTGTCGTCTGCATAGAGCCTAACCCAGATGGAGAGGGAGAAGATTGTTTGGGAGTTTGAGCAGCTGTATCACTCCTTAAAGGAGCATGAGTATCGCCTCCTGGCCCGCCTTGAGGAGCTAGACTTGGCCATCTACAATAGCATCAATGGTGCCATCACCCAGTTCTCTTGCAACATCTCCCACCTCAGCAGCCTGATCGCTCAGCTAGAAGAGAAGCAGCAGCAGCCCACCAGGGAGCTCCTGCAGGTAAGGCTTGCAGAGCCCTGCTAGAGCAGCACCCACTGAAAATATCGTCCCTTCTCCTTTGCCAAGTAGTATCCAGGACCCCCTGTCTTCTTTTTAACTCTGCAGGAATAGCAAGAGCTTGCCAAACTCTATATTGTGCACCTTGGAAGGAAACTGTGTAAACTAGAAGTTCTGGTTCACACAACTTGAATTAGTCAATTGCGTTGTCTCATAGAAATGGCAAAAAGAAGACCTGGTGCTTGTGCCTACACAGCACTGACAAGTGGTCTGATTACAGGCAAGGCTCTCAACCTTTTTGGGCCTCAGTGACCTCATTTGTTCAGTAATGAGGGGCTTAGACCACATGTCATTCAAAGACTCTCCTCACTCCAGTATCCTGTAGTTTTAATGTATTACTATAGCCACAAAACAATGAGCACTTGAGCAGGAGTGGTTAGGTTACCTGAGCAGTCCTGTGATTTAACCTTGGTAGAGCAGGTGATAAAGCTGCAGCAGACCTACCCCGGCAAGACTACAGGAAATGAGCTAATGCCTGTCTGTCGTTTGCTCATTCAGTGCGTATTAATTATTTGCTTTGTGTCAGGCACTATTCTAGGCACTGGGATTAAGTGCCAAATAAGCTTTCCTGAATTATATTTTAGTGTGGCGATCAGATAGTTCTTATAGGTATTTGATAAAAGCCATTAAAAATGGATGATGGCGGGCCAGGTGCAGTGGCTCACACCTGTAATCCCAGCACTTTGGGGGGCCGAGGCGGGTGGATCACAAGGTCTAGGACTTCAAGACTAGCCTGGCCAAGATGGGGAAACCCCGTCTCTACTAAAAATACAAAAATTAGCCAGGCATGGCGGTGTGCCTGTAGTCCCAGCTACGCGGGAGGCTGAGGCAAGGAATTGCCCAAAACCAGGAGGAAGTGGTTGCAGTGAGCCAAGATCGCGCCACTGTACTCCAGCCTGGGCAACAGAGCGAGACTCTGTCTCAAAAAAATAAATAAATAATAAAAAATAAAAATAAAAATGGATGATGGCATAGGGCAAGGGTCAGCAAATTATGGTCCATCCCCTGTTTTTGTATGTCCTGGGCAATAAGTATGGTTTTTACATTTTAATTTTAATTTAATATTATTTATTTATTTTGAGATTGAGTCTTGCTCTGTTGCCCAGGCTGGAGTGCAGTGGTGCGATCTTGGCTCACTGCAACCTCCGCCTCCTGGGTTCAAGCGATTCTCCTGCCTCAACCTCCTGAGTAGCTGAGATTACAGGCGCACACCACCATGGCTGGCTAATTTTTGTATTTTTAGTAGAGACGGGGTTTCACCATATTGGTCAGGCTGGTCTCAAACTCCTGACCTCGTGATCTGCCCTCCTCGGCCTCCCAAAGTGTTGGGATTACAAGTGTGAGCCACAGCGTCAGGCCAGTTTACATTTTTAAATGGTAAAAATCAGAAAAATGTATTTCTTTCTTTCTTTTTTTCTTTTTTTATTTTTGAGACGAAGCAAGAAGGGAGTGGACAGCATAGTAATGCAGTTGAGGTCAAATAATATCAAAGCTGATACCCATTTGATTCAATAACATGACCATCATTGGTGATCTTAGGTAGAACTATCACAATGGAATAATTGGGGCAGGAGCCACATTAGGGGGAGTTGAGTAGTGACTAGGTCAGGTGAATGGAGACTACACAAGTAGATGACTATTTCAAGTACAACTGTTAAGGGGTTGTAATAAAATACTTAGAGACGAGACAGGATTATGGAGTTTTATCTGGAAGGGTTGGTTAAAGAAACTAGAAGTTAGACATATTTTCAAAATACATATGGAAAGGAGTATATGTTGTAAGGTTTCTAGGTGAGGGAGAACACTGAAGCCACAAGAAACCATATACTGGCCGGGCACGGTGGCTCATGCCTGTAATCCCAGCACTTTGGGAGGCCGAGGTGGGCAGATCACCTGAGGTCGGGAGATTGAGACCAGCCTGACCAACATGGAGAAACCCCATCTCTATTAAAAATACAAAATTAGCCGGGTGTGGTGGCACATGCTTGTAATCCCAGCTACTCAGGAGGCTGAGGCAGGAGAATCGCTTGAACCAGTGAGACGATGGTTGCAGTGAGCCGAGATTGCGCCATTGCATTCCAGCCTGGGCAATGAGCGAAACCCTGTCTCCAAAAAAAAAAAAAAGAAAGGAAGAAAGAAACCATGTACTGATCAGCAATGTGCGGTTCCTGAGAAGGCAGGTGGAAATGAGAACTAAAGTACATATGCCAGGAATTAGTGTCAGAGAGTCTTCTGTTGTATGGGAAGAAATGATTGTTTCAGAGTATGGGAAAGACAGTTGGTTTGCGAGAACTAGTAGGAGTATTTGGTCAGTGAACATCTATTTATAGTGTAACCATTCTGCCCTGTTGTGTAACTTTCTTTTTTTTTTTTTTTTAAGACATACTCTTGCTCTGTTGCCCAGGCTGGAGTGCAGTGGTGCAATCTTGGCTCACTGCAACATCCCCCTCTCAAGTTCAAGCAATTCTCCTGCCTCAGCCTCCCAAGTAGCTGGGATTACAGGCGTGTGCCACCACGCCCAGCTAATTTTTGTATTTTTTATAGAGACGGAGTTTCACCATGTTGGCCAGGCTGGTCCTGAACTCCTGACCTCAGGTGATCCTTCTGCCTCGGCCTCCCAAAGTGCTGGGATTACAGGTGCGAGCCACCGTGCCCAGCCCCTGTCGTGTAACTTTCTTATCAGCTTTGCTTTCTCAAATCTTGACTGCTCTGGCGTGGGCACTGAGTAAGCAGATGGTCAGTCTCATCCAGGATTGGGGTTTTGCAAGATGGACTTGAGTGTTTTTTTTTCCTTAGTTTTTATTGTTGTTGTTTGAGACAGGGTCTCACTCTGAAACCCAGTCGGAGTGCAGTGACATGATCATGGCTCACCGCAGCCTTGACCTCCCAGGCTCAGATGATCCTCCCACCTCAGCCTCCCAAGTAGCTGGGACTACAGGCGTAAACCACCATGCTTGGCTAATTTGTGTAATTTTTGTAGAGATGGAGTTTTGCCATGTTGCCTCGGCTGGTCTTGAACTCCTGGGCTCAAGCAATCCATCCGCCTCAGCCTCCCAAAGTGCTAGGATTACAGGTGTGAGCCACCACATCCAGCCTTCCAGCCTTCTTCATTTTTTTAATTGTAAAATATACGTAACCTAAATTTCACCATTTTAAAGTGTAAAACTCTGGCACAAAGTAGCATTTAGTAAATCCACAGTGTTGTAAATTATCAACCACTGTCTGGATCTAAAACACTTTTACCACCCAAAAGGAAACCTCACACTATTAAGCAATCACTCCTCATTTCCTTCTACCCCTAACTCCTGGCTCTATGGATTAGTCTATTCTAGATATTAGATATAATTGAAATCATACAGTACGTAGCCTTTTTCTTCACTTAGCATACTTTTTTTTTTTTTTGAGGCAGAGTTTCACTCTTGTTGCCCAGGCTGGAGTGTAACGGCACGATCTCCGCTCACCGCAACCTCCGCCTGCCAGGTTCAAGCGATTCTCCTGCCTCAGCCTTCCGAGTAGTTGGTATTACAGGCATGCGCCACCACCCCTGGCTAATTTTGTATTTTTAGTAGAGACGGGGTTTCCCCATGTTGGTCAGGCTAGTCTCAAACTCCTGACTTCAGGTGATCCACCCACCTCAGCCTCCCAAAGTATTGGGATTACAGGTGTGAGCCACCACGCCCGGCCTATCACTTAGCATATTTTTTTAAAGATTCATTCATATTGTAATATGTTTCAGTACTGGCCAGGCGCGGCGGCTCACGCCTGTAATCCCAGCACTTCAGGAGGCCAAGGTGGGCAGATCACGAGGTCAGGAGTTCGAGACCAGCCTGGCCAACATGGTGAAACCCCGTCCCTACTAAAAATACAAAAATTAGCCAGGCGTGGTGGCGCATGCCTGTAATCCCAGCTACTCAGGAGGCTGAGGCAGGACAATCACTTGAACCTGGGAGGCAGAGGTTGTAGTGAGCCGAGATCGTGCCATTGCACTCCAGCCTACGCAATAGAATGAGACTCCATCTCAAAAAATATATATATGAAAAAATATATATTTCAGTACATATATATATGTTTCAGTATTTCTCTTTATGGCTGAATAACATTCCATTGTATGGATATATAATATGTTTTGTTTATTCATCAGTCGATGGGCATTTTGGTTGTTTGCACCTTTTGGCTATTGTCAATAGTGCTGCTGTGAACATTGAACACAAAAAGTAGAAAATGGTTCACAAATTTGTGTGTTATCCTTGTGCAGGAGCCATGCTAATCTGTGCATGGTTCCCATTTGAGGATATCTGCTGCTGAAGCAAGCACCATAATTAAGGCTTTAAAACCTTTTTTTAAATTTTTTTTAGACAAAGTCTCACTCTGTTGCCCAGGCTGGAGTGCAGTGGCACAATCTCAGCTCACTGCAGCTTCCACCTCCTGAGTGAGTCTCCTGCCTCAGCCTCCCGAGTAGCTGGGATTACAGGCACACACCACCACACCTAGCTAATTTTTGTATTTTTGGTAGAGATGGGGTTTCACCATGTTGGCCAGGCTGGTCTTCAACTCCTGACCTCAGGTGATCCGCCTACCTTGGCCTCCCAAAGTGCTGGTATAATAGACGTGAGCTACTGCGCCTGGTCTAAAGCTTCTTTTTTTTTTTTTTTTTTTTTTTTAAGAATATTTTTTTAAACAGATGGAGCATGAAACTGAAGGTGGATGATGAGGAAAGGAGAGAAAGAAAGAAGTCATGGACTCAGTAAGGGAGGAGGGGCTCCATGAATATCAAAAAGTGTTTATGTTGGAAGTCACTGGAAAAGCAGGATAAATATTACTTAATGGGGCAATACTGGAGGCATTCCCATTGAGGTCAGAAACAGGCCGGATGCCCAGTATCATTTATCTCTATTTAACACTGCATTAAAGGTTCTAACCAGTTCAGTTAAATAAAATAATTATAGGTATACAAATTGGGAAAGAAGTTAACATACAGAAATCAGCAGCCTTCATATGCCAGATAGCAGCCACTAGAAGACATATTAGAAGAGAACATGCTGTTTCCATTTGCAAAAAAAAAACAAGTGATAAAATATCTGGGAATAAATTTATAAGAAATATACAAAAACCTATGTGGAGAAAATTATAAAACATTCAAAGATTCCTGAAAGACACAAAATAAACTTGAACAAATAAAGAGATATCACTTATTCTTTGATAAGACAGGGAAAGCAAGTTGTCCTTCACATTCATAAATGCAGTTTCTTTTTTTTTTCTGTTACTCGGATATATTATGTAGTGAAGTCTCGGATTTCAGTGTAACCATCACCCAGGTACCCAGTGTACGTTGTACCCATTAAGTAATCTGTTATCCCTCATCCCCCCCCCCCCACCCTTGCAATTTCAATAAAAATACCAACAAGCTCTTTTTCTGGATCTAGACAAATTGACAGTCAACTTCAGATAGAAAAATAAGCACATAATAATATGCACATATAAAATAAGCACATATTATTATGTGCTTATTTTTATGGGATAGGCCGGGTGCAGTGACTCACACCTGTAATCCCAGTACTTTGGGAGGCCGAGGCAGGTGGATCACATTAGGTCAGGAGTTTGAGACCAGCCTGGCCAACATGGCAAAACCCCGTCGCTATTAAAAATACAAAAATTAGCCAGGTGTGGTGGCACATGCCTGTAATCTCAGCTACCTGGGAGGCTGAGGCAGGAGAATCTCTTGAACCCGGAGGTGGAAGTTGCAGTGAGCTGAGATCGCACCATTTCACTCCAGCCTGGGAGGCAGATCAAGACTCTGTCTCAAAAAAAAAAAAAAAAGCTGGGATAGATCACTAGAGCCCAAGAGGTTGAGCCTGCAGTGAGCTATGATTGCACCACTGCACTCCAGCCTGGGTAACAGAGCAAGACTCTGTCTTAAAAAAAAAAAAAAAACATAGGTAGGCTACACTGTGAAAGAAGAGCTCTGAGGGAGAACTGGCCCTACTAGATACTACACCATATTTTAAAGCCCATATAATTAAAGCTGTTGGTATTAGTACAAGAAAAAAGCGCACACACATTGTAACCAGTCAAAAGATAGTATTAAAATTGAATATTTGCCACAAATATCACAAATACAAGTGATAGTTCTAATATAAAAAGACCTTTTAAGTATTGCGAGAGAAAAGACCAAAATTCTAGAGAAAAATGGGTTGAAGGCACAAATAGACAAGCTGCAAAAGACATAAATTGCTTTGTGAACATGTGAAAAAATGCTCAGCTGTACTTATAATAAGAGAAATGCAAACTAAAACCACACTAAAATACCATTTCTTACTCGTTACAATAGCAAAAATTTTCAACTTAATACACTTTTGACGAAGTGTCGGAGAGACACTCATATGCCAGTGGGCTGGTAGGAATGCAAAATCATGACCCTTTTGGAGGAGAATTTCTCAATATTTAACAAAACTGTATGTGTGTGTGTGTATGTATACACACAGTTAGAATTAACAATTTTTCTAGGAAGGGTAGAGGGAGGAGAGATGAGAGATTGATTAATGGGTACAAATATACAGTTTGATAGAAGAAATAAAAGCTAGTGTTTGATAGGTCAGTAGGGTGACTGTAGTTTACAAAACTATTATATATATCTATGTATATACACACACATATACATACGTATATTATATATATATATATATATTTTTTTTTTTTTTTGAGATGGAGTTTCACTCTTGTTGCCCAGGCTGGAGTACAATGGCAAGATCTCAGCTTACCGCAACCTCTGCCTCCCGGGTTCAAGCGATTCTCCTGCCTCAGCCTCCCGAGTAGCTGGGATTACAGGCATACGCCACCATGCCCGGCTAATTTTGTATTTTTAGTAGAGACGGGGTTTCTCCATGTTGGCCAGTCTGGTCCCAAACTCCCGACCTCAGGTGATCCGCCCGCCTGGACCTCCCAAAGTGCTGGGATTACAGGCGTGAGCCACTGCGCCTGGCCTATTTTATAGTCCAAAGTGACTAGAGGAGAATAATTGCAATGCTTCTTGCATAAAGAAAAGGCAAATATTTAACGATGTGATGGATATCCCAATACACTGATTTCTTTACAAATTATGAACATGTTAAATTATCGCATGCACCCCCAAAATATATATGTCTGTTACGTATCAATAAAAAATTTTAAAAATCTAAGAATTTACTTTGAAGATATAACTATTAAAATATATTTGAAAATACATATGCACAAGATAACCTGCTGCAACATTTTTATAATTGCAAAATACTGGAAATAGTCTGACTTAGAAACCTACAAGATTGTTTTAGTTAATTATGCACATATACACTATGGAATACTATCCAAGTTAAAAAAAGGAAAAGAATGATACCTATGAACTGATACGGAGTGGTTTTCAGTATATATTGCTTTGTGGAAAATAAAAATGTGAAATAGAGAGTATGCTACTTTTTTTTTTTTTCCTGAGACAGAGTTTCACTCTTGTTGCCCAGGCGTGAGCCACCGCGCCTGACAAGAGTATGCTACTTTTTGTGTATGAAAGAAGGGAGAGGCCACCGCTGGCTCACACTTGTAATCCCAGCACTTTGAGAGGCCGAGGTGGGTGGATCACCTGAGGTCAGGAGTTCAAGACCATCCTGGCCAACATGGCAAAATGCTGTCTGTGCTAAAAACACAAAAATTAGCTGGGCGTGATGGCAGACACCCGTAGTCCCAGCTACTCAGGAGGCTGAGGCAGGAGAATTGCTCGAACCCGGGTGGCAGAGGTTGCAGTGAGCCAAGATCGCGCCATTGCACTCCAGCCTGGGCTACACAGAGCGAGACTCCGTCTCAAAAAAAAAAAAAAAAAAAGTATACTGGAGTTCTTTGTACTAACAGCTTTTCCGTGTATTTGAAATTATTTCATAATAAAAAGAAAGCAAGCTGGACAGGTAGGCAAGCTTGAGGTCCAATCATAGGACGCTTAAGTTAGTAAATTTGAAATCCTGAGGTCCTTGACCAGTGGATGGTGGGTACTGAAGGAGGGTATGGGAAATGCTGGTATAGCAAATAGTATGCATCCCATTTTCCTCTGCCTGCCTTTTAGCTCCTCAACACTGAGTTATGTTCCAGTGATCCTTTTCTCCCTAATTTCTCCCATGAGAGCCAGTCTGTAGTTGGTTTTTCAACAAACATCTGTGAAAGAAAACCGAAGTTTTAAATGACTTCTCATGGTTATTTTTTTTCCTTTCTCTTGCAGGACATTGGGGACACATTGAGCAGGTATAGTTTTCTGTTTCCCTAGTGTTAAATCAAATATGAGAAGACTGTCTCCTTCACATTTGTAAATCCTGAAAGGAGCCCTGAGCCTGAGGATGGACATCTTATCAAATTGACACATATCCCTGAAGAGAGTCACTAGTATACAAAGAATTAGATGAACCACAGCTCTACTCAGTAAAATTCAGGAAGTAGGGGGTTCATGTGGGAGGCTGCCGGTGGATTAGGGGTATGAGGACACTTCCATGGAGAGGGTGTGGCCTTACAGGGACCTGGGCTGAATATAAGGGTAGTTTATGTCTATTGCTTCCTATACATTTCAGAATCCTTTCCCCCTTCATTATCTCATTTTTTTTTTTCTGTAATGGGGGAAATAAAGCCTAAGAAAGGTGTGACTGGCCTGCATTTACATAATTACTGATGAGCCACCTGGATTCTGGCTCTTATTCTTACTCTTGCTATTTCTCTATGTTCCATCAAAAAAAAAAAAGTGAGGAAGAACTCCCTGGCAGCTGGAACACGATCAAAGAGGGAGAGCTTGGAGGGGGCAGTAAGCCAGGGCAAAGTTGTTTTGCAGGATGGATGACGAGGCAAGTGGGATGGGCCTTGGGAAGCTCATGTTTGGTGTAAGAATGCCTTCAGGGGTGGAAACTGACTTTGAGGAAGCTGTACTGTGAAGGTGATTAAGATCCTGAATGGTGAAAACCTTCTAAAGCAAAATGCAGCTTGACTATGTGGGAGCATTTAAGGAGATTGGGGAGGTCCTTATAGATGGGGCAGTTTGGCTGGGAGGCCTGTGTTGATAGAATCATGTTGATGGAATTGAGGTTCCTGAGGGATCCTAGGATGGAGATAAGGTGGAGTTCATACCAGTCCCAGCCAGATGACCTAAGCAAATAATACTGTTACCTGATACTTTATGATGCCAGTCTAGCTGTGACCTAACATACAGAGTTAGCTGCCTCAGACCCTAGCAGTTTGTGACATTAAGGATTGAATTTGGCTATATAAGATAGGAAACCCAAAATTTTATTGGCTTAAGGCTTAAACATAATAAAAGAAATGTGCAGGTTGGGTGCGGTGGCTCACACCTGTAATCCCAGCATTTTGGGAGGCCAAGTCAGGTGGATCACCTGAGGTCAGGAGTTCGAGACCAGCCTGACCAACATGGTGAAACCCCATTTCTACTAAAAATACAAAAATTAGCTGGGCGTGGTGGTGCATGCCTGTAATCCCAGCTACTTGGGAGGTTGAGGCAGGACAATTGCTCAAACTCTTGTGGCGGAGGTTGCAGTGAGCTGAGATCATGCCACTGCACTCTAGCCTGGGCGACAGAGCCTGACTCCCTCTCAAAAGAAAAAAAAAAGTAAGAAATGTGCAGGTAGGTAGTCTGTGGCTAGTGTGGTAACTCCAGTGATCCTCAGAGACTCAGGTTTCTTCCCATTCACTGTTCTACCATCCCTAAGGTATGGTCCTCATATAGTCCACAATAGCTGGTAGAATGCCAACCAAGAAGAAGGAGATAAGTCGCATCACATTACCTTTTTTTCTTCGTTTTTTTTTTTTTTTTTTTTTCATTTTTCTTTTTTGTAGAGGCAGGGTCTTACCATGTTGCCCAGGCTGGTCTTGAACTCCTAGCCTCAAAGTAATTATCCCACCTTGGCCTCCAAAAGTGTTGGGATTGCAGGCATGAGCCACTGTTTCCTGTCATGTTACATTTTTAAGTAGATTTCTCAAAACACCATGAGATACGTCTTACTTCTCATAGGCCAGAACTTAGTCACAAGGTCACATCTAGCTATGAGGGACTGGGCAGCTGTGAGCCATAAAAGGCAGAAGATGGCAGAAGGGGTATTGGATAGGCAACTGGCAGTCTTTGCTATAGACATCCTTGCAGGGCTAGGGAATTGGGTAATGTCCCCCACAGTGCCTTTCTATCTGAACATGTCATTCTTTCCATATTTGGGAACCTGAGAATTCGGGTTAATTGCCCACCATAAATATCAAGGACTGTCATGGAATCTAGTGCTTTCTGGCAAAGTCAGCCTCATATGTAATTCAGTAAACCTTTTTGAGTACTTAGTATTTGAAAAGCTGTGAGCTAGGTGCTTTGGGGGGTATGAGAATGAGTACAGTATCCTATTTTGGTCTAGAGGATCATAGCTCAGGAAGAGAAGGTGGGAAAAGCTGTAGTGGCTGATTTTAAAGACTGTCCGTGTACGCTAGACAGTTTAACTTAGCCCCTGTCCTAGTTCCTGGAAGGTCATGGAATTGGGAAAAAGAATTTACTTGGGCCGGACGTGGTGGCTCACGCCTGTAATCCCAGCACTTTGGGAGGCCGAGGCGGGAGGATCACCTGAGGTCAGGAGTTCGAGACCAGCCTGACCAGTATGGAGAAACCCCATCTCTACTAAAAACACAAAATTAGCTGGGTATGGTGGCGCATGCCTGTAATCCCAGCTACTCAGGAGGCTGAGGCAGGAGAATCGCTTGAACCTGGGAGGCAGAGGTTGCGGTGGGCCGAGATGGCGCCATTGCACTCCAGCCTGGGCAACAAGCGAAACTCCATCTCAAAAAAAAAAAAAATTTACTCATGTTTTTTAAATTTAGGGCTGAAAGAATCAGGATTCCTGAACCTTGGATCACACCTCCAGATTTGCAAGAGAAAATCCACATTTTTGCCCAAAAATGTCTATTCTTGACGGAGAGTCTAAAGCAGTTCACAGGTAATGTGAGGAGAGGTGTCATGAGGGGAAATGGATTTATACTGAGTATCTGCATATTGCCTGATGAAGAGGATAATTTTCCAGCCAGATAGTGGGATGCAGACTGAATATTTTCTTGTTTTCTTTTCTTAGAAAAAATGCAGTCAGATATGGAGAAAATCCAAGGTAAATTTATCTACCTACTGGGCTTTTGATGTAAAGTTGCTTGGAAAAAAGAACATCTGCACTGAAAGTGGGAAACGTGGGATAAGGGTGATACCCATTGGCCAGCCTTCCCTGATATTTTACATCTTCCCTTTGGTCTTAATTAATTTTCTCAATTAACAGCTTCTTGTTCTAATTTGAAGTTTGTTAACTGTATTTAGTCAATTCGCAGTCTGCATTGATGGAGGAGAAAAATAAGCAATCCAAAAATTAATCAATCCAGAATTAATTTGATTGTTTACTTCGGAAAGAATGAACAAAAACTACCTTGGATACGTTTCACTTGAGCCAGTGTTTATCATTGTAATTTACTGAGTTCCTACTGCTTGTGGGCACAGGTGCCAGCTCGGGCTGGAGGAATCCAGCAGCACTGACAGGCAGCACCGCCAGGGACATGGTTAGGAGCGGGCAGTCAGGAGTCAGGCTGCCTGGGTTCTGGGCCTGCCTCTACCACTTAGTAAGGATTCAACAAGTAATTTCCTCATCTGTAACAGAACAGTAATAGTTCTTACCTCCTGAGGTATAAGAATTAAGGTTAGTTACCATTTCTAACACTTCTAGAATAGAACCTGACACATAATAAGTCCTATATTTATGTTTATTAAATCGTTCTAGGCATTTGGAGAAGCTTTTCCAAATTAAAATTTTTCTGCTCACGAGCCACATTCAGTAAAGAGTTGGCCATATATTATTCCACCCAGGAATACTAAAATTCCTGGGCAGTCTGGTGGATTCTGAAATCCTTATATGTAGGTAAACCCTTCTCTTAATTATTAGAAATTACAAACCCCCACAATCTTTGATAATTTTCTATTTTGTATATGCTGGGTTCATATATGCATTGCATCTATTCAGATATATACTTTTTGGGGCATCTAGCAACATAGAGCTAGCAGATACATGTCCTCTACAAGCAAGACAAATGGGGAGAAACTCCACTCAATACAGTGGATAATACCAGAAGTGGTTAGTTCAGGCATGACTTTCCTTGATCTGGCTCTTCTTTTCTTGCCACTTAAAAGTCTTAGTGGGATAATGTGTGAGAAATTCTGTTTCAACTATAAAGTGCCTTATAAATGAATGGTCATGTTTACCCCAGAGTGTCAGTGAGTGTCACTTGAGCCATTCAGCTCTTGTACACAGATGACTTATGCAACTCAAAAGTTATGTATGACGTGGGGTTGGAACCGCGTTTCCCTCTGCAGAATCAGCTGACTCACTGGAAGGTGGAATTCTTGATCTTGGCTCAGTTTTATCCCATATTCTACCAGTCTCAGGCATGTGGTTATCCCTGTACTTAAGATTCCCAATCCCTCTCCCCTTAAAGCTTTTGGTTGGATGATAGAGCCATACATCATATGAAAAAATTAGTGCATGACTAACAACAGAGGTTCTGGGGTTTCTGGTGGAGACCACTGCTTTATGATGACTAACCAAAGCCCCCTTAGTTATGTATTTCCTGGAAACCCTCATGACTTCCATAACTTTGCTCTTTTATTCTTTCAGAATTAAGAGAGGCTCAGTTATACTCAGGTAGGTGATGAGAGACAAAACCATATTAGGGTAAGGAGTAAAAATCCTTGTGAACCTAACTACTATTATGAATGATTTGGAAATTGCTTAGATTTGGATTCTTTTGGTTACATGTATAAAGATGATACACAACAACCACAAAAATCCTCAGTTGTTTCTATGTGTTAACAGTATCTTTGCCTCCTGAAATGTCTCAGAGCTGAAGCCATAGGGTAAAATCAATCTCAGGTGTTAAAGAAGGATTATAGGGTGGAAACCGCAGTTCCCCAAAAGTAGAACAGAGCTGGTACACTAGTACACTGCTCTGCCCGCCCAGCTTCAGGGTCAAACCATGGTTTGTGACAAGCAGGACTGATTGAGCTCCACAATAGTGCTCTTGAGTGCTAGAGGAAGTCTAGGAGTCTTGTGTCATCCCATCACTGTGCCTCAGAGCAAAGTTTGAAACTTCCCTTCCCCCTCACAACCGCTTTCACCCTACTATAGAGCCTGGGTAAATTTAACATTGCAGAAGTATTCAAATCTAAGGTGTATTCGTCCCATAGTCACAGTCACCTTCTGTTATGAATTATCCTCTAAATGAAGAGAAGGACTCTACATACAGTGGATCTGCAGTCCTTGGTGTGCAGTGGCTCTGATCCATATTTATTTTCAACAAGTATTAAATGAGTACTTTGCTTGTATCCTACACTGCCTAACATTGTGCAGGGTATTTTAGAGGAACAGAAGAGCATAAGTCATCCTACTCTTGGGGTTTACATTGTCTGGTTGGAGGTATACCCATGACACAAGAAGAAGGTAGGCAGCTGTTGTAGACAGATTGTTGAACCAGGAGCCAAGGGTTCTGGGGTTCTTGGTTACCTCTATCAGTTGCCTGTCTTTTGTGGGAGTAAAAATTTGTGGGCTTAAATTTCTGAGAGGTAATGTTTGGGACTCTTCCTCCTGAACAAGATGTGAGGAGCAAATGAGAGAATACATATCAGTATTTTTATTTATTTATTTATTATTTTAATTTTTTAAATTTTTTATTATTCATTTTAGAGGCAGGTTCTCTGTTGCCCAGGCTGGTGTGCAGTGGCATGGTGATAGCTTGCTGCAGCCTCATACTCCTGGGCTCAAGTGATCCTCCTGCCTCAGCCTCCTGAGTAGCTGGAATTACAGGCATGCACCACCATGCTTGCCTAATTTTTTTACTTTTATTTTTTGTAGAGACAGGGTCTCAAACTCCTGTATGCAAGCAATCCTCTTGCCTCAGCTTCCCAAAGTGCTGAGATTACAGGCATGAGCCACATATCCAGCCCATTATCAGTGTTTTTGAAGCAGGAAAACACTTGATGATAGCAAGATGCTGTAATACTAAATGCCAGAGGAGATGACATGGGTCATACACAGTTTTAGATTTCAGAACAGTAAGTGTAATGGCCTGGGCAGATTAAGAAAAACTTGGAGGATGTGTGTTTTGGACTGGACATTAGAAGAAGATGAATAGAGCTTCGATGTGCAGAGTAAAGATCTTATAGAATGGATAAAAGAGTGATTTGGGCTGGGTGTAGTGGCTCACACCTGTAGTCCTAACACTTTGGAAGGCTGAAATGGGAAGTCTGCAGTGAGCCATGATTATGCCACTGTACTACAGTCTGGGTGACAGAGTGAGACCTCATCTCAAAAAATAAAAAAAAGTAAAAAATAATTTTAAAAGAGTGATTTAAAAAGTAAGCATACTGATACAGGTTCCCAGTCCCTTACCCACAGTTCTAAAATCCCAAATCTCTGAAAGCCAAAACCTTTTTCATTATTTTGTGGGAAATTAATTATAGCATCAAAACCTGAATTTATGTGGTACTGTTTAGAGCCTTTATCCTTCATTATGTAAACATTCATGAATCTCACAGCAGATCTATTAATACTTCATTATAGAATGCTGCCTGTCTAAAACCTGTAATATTCTGAATTCTATGAAACTTGGGGCCCCTGGAATTTTCAGAATAAGGGATGATGAGCGTGTAAGAAAACCTCAATTCAGCGTATCTGCCAGGCACAGTGGCTCATGCCTGAAATCCCATTGCTTTGGGAAGTTGAGGTGGGAGGATTGCTTGAGGCCAAGAGTTCGAGACCATCCTGAGCAACATAGTAAGACCTCATCTCTACAAAAAATTTTTTAAAATTAGGGTGGTAGTGCACACCTATGGTCCCAGCTACTTGGGTGTCTTAGGCGGGAGAATCACCTGAGCCCAGGAGTTTGGGGTTACAATGAACTATGACCACACCACTGCGCTCCAGCCTAGGCAACAGAGCAAGACCCTATCTCTTAAAATCAGTTCATGATGGATATTGTGGCTTCAGATGTGAAAGAAAAGATACGGGGCTAAAATTCTGTATTTTCAGAGTATTCTGGTAACCAGCTAATCCAAGCAGTAATTTTTGAAATGTGAAGTTTAGAATATATTCTAAATAAAATACGTGCAACCTCCAGTGGGAACCTCTTATTATTGGGGAGGTAGTAGAAAGGCGCTGGGTGTTCTAAAATAGGCTCTCCTGGCCCACGGCTGACTGTCTTCCTTGTGTCTCTACAGTGGACGTGACTCTGGACCCAGACACGGCCTACCCCAGCCTGATCCTCTCTGATAATCTGCGGCAAGTGCGGTACAGTTACCTCCAACAGGACCTGCCTGACAACCCCGAGAGGTTCAATCTGTTTCCCTGTGTCTTGGGCTCTCCATGCTTCATCGCCGGGAGACATTATTGGGAGGTAGAGGTGGGAGATAAAGCCAAGTGGACCATAGGTGTCTGTGAAGACTCAGTGTGCAGAAAAGGTGGAGTAACCTCAGCCCCCCAGAATGGATTCTGGGCAGTGTCTTTGTGGTATGGGAAAGAATATTGGGCTCTTACCTCCCCAATGACTGCCCTACCCCTGCGGACCCCGCTCCAGCGGGTGGGGATTTTCTTGGACTATGATGCTGGTGAGGTCTCCTTCTACAACGTGACAGAGAGGTGTCACACCTTCACTTTCTCTCATGCTACCTTTTGTGGGCCTGTCCGGCCCTACTTCAGTCTGAGTTACTCGGGAGGGAAAAGTGCAGCTCCTCTGATCATCTGCCCCATGAGTGGGATAGATGGGTTTTCTGGCCATGTTGGGAATCATGGTCATTCCATGGAGACCTCCCCTTGAGGAGGTGAATTCAGGCCAAAAGGGCTGTTGGCTGTAATCCTACGCCAGGCACAAGGCATCTTGTTGCCTTGCCACGTCCTGTCACAGCTGGGTATCCTTACCATGTTCCACGCCCTTGCAGTGGGAGACAGGATGTCCATGTTCTCTACCATCCTTTTCCTTCCCATGCAGATTGTGAAATGTAATGAGATGTATCAAGATATCCTAGAAATAAAAACCAGATGTCCACCTCCAGTGTTTCATACTTTCTGGTTTTACACATCGCTGGAGGGATAAAGAGTATGGATAATCTTTGGATTTGGAGAGCCGTTCAAGATACTTCCAGCTTCTTGGCTCAGCCTGGCTTCCTCTGGTTCAGCCCCACATAATGATTATGGCTATTTGCTGTCATTTCTGGGCTAGGGCTCCTTTCTAACAACCTAGACTGGAATAAGGCCCTGTCAGCATGGCTCCCTTTATCCCAGTTTTCCGTCTGGGAACAGTACCTCTGCCCCTGATTCCCAATGTGCCATAGTTTTATTAACTCCATTAAAGAAGCCTGTATGTGTTTTGGTTAGTTACAGTTATTTTACAATAATGGTGGGTAATGGCCCCACCTCTGTTATGAGATAATGTTCTAATCAATGTCTCTGCCTTTGTATCTTTTCTGAGGGCTTTGTCTGTTCTCTTCATTCTAATGAAAGGTGTATTCTAGTGCTGGGTGCATATCATCCAGGATAATATTCTGCCCAACTCCATCCTCTGTTACTAGATCCCTTACCAGTCACATTTGTGGACTGGTGGCCAGTCGTATACCATCCCTGGAAGGATTCTGGGACAATATTCCAGGGATTCATTGACTTCTTGGCTCCTTTTCTCCATTTCCTTTGGGGGAAGGGGGAATTGACCATGCTTAAGTGCATCCTATCAAGGGGCAGCTCCGTCCCCATGGCCATTGGATCATGAGACACTCTGAAGTCAGAAGGCTGGGGCAGATCACTTCAAGCAAGCCCCCATGATGGTTCTCAGTCCTGCTTCTCTGTGGGTACGTGCCCCTCTGTTTAAAAATAAACTGAATATGGATGTTTACATTGTTGTTGCTTTCTGGGTGTTGGTAGGATTGGGTTCAGATGTTGGAATGCGTGTGGGGAGGAAATGGTTAATGGTGTTGCTTTCCCATATGGGTGCAAAAATCCCACTCTGGCCAATAGTTTACTTCAAACTGGAAAATAAAACCACTTTCTCAGTGCCATGTCACTACTTTCTAGTGGTGCTAAGAAAGTAGTGTTGGACATTCATAGCCTACAGTTCTTTTTTTTTTGAGGTGGAGTCTTGCTCTGTCGCCCAGTCTAGAGTGCAGTGGCACGATCTCGGCTCACTGCAACCTCTGCCTCCCAGGTTCAAGCGATTTTCCTGCCTCAGCCTCCTGAGTAGCTGGGACTACAGGCGCCTACCACCGCGCCCGGCTAATTTTTTATTTTTAGTAGAGACGGGGTTTCACCATCTTGGCCAGGGTGGTCTTGAACTCCTGACCCTTGTGATCCACCTGCCTTGGCCTCCTAAAGTGCTGGGATTACAGGCGTGAGCAACCGCGCCCGGCCTGCCTACAGTTCTTATATTGGTTAATCCTGTAATTTTACTAGGAAAGTATTTTCTCAAGTCCTTTTTGTAGTATTGTGCCAGGCATTGGGGTTCCATGGCTGAGGTTCATGAGTTGGTGATATCATGTCCTAATTCTTCATTTATTCATCAGGTTTTAAGGGAAATAATAGAACCAGGGCTATAGAAAGTAGCTTCCATGAGGCTAGATTAGCTTTTGCTGAATATTCTGAGATCTAAATGTATACGGTAATATATATACAGGCACATAAATACTACTAACAAACATAGAGCAGTGCTTGGCACATCATATGAAGAGTTTTATGCACAGTAGCTTCCTTAATGCTCATGATAATTTTATCAAGTGTGTACTGTTGTCTTACTTTACAGATAAACTGCAGCAGAGAGGGTAAATGACTTATCCAAGGTACACAGCTAGGAAGCAGCAGAGCCAGGATTCAAACTGAGATGGAACACATGACCACATCAGGTCCTGCCCCACAACATGTGTTATTGGTTATCTTCTAGTTCTTGTGGGTGGTGTGTTTATAGGTATTTATTTATATTTTTAGTTTTAAAAGCCTGCCATTTTGAATGGGATTAAATGAACTTGTGATTCTAAGTTTACTCATCTGCAGAAAGGTAAGCAACTTTTGAGTTCACCGAGTCAGGAATTGAGTCACTAAAGACATATGGGGCCCACTCCGATTCCTTTGACTCCCCTCTCTTTCCTCAGAACATCTGCAATTGTTAATTATACATTACGGTTTCAATAACTTCTTCCTTAATTCTTTTGCTGTTCCAGGAAGTGTGTGTTTGTGCATGCACGTATGTGCACATGCCTGTGTGTCTTCAGGTGCTCTTGTTTTTTCTGATAAAGGCCAACATGCAAAGAAGACCATCTTCCCCAAGAGCAGACAAGGCCTAGAAGAGATAGGTTCAAAGAATAAAGGGAAACTGAACATGGCCCATACCCTCCACCATGTACAATTAAGTGAGAAGATGAGAGAATGCATGTAACAGCCTAACACTTAAAGGCACTATGAAATTAAGAGCAAATAACTGTCAGATGGTAAATGAGAGCCATTTGCTAATTCCTTTAGTTACCTGAGATGCAGACCAAAGAGTATACGTGGAAATCACGTATCTCCTCCCAGCAAAATAAAAAACAAAACTCAAAAGGTTCTTAGCATACCAATGGTGGTTGAGTTGCTTCTTCACAAATGAAAAACATTCTTTTATTCAAATAGACAATTCAGCCAGTGTTGGGTGCCCCAGCTGAACTTGCTCCTGAAGAGAATACAAGAGAGCATGGCTTCTATCCTTTGAAAAGTTAATTAGGAGAGGGGGAAAATAACGTGAAAAAATGTAGAGTACAACTAAAGATGATCTGGGGAGAAGTGAAACTTGTGCTCCAGGAGACCTCATTGCAGACCACAGTAATGTAAGAGGAAGCCTAAATGCCTGGGCTATGTTTCTTAGTGCCCTTTTTCTTGAGACTAAGAGACTTGCCCACTAGCTCCGTCCTGCACTAAATTTTGACTTAATGATATAAGCACATTACTAAATCCTGCACTTTGTTGAAACCAGAAATTCCTCCTATATGAAGTCTGTGAGAGTAATAATAAATCCCAACCAAACCAGCGTTAGAGAAAGGGTCTCACTTTGTCACCAAGGCTGGAATGCAGTGGCAAGATTATTACTCACTGCAGGCTCGAACTCCTGGGCTCAAGGGATTCTTCCTCCTCAACCTCCCAAAGTGTTGGGATTACAGGCATGGGCCACCATGCCAGGCCAAATAGTACTTCCATTTGACAGTATTGCCCCATTACATTTCCTTTTTCCCGTTGGAGAAAAGATACATTTCTTAGATCTGGCTTATCTGTTGAATTAATTTTGCATTTGAAGTTTGAAATGTAAGCAGGACATTTGAAGGTAACCTTTAGAGATACACACATCTCTACCAGATTCTTTGTTTAGAGGATGTGAAGAACTTGGATTTGTATGGGATGTGATTGCCAAACCCATTTTAGGGTTCTGATGCACAAAAAGAATAATAGAAAAAAGTGAGAATTAGAAAGATTTGAACCTACATATTTCTTTAAAAACTGGGAAGAAATATGCCAAAATATTAGCATAGATGCTTTTGATGAGACTTGGTGATTTTTTTTTTTTCTGTATTGAATGAACTCTTCACTATGGAAACCTGTAACCATATACAAAAATGAAGAAAATACACAGCGAACCCTCCTATATCATCTCCCAACTTCAACTACCAATTTATGGTCAGTCTCATTTGAATACAGCATCATCTCAATTTCCACCCCAATCTCTGTTACTCTCACGTAATCCTGGACATACCAGAAAACCAAGTTATATGAACCTCAAACAAAACAGTCAAGGGACTCATTTCAAGGTTGGAAATTAAATCCTGTTTTTTTGTTTTGTTTATTTCATTTTCATAGACCGCCATTGTTAGCTTCTTTCCTTTTTAGTCCCTCTGCTTCCCTCTTTAAATAATTTGTCAGGCCTTTTAAAATTCCTCTTACAGATGTTTTCATAAAAATGTAGAATGGCCTGTGGGGAGTCTTATTGTGCAATAAATATTATTAGTAAATAGTTAAAATATTGACATATTTAATTATATTTTACCTTATTCCAAAAAGGACTTAAAGCCATTTAAAACATAAAATCATGTCTGGGCTCGGTGGCTCACACCAGCACTTTGGAAGGCTGAGGCGGGCGGATCACCTGAGGTCAGGAGTTCAAGACCAGCCTGGCCAACATGGTGAAACCCCATCTCTACTAAAAATACAAAAATTAGCCAGGTGTGGTGGTGCATTTCTGTAATCCCGACTCGGGAGGCTGAGACAGGAGAATTGCTGGAACCCAGGAGGCGGAGGTTGCAGTGAGCCAAGATTGCACCACTGCACTCCAGCCTGGGCAGCAGAGCAAGACTCCATCTCAAAAAAAACCAAAACAAACCCATAAAATCAAGACATCAGGAGTTTAACATGCCATAAAGGAAGAAAGAAAAAATACGGCACAGCCGGGCGCGGTGGCTCACGCCTGTAATCCCAGCACCTTGGGAGGCCCAGGCACGCAGATTACGAGGTCAGGAGTTCAAGACCAGCCTGGCCAACATAGTGAAAAACCCCATTTCTACTAAAAATACAAAAATTAACTGGGCATGGTGGCACGAGCCTGTAGTCCCAGCTACTTGGGAGGCTGAGGCAGGAAAATTGCTTGAACCTGGGAGGCAGAGCTTGAAGCAAGCCGAGATTGCGCCACTGCACACCAACCCGGGTGACAGTGCGAGACTCCGTCTCATTAAAAAAAAAGATGGCACAAAAAATGACCAGGATTAGAAGTGAATCTATAGTATGAAAACTACGAGGACACTAAATGTGGGCCACAGTTGGGTTTTAAAAATTGACATGGGAACATTGTTAATTGTATAGCTTCTAGTTTCTGTAAGATGGAAGTAACTAAATGTTTAAGGGACATAATGGGATTCTTGTTAATAAGAGATAGGAATTTCTGCTTGGGTTCTTGGTAAATAGAAACTGTATCCCAAGAGTTTACTTTTCATAAAATAAGTCTTACAAATCAATAAGGAAAGATGGACACCTCATAAAAATTTGGTAAGCAATTTACTGAGGAAGGAGTATAAAAATCCTTTAAACATGAATATTGGACCTCACTAATAATCAAATCAGAAAAAAAAGGGGGGGCGCTATATCATTTGTTACCTATTAAAATGTGCCAGGAGCGGTGGGTCACGCCTGTAATCCCAGCACTTTGGGAGGCCGAGGCGGGCACATCATTTGAGGTCAGGAGTTTGAGACCAGCCTGACCAACATGGTGAAACCCTGTTTCTACTAAAAATACAAAAAAAAATTAGCTGAGTGTGATGGCTCATGCGTGTAGTTCCAGCTACTCGGGAGGCTGAGACGAGAATCACTTGAACCTGGGAGATAGGTTGCTGTGAGCTAAGATCATGCCACTGCACTCCAGCCTGGGCAACAGAGCAAAACTCCGTCAAAACAAACAAACAAAAACTGGATAAACATTGATGTAGGCCGGGCGCGGTGGCTCACGCCTGTAATCCCAGCACTTTGGGAGGCTGAGGCGGGCGGATCAAGAGGTCAGGAGTTCGAGACCAGCCTGACCAACATAGTGAAACCCCGTCTCTACTAAAAATACAAAAATTAGCCGGGCGTCGTGACGGGCGCCTATAGTCCCAGCTACTCGGGAGGCTGAGGCAAGAGAATGGTGTGAACCCGAGAGGTGGAAGTTGCAGTGAGCCAAGTCGTGCTACTGCACTCCACCCTGGGTGACAGAGCGAGACTCCGTCTCAAAAAAAAAAAAAAAAAAAAAAAATTTGATGTAATGGTTTCACTTTTAGAAATTTAAGGAAATAATCGTGGATGTTTGAAAATATTTATGTAAGGATAGTTTTTACAGCATTGCTGATGAAAATAAAAAATTAGAAATAATCCAGTTTTCAAGAATACCACTTTGATATGGAATATGTGCAGGAATTAAGATTTATGCAAAATATAGTACTTAGCAAGTATATATTCATAATATATTCATTTAGAAAGCAAGTTAGCAAATTATTTACTACACATGACCATTTTTGGAAAATGTATACCATATGAAAGACTAAATATATAAAAATGTTAATAGTTACCTCTGACTAGTGAGATTATGGATGATTTTAATTTTTGACATGTTTGTATGTTCTACAATTTGTGTGTACTTTGCAATTAGAAAAAAATAATTATAGTTAGGGTAAGATTACAGTTGCCATGTTGGGAATCACTTCCTGGACAATTTCCTTCCAATCGAAAGAAAATATACAAATCTCATGTATTGGAGGGAGACTGGGGAACCAGTGTTCACTGTACTTCTCACTACTAATTTTCTCTCTATCAAAAATAGGATATGAAACCAAGGAAGTCTGTGGAAATTAAGATAGAGCCTACTGAAACTCAGTTATTTCTCCATGCAGAAAAGAGACCTAACTTTGCCTTACAAAAAGGAAATTTTTTTTATATTAACAAATACAAAAAGTAAGCTATTAGGACAAAATCTAATTAAAATATCCAACTTTATATTTCCTCTATCTGAACCTCACAGCCCCAAATACAAGAGTTAAGACGGTTGAGTTAAAATGTATTTATTGAACCTCTACCGTGTTTGCCAGGCACTGTTACCTGGACGGCATTGGTCTACACATGTTATTTTAGCGGTGTCGCTGGCCTCTAGGGGCTCTTGTTCTAGTGGGAGGGATGATTTCTGTTTAGTTTCAGGGCTCCATTAAAATTTGTGACCTTGGGGCTTCCCGGCCTGGAGCTCAGATTGCTTGGCGAAGGCTGAGAAACAGAAAAGTGGATCAGGCGATGTGGTGCACTCCCCTTAAAAACTACCGCTGTGTTCCCCGACCTGGCAGTGGTCACTTGGAGCCCATTAATCGGGAACATCCGAGAGCGACAAGGAAGGCCGCGGGCGAGCGCGTCGCTCGCGGAGTTTCCCCGGACCTGGGATCGCCGATCCCTCGGCGCGGACACCAGCCTTGCCCATGTGGTGGTCCCTGTGGAGACCTTCCCAGCCGTTCCCGGCTACCACTTTTAGAGCCCAAGACAAACTTCGACGAGTGGCAAGGCAGTGACAAATGGAACCAAAATAGAGGGGCTAAAAGGGGACCTTCCTATAGAACCGGGGTCTTTTGTTAGGGTTTTGTTTTGTTCCTCACCATCTTCCAAACAATGAAGTCCTGGGGGAGGCTAACCACGATCAAGATTTCAGTAAACATCAGACACTGGAGAGCCGACCCAGCGACCGAAGAAGCAAAAGATCTTCTTTCCTTCCTGAAATCTGGGCAGGCTGGGAGCAAAAAAAAAAAAAAAAAAAACCCGCACACGTTTTTCGAGATGGCGATAACAGTTATAAGGCCCGTAAGAGACTTGATCCAGTTTTATGCAGAAACATTTTCTAGTCCTGCGAACCCTTTTGCTTTTTCAATCCACAAGTGGCTTTCTGCCCTTCTGTTACCAAGCAACCCTGACGTCATCGCGTTTCTGCGTGCGTGCACGACACAGAATCATTGCTTGTTGATCTCTATTTTAGTGCAAAAATCAGGGCTGTTATGCAGTGTGTCAGGATGGCCGAGTGGTCTAAGGCGCCAGACTCAAGCTAAGCTTCCTCCGCGGTGGGGATTCTGGTCTCCAATGGAGGCGTGGGTTCGAATCCCACTTCTGACACATACTTTTCTTTTTCCTCTCCTTACTTTAGAGATATCCTGATCTCAGCAGTAGGCATAAACAATTACCAACGTATATTTTTAAGAATCGGCTTTTAGGTACCGGGCGCGGTGGCTCACGCCTGTAATCCTAGCACTTTGGGAGGCCGAGACGGGTGGATCACGAGGTCAGGAGATCGAGACCATTCTGGCTAACACGGTGAAACCTCGTCTCTACTAAAAATACAAAAAAAATAGCTGGGCGTGGTGGCGGGCGCCTGTAGTCCCAGCTACTCGGGAATGAGGCAGGAGAATGGCGTGAACCCGGGAGGCGGAGCGTGCAGTGAGCCAAGATCGCGCCACTGCACTCCAGCCTGGGGACAGAGCGACACTCCGTCTCAAAAAAAAAAAAAAAAAAAAAGAATTGGCTTTTAAATTTATCTCAAAGGGCTTGTCCAAACTAAAAACATTAAAAGCGGAAGCATCGCGATATTTTTACGAAGCCGCGAGATTTGGGCCAAAAAACGCCTAATTAAAGGCAGAGGTTACTAGCGATTGGTCTCTGTGCTGCAGTGCGAGATAATCCTGATGTCGCGGGATTCGGAACGCAGATAGCTTCCTGCCTCGCCGAGGGAATGGAGAGAAGGGGCTCTGGGCGGGTTCTTTTCCCGCTTCTCGACCAGGCTCACACTCTGTGTCTCAGATCCAAGCCCTCCCCTAGATATTTCCTGGAGCACTTTCCTACCAATCTCACAACGCTGTGGCTCGTGACAGTGCAGTCTCTTTAAAAATCTTACACAGGTCCTCTGCTCTCCTATTTTCAAAACTCATGTAACCAGTTCTCAAAAATGTCTTTCGTAAATTATGCACATTCACACTCGTTTTGGCATCTGATCATTACCGTTTTGTCAGTCAAAATTGAGTACCATTTTAACCATTGAATGAAATATGAAAGCTGTACGTTCCTCTCGCAAATGTAATCACCGTGAAAAATTTATTGTATTTTTTACATTTCTTTTTTCTCTGCATTCGCATATATATATAACATTTTGTTTTTTTTTTTTAACAGAAATGTAGTCATGCTATGACATTTTTCACTTAATATATCTTGGGTTCTTTCCATGTGGAACACTTATTCTTTTCTTTTACAGAAGAAATATTGCTGGCCGGGTGCAGTGGCTCAGGCCTGTAATCCCAGCACTTTGGGAGGCCGAGGCGGGCGGATCACGAGGTCAGGAGATTGAGACCATCTTGGCTAACACAGTGAAACCCCGTCTCTACTAAAAATATTAAAAAATACAAAAAATTAGCCGGGTGTGGTGGTGGGTGCTTGTAGTCCCAGCTACTCGGGAGGCTGAGGTAGAAGAATCGCCTAAACCCGGGAGGCGGAGCTTGCAGTGAGCCCACATTGCCCGCTGCACTCCAGCCTGGGCAACAGAGTGAGACTCCGTCTCAAAAAAAATAATTAATAAATAAATAAATAAATAAATAAATAAATAAATAAATAAAACCCTATGGTAGGCCCGGAGTGGTGGCTCACGCCTGTAATCCCAGCACTTTGGGAGGCCGAGGCAGGTGGATCACTTGAGGTCAGGAGTTCGAGACCAGCCTGGCCAACATGGTGAAACCCTGTCTCTACTAAAAACACAAAAATTAGCTGAGTGTGGTGGCAGATGCCTGTAATCCCAGCTACTCAGGAGGCTGAGGCAGGAAAATCACTTGAACCCGGGAGGTGGAGGTTGCAGTGAGCCAAGATTGCACCACTGCACTCCAGCCTGGGCAACAGAGTGAGACTCTGTCACAGGAAAAAACAAAAAACAAAAAAACAAAAACACAAAAACCGTATGGTAAAATTTAAATTTTAAGGTGGTACTTTAGAACACTAGTGTTCCATCTTCTCAGTTTGCTGGCTTTCGGATTAAAAGCAGCTTTTCCTCCCACCAAACCTCCCCTCTAGCATTTGGCTTTGGAGCGGTGAGCAGCAGAATCTGGGTCAGGTTACGCTTTTTTCTCTTCAGTCCCATTAACTCTGGAATCCTAGGTGCCCTCTGCATACTTGGACTCCAAAAACCACTTTCTCCAACAAGAAAACAAAGTAAACTGCAGATTATATAATAGGAGATTTTAAATTCATTTCAAAATTCACTATGGAAGATATGGTTTCTCATCTGGAATCCATCCTGCTTGTCTGGATTTACCTTACTTCTCCCTGCATTGCTCACATTTCTGATTCTTTCATGGAACAGAGTACGTTATCCTCTAAAAGCTTTCACCAAACTGATGGAATTTTCTATTTCTCGCCCCCTACCCCCACCTACTGCTTTTCAAAGTAAAATGGCATTTATCTGTAAGGCGGGATGAAGTTAATATCTGTTAAACCCCCATTTATTTCCAGAAGCTTCCAAAGTCAGCCCAACCTCCCAAGGTTACTTAGCTCTCTAATAAAACAAAAGGTGAACTCCCTGAAAGAATTCTCCTGCAGAATTCTATTATAGCGTTAGAGGAAAAAGCACTGCCACTGTGTAAAATTGTGTAGATTTGGGGTAAAAGGCCAAGGTACTTTCCAGTTTCAATTTTCTTGACTGTCCTGCTGGGCACGGTGGTTTACACCTATAATCCCAGCACTTGGGTGAGGCTGAGGAGGGAGGATCACATGAGGCGAGGAGTTCAAGACCAGCCTGGGCTTGTCTCCAACCCCTCATCCCAACCCCGCCCCCACCCCCACAAATGCTCAACTGCAGTTGAACTGAATTAAATTGCGTTTCTTTCCTTCCTTCCTTCCTTCTTTCCTTCCTTTCTTCCTTCTTTCTCTCTCTCTTTCCCTCCCTTCCTTCTCTCCTTTCTTCCTTCTGTCTCTCTTTCTCTCTCTCTCTCTCTCTCTTTCTTTCTTGAGACAGAGTCTTGCTGTATCACCCAGGCTAAAGTTCAATGGCGCTGTCTTGGCTCACTGCAACCACTGCCTCGCAGGTTCAAAGGATTCTCCTGCCTCAGACTCCCGAGTAGCTGGGACTACAAGCGTGCACCACCACACCTGGCTAATTTTTATATTTTTTAGTAGAGACAGGGTTTCACCATGTTGACGAGGCTGGTCTCGAACTCCTGACCTTGAGTGATTCGCCCACCTCAGCCTCCCAAAGTGGTGATCCTGGGTTTTAAGCAGAATAGGGGACATACCACTACCCACTTATCGAATGTATTCTAAATAAGTTTTCTTATCCTAAATTTTTTTATATTCCAATACTGGAAACTTTTATTTACAGAAGCCATGTATTCTATACTCTATATGTAGAATACATGGTTCATTAAGGCCAAGATAATTTCCCATTTTGTGTATATCATTACTTATACTACTCATTAAAATAATCTTCAGTGCGGAGAGATTATCTCTTTTCCTCTGCTAAAGACACAATAATCTTTCATTCAGACAAATAAGACATTACATAAGACCTACCTAGTTACATAAAAACAAAGTAACTACACTAGTACTCCTGTCTGTTAAAGGACTATCAGATAAGTCACTGCGGTTATCTGTACATAACAATGCACAATCATCCTAATAATTACTAGTGAATGCCTTTTCTAGATAGAAGAAGCTGAAGATATAAAATCTAAATCTAAATTCGAATGTTAACTTTTGTCTCAACTGACAGAATACCGTACATTGACCAAATAAAGGATTTTATTGAATCACTAAATTTTTACCAGCTTTATTGAGATATAATTTACACACCATTCAATTCAATTCAATCACTTTTAGAATATTCAGAGTTGTGCAAACATTATCACCATCAGTGTTAGAACATTTTTATCACCTCAAGGTAAAAAAAAATACTCCTTAGCAGTCACTCCCCATCTCTCAGCCTCCCCCAACCTGCAGGCAACCGACAATCTATTTTCTATAATTTTTTTTCTTTTCCTTCCTTCCTTCCTTCCTTCCTTCCTTTTTATACAGGGTCTCACTCTGTCACTCAGGCTGGAGTGCAGTAGCACAATCATAGCTCACTGCAGCCTTGACCACCCTGGACTCAGGCGATTCCAATATTGGAATATAAAATATTTTAGGATAAGAAAACTTATTTAGAATATGTTCAATAAGTGGGTAGTGGTATGTCCTCTATTCTGGTTAAAACCCAGGATCACCACTTTGGGAGGCTGAGGTGGGCGAATCACTTGAGCTCAGGAGTTCGAGACCAGCCTGGCCAACATGGTGAAACCCTGTCTCTACCAGAAAATACAAAAATTAGCTGGGTGTGGCGGTGCGTGCCTGTAGTCCCAGCTACTCGAGGGGGCGAAGGTGGGAGAATCACTTAAACCCGGGAGGTGTAAGTTGCTGTGAGCCGAGATCACACCAGTGCACTCCAGCCTAGGCAACAGAGACCTTTTGTCTAAATCAATCAATCAATCAATCAATCAATCAATCCCAGGAGTGCAGTGGCGCGATCTCGGCTTTCTGCAACCTCTGCCTCCCCGGTTCAAACGATTCTCCTGCCTAAGTCTTCCGAGTAGCTGGGAGGCCCGTGCCACCACGCCCGGCTAATTTTTGTATTTTTAGTAGAGACGGGTTTTCACAATGTTGGCCAGGCCTGTCTTGAGCTCCTGACCGCAAGAGATTTGTCTGCCTTGGCCTCCAAAGGGCTGGGATTACAGGCGTGAGCCACCGTGCCCGGCCAGTCTTGTCCATTTTCTCCTTGAAGACCATCTTTCACACTGTCACTATAGTGACTTGCATAAAACTGAAAGCTAATATTACACACACCTTCTTTTTTTTTTTTGAGACGGATTCTCGCTCTGTCACCAGGCTGGAGTGCAGTGAGGCGATCTCGGCTCACTGCAAGCTCCGCCTCCTGGGTTCACGCCATTCTCCTGCCTCAGCCTCCTGAGTAGCTGGGACTACAGGCGCCTGCCACCACGCCCGGCTAATTTTTTGTATTTTTAGTAGAGACAGGGTTTCACTGTGTTAGCCAGGATGGTCTAGATCTCCTGACCTCGTGATCCACCAGCGTCAGCCTCCCAAAGTGGTGGGATTACAGGCGTGAGCCACCGTGCCTGGCCTACACACATTCTTAGCATCTGTTAATGGTTCAATTCATTATCCTGGCAACAAGACTGTTCATGATGTAGCTTACATTTTCAGCTTTATCTCCTTTCGCCTTCATATTCAATCTGTGTTCCAGCTAGACCAAACTGTTCTCAACTGTCTGAAAGTACCATTTTAAAAGTGCCTTAATAACTTTGTATGTATATACTTTCCATCTAGAAAGCTTTTACTGCCTTCCCTTTTTCTGACTATTTGTATTTATGTTTTAAGATACGCCAATCAACCATTCCGCTGCAAAACTTTCTGTTTGATTCTCTCAGGCAGTTAGATGTTTCCTTCTTTGCACTCCCAAAGCTCTTATGCTTCACTCTTATAGTATTTACCACACTGCCTTGTAACTGAAGGACATCTCTAGGTTGTGGCCTTCAAGAGGGCATCTTATTCGTCTTTATACCAGGTATATAGCAAGGAACTACTATACACAAGACTTGCTACAAAGCTACTTACATGACATTTTAATAACCAAGAAAGAATTTGTAGAAATAGCAAGTAACATTTCTTAATCCTTTTCAATTTAAGATAAGCAACATGTTGGGATACTGAGATGTGACAACAATGGTAACAATAGCAACTCACACTTAATAATGCTTACAGTGTGTCAGACACAGTTTTGTGTGCTTTCATAACCCTTTGAGGTTGCAACTGTTGTCCATGTTTTGTAGGCAAAGATACAGATGCACAAAGTTATGTGACTTGCCTAAGGTCATATAGCCAACAAGATAGGAAACACTGAAACTAGAGTTTAGTGTGAATTTGTTTGTGTTCAAATCCTTCATTTACAGCTAAATTTGCAAATCTGTTGAAGGAAAGGGAAATAGAACTTACTGCTCTTATTTAGCAGTGAAATTTAAATAATTTTTTGTTGTTTTATTTCAGAAGGTGAGTGTAGGTTTATTTATTATTTTTGAGACAGAGTCTTGCTCTGTTGCACAGGCTGGAGTGCAATAGCACAATCACTGCAGCCTTGACCTCTTGGTTCAAGCAATCCTCCCATCTCAGCCTCCTGAGTAGCTGGGACTACAGGTACACACCACCATGAGCAGCTTTTTTTTTTTTTTTTTTTTTTTTTTTTAGAGATGGGGTCTCATGATGTTGCCTAGCTTGGTCTCAAACTCCTGGGTTCAAGTGATCCTCCTACCTCAGCCTCCCAAAATGCTGGGATTACAGGTATGAGCCACCATGCCTGGACTGAGTATAGGTTTAGAAAGCTAAGCATGACTTCAGGGTTCCAAAAAGTACTGAAGAAGTAGCATCTCACTCACTGTTCCTGGGAAGATGGAAAAGTGATGATCCCTTAAATCCTGCAATTGAAAACATTTGTGACCCTGAGGGCAGGTATGAGAGGCACTAAGAAAATCCTTTGTTGGTGAGACAGAGAACATTTTCACCCCAGGAAAAAGAGATCATAGAGAAGTCATGAAAACTGTACTGAACAAAATACTTATGGGAAAGAGGGGTTGTAAAAGTGATGAATGTAGACAGTTCTTCACTAAGAAATCAAATCTTATTCAACAGCAAAGGATCCACACTGAAGAGAGACCCTGTAAATACAAAGTTTGTGGCAAGCCTTCAGTGGGAACACTAGCCTCTATCTCCAGAAGATCCACACTGGGGAGAACCCTTATAAGTGTGATGAGCATAGAAGGGCCTTCACTGTGAAAGCCTGCATTATAGAAGCTGTATTTTCACAGACACTATGAATGTGATCAGTGTGGCAAGACTTTCATTTGGAGCTCAGATCTTAGTAAACATCAGAGGCTTCATACTGGAGGGAAATCCACAAGCGTAATGTATGCAATAAGACCTTCAGAATTCTGACCATCTCAAACATCAGAGAATACATACTGGAGAGAAACCCTACAAATATCTTATGCATGGGAAAGCTTTTAATCAGAGCCCACTCTTTCTTAAGCATCATAGAGTACACACTGAGAGAAACCTTATCACTTTAAGGAATGTGGAGAAAGCTTTAGTCACAATGGAGGCCTGACATCGTATGAGAGACTGCACACAAGAGAGAAGTCTTATAAAAGTAAAGTATTTGGGGAAGTCTGCATTGAGAGCTCACACTTCATTAACTATCCCAACATTCATACAGGGGAAAGACTTCCTCATTGCCCTGAATATGGAAAATGCTTTACTCAAAATGAAGGTCTTATTTCCCATCAGAACCTTTTTAGACATTAAAAAGAAAACCCATATCAGAGAAAAAAGATATATACCTCTGATGAATGTGTGTAAAACTTTGTGTTTCTCTAGTAATTGACCTTTAGAGAGTAGATATAGAAGGGAAATATTTTGAATATAACAATTTTGAAATGTTTGAATGGCAGCTTCTTGCCTCACTTAACTTTAGTAAATTTGTCAAGAGCATGCCCAGGAAATGGGTTGGCTAGAACTTGTTTTAGCAGAAATAAATGTGTTTTCAGTCATTATCCTCCTTAAGGAAAGGGTCAGTCTCACCCAGTGACCAGTTCTAAGTTCCCGACTCTTAGATGGGAAATGAAGAGTATTTTGTGTGAGCCTGTAGATGTTTGAAAACTTTGATATTCAGAGGGTAGGCGAAATGGTCACTCACTCCTGAGACTTCCTTTGTGAAAACAGAGCTTTGTAATATTTGTGATTCCCTGCTCTCTCTTTCAGGAAAAGATGCTCACTATATCCAATAAAGCTTATAAAATACTGGGTATCAGTTGAAAGGTATTAAGACATCAATTGTCGGCTGGGTGCAGTGGTTCACACCTGTAATCACAGCATTTTGAGAGGCTGAGGCAGGAGGATCACTTGAGTCGAAGAGTTCGAGACCAGCCTGGGCAACATAGTGAGACCCTTGTCTCTACAAAAAATAAATTAGCTAGGCGTGGTGGTGCAGGCCTGTAATCCTGGCTACTTGGGAGGCTGAGGTGGGAGAATCACTTGAGCCCAGGAGGAATAGGTTGCAGTGAGCTGTGTTCATGCCACTGCACTCCAGCCTGGGCAACAGAGTGAGACCCCTCCTCAAAAAACTAAAACTAAAACTAAAATAAAAATTAAAAAAGAAATAAATTGTTTTCTTGTCTCTGTTCAAAACCTGGACCACTATGTGTAGTCCTATTCCCAGACTGTCACACAGATCTAGTGATGTTGGTACAAATTGAGAGAAAGGGAACCAGATGGTTCTTCCTCATCTTTGTATGCATGTAGCTGGCATAGTGATTGGCATTTGCATTCCATAAATGTTTATTGAAATGAGTTAAATTAAAATAAATAGAATTAAATCCTGGACTTATATAGTGTACTTGCTGAAATTCAGTTTTAAGAAGTGGCATAAAGTGAAAACAAAAGTATTTTAAACTTATGTAGAAATATTGACGAGATGGCTAAAATGGAAATCTCTGATCTTTTGAAGATGTATATGTAATTCATGAGTTGATATGTAGGAGGGCATTGCTTCCTCCCACAGCTTCAGAATCATACAGTAATAGACTGGGGGGATCATAGGCCTGACCAAGTGGGACTATTGTTAAGTTATGCTCTTAAATAAAGAAAAAAAAAGTAACATCAGTTCTTTAAGTACTTTGTTCTAACAATGTAATTATTGTGTTCTGTCTAAAACTATGATACAGTGTTAAACTTCTCAAGGTTTCCTTTGTCTACGAGCTACAGTCCAGTGTTGTTCCCCGTCTTTTTGTGACATGGCCTGTCTTCACTTACTGTGGAAACAAACTAACATATGCTTCTTTTTTATTTATTTATTTATTTTGCGACGGAGTTTCGCTCTGTCACCCAGGCTGGAGTGCAGTGGTGCGATCTCGGCTCACTGCAAGCTCCGCCCCTCCAGGTTTAAGCAATTCTCCGCCTCTGGAGTAGCTGGGATTACAGGCGCGTGCCACCATGCCAGGCTAATTTTTTGTATTTTTAGTAGAGACGGGGTTTCACCATCTTGGCCAGGCTGGTCTTGAACTCCTGACCTCGTGATCCACCTGCCTCAGCCTCTAAGTGCTGGGATTACAGGCGTGAGCCACCGCGCCTGGCCTGCTTCTTTTAAAAGGAAACTCTGAGATAAAAAATACGAAGTTCTCTTCAAAAAAGCAATCAGCTTTTCATTAAAGGGAAACTATGGAGTACAACACTTGAGTTTTTTTTTTTTTTTTTTTTTGAGATGGAGTCTCACTGTTGCCCAGGCTGGAGTGCAATGGCGAGATTTCAGCTCATTGCAACCTTCCCCTCCCTGCCTCAGTCTCCCAAGCAGCTGGGACTGGGACTACAGGCGCCCACCACTACACCCAGTTAATTTTTTTATTTTTAGTAGAGATGGGGTTTCACCGTGTTAGCCAGGATAGTCATGATCTCCTGGCCCCGTGATCCACCCGCCTCGGCCTCCTAAAGTGCTGGGATTACAGGTGTTAGCTACCGTGCCTGGCCCCACTTGAGCCTTAAAATACTTTATTTGGGCACTGAATAAAATTTATCTGTGCTAATTCTTTACCTGTACTAACACGCAGTAGTCTTTAGCCAGGGCATTGCTACCTACTACGATGTATTTGGGTACACTTATGGTTCTCACAATGACCAGGTTATGGCATGTTCATTTTTATGGGTGGGGTTCAGGCATTATAAACATTATAGTATACATATATGTTGTAGTATGTAGCATAAATACAACAGGTACAACTATTAGAAATCTCCACGCATCCAGGAACCGTGGCTCAACACCTGTGATCCTAATGTGCCAAGGAATTGGTGGGTTCTTGATCTCACTGACTTCAAGAATGAAGCCATGGACCCTGGCCGTGAGTGTGGCAGTTCTGAAGAGCAGTGTGTGGGGAATTTGTTCATTCTGATGTTTGCATATGTTCAGAGTTTCATTCCATTCAGGTGGGTTCGTGGTTTCGCTGACTCGGGAAAGCTACCAATCTTGGCAGTAACTGTTACAGCTCTTAAGACGGTGTGTCTGGAGTCATTGGTTCCTCTCAGTGAGTTTATGGTCTCCTTGGCTTCAGGAATGAAACTGCAGACTTTCACAGCAATTATCACAGCCCACAAAGGCAATGCGCATGCAAAAACCGAGCAGCAGCAGGAATCATTGCAAACAGCAAAAAAAACAAACCTTCCACAATGTGGAGAAAGCATTAACCAAACAGCCACCACCGTTCAGGCAGCCTGCTTTTATACTCTTATCTGGCCCCACCCACATCCTGCTGATTGGTCCATTTTACAGAGAGCTGATTGGTCCGTTTTGGCAGGGTACTGATTGGTGCGTTTACAATCCCTGAGCGAGACGCAGAAGTTCTCCAAGTCCCCACTAGATTAGCTAGATACAGAGTGTGATTGGTGTATTTACAAACCCTGAGCTAGACGCAAAGTGTATTTACAAACCTTGAGCTAAATACAGGGTACTGACTGGTGTATTTACAATCCCTTAGCTAGACATAAACATTCTCCAAGTCCCCACCAGGTTAACTAGTTACAGAGTGCTGACTGGTGCATTCATAAACCCTGAACTAGACACAAGGTGCTGATTGGTGTGTTTACAAACCTTGAGCTAGATACAGAGTGCTGATTAGGTGCATTCACAAACCCTTAGCTACAAGACATAAAGATTCTCCAAGTCCCCACCAGGTTAGCTAGATACAGAGTGCCGATTGGTGTATTCACACTCCTTACCTAAAGATTCTCCAAGTCCCCACCAGGTTAGCTAGATAGAGTGCTGATTGGTGCATCCACAAACCATGAGCTAGTGCGGATTGGTGTCTTGAGCGCGGGTAGTGAGGAGCTTATCATCTGGGCCAGCAGCTGCGGAGGGGGCGCCAGGTCCCCCAGCACTGCCCGTCCGCCCGCGCTGCGGTCGAATTCTCGCCGGGCCTCAGCCGCCTCCTCATGGGGCAGGGCACGGGACCTGCAGTTCGCCATGCCCCAGCCCGCCCCCGACCCTCCCACCCGTGGGCTCCCTTGCGGTCCAAGTCTCCCTGATGGGCGCCGCCCCCTGCTCCGCGGCGCCCGGTCCCATCGACCGCCCAAGGGCTGAGGAGTGCAGGTGCGTGGCACGGGACTGGCGGGCAGCTCCGCCCGTGGCCCCAGTGCGGGATCCACTAGGCAAAGCCAGCTGGGCTCTTGAGGCGGGTGCGGACTTGGACAACTTTTATGGCTAGCTAGAGGATTGTATATGTGCCAGTCAGCACTCTGTGTCTAGCTCTGGGTTTGTGGATACACCAATCAGCACTCTGAATCTAGCAACTCTAGTGGGGACCTTTATGTCTAGCTAAAGGATTGTAAATGCACCAATCAGCACTCTGTGTCTAGCTCAGGGACTGTAAACACACCAATCAGCACCCTGTCAAAACAGACTAATCAGTTCTTTGTAAAACAGACCAATCAGCTCTCTGTAAAATGGACCAATCAGCAGAATGTGGGTGGGGCCAGATAAGGCAATAAAAGCAGGCTGCGCGGAGCAGCCACGATAACCTACTCGGAGTCGATCTCTCTGTTGTGGAAACCTTGTTCTTTATGTTCTTTGTAATAAATTTTACTGCTGCTTGCTTTTTGAGGTTTGTATTTCCTGTGTGAGCTGTAACACTTACTGTGAAGATTTGCGGTTTCACTCCTGAGACCGGCAAGAACCATGAGCGCATCAGGAGAAATGAACAACTTCAGACATACCATCTTAAGAGTTGCAACACTTATGCTGAAGGTCTGCATGTTTCGCTCCTTGTAAGCCAGCCAGACCAGGAACCCACCAGCGGGAAGAAACTCAGAACATGGGTGAACATCAGAAAGAACAAACTCCAGCCACACTGTCTTTAAAAAATAACATCACGAGGGTCTGCAGCTTCATGTTTGAAGTCAGTGAAACCAAGAACCCACCAATTCTGGACACCAGGCTGAGGCAGAAAAATTATTTGAACCTGGAGGTAGAGGCTGCAGTGAGCTTAGATCATGCCACTGCATTCCAGCCTGGGTGACAGCTCCATCTGAAAGACAACAAATAGATGATAAATGGAATTTAATCAAAAGAAACTTTTGTGCATCAAAGGACATTAGGCAGTGTTAAAAGAGCACATAGAATTGGTGAAAATGTCTTGGAAATTACATGTTTGATAAGGGTCTAACATCCAGATATATCCAAAAAAACAAAAACCAAACCTTAGAACTGAAAATCAACAAGGCAACTCAGTTTAAATGCACAAAGAACTCAAATAGACACCTCTCCAAACAAAATATGTAAATAGGCAATAAGCACTTGGAAAGTACTCTGTCTTTATTCACTAGGGGAAATGCAAATCAAAACCAAAGTAGGGTACCATTTCAAACTTTCTTGGATGGCTATAATCAGGAAAATGGCCAATGAAAAAGTGTTGGTGAAGATGTGGATAAACTGGAACTTTCATGCATTGTTGGTGAGAATGTAAAATGATAAAGCCACTGTGGAAACCGGTTTGGTGGTTCCCTTAAAAAGCTAAACATGGGTGTAGCATATGACTTAGCAATTCTAGGTGTATACCCAAAAGAATTGAAAGCAGAGACTCAAACAGATCCTTGTAATCCAATGTTCTTTGCAGCATCATTCATAATAGCTAAAAGGAGAATCCAGCCATCAACAGATGAGCAGATAAGCAAAATAACAAAAATAAAACTGCGTAAGCAGAATAGGCATCAAAATATAAGAAATTTTAAAAAATGAATATACATACAATATGGGATATATGCTGGTATATGCTGTGAGATGGATGAAACTTGAAAACATTTTGCTTAGTGATGAAATAGGCTAGGTATGAAAGGACACAAGTACTGTATAACTCCACTTATATGAAATATCTAGAATAGGCGATTTCAAAAAGACAAAAGGTGAGGGGCTGAGGCTCATGCCTGTAATCCAAGGACTTTGGGAAGTCAAGGCGGGAGGATTGCTTGAGACCAGGAGTTCAAAACCAGCTTGAGTAACATGGTGAGTCCATGCTGCCCCCCACATCTCTACAAAAAATTAAAAATTAGCCAGGTGTTGTGACACATGACTGTAGTTTAAGTTACACGGGAGGCTGAGGCAGGAGGATTCTTTGAGCCCAGGAGTTCAAGACTGCAGTGAGAATGAGACCCTGTCTCTTTAAAATGCCAAAACAAGGGCTGGGTGCGGTGGCTCACGCCTGTAATCCCAGCACTTTGGGAGGCCGAGGCGGGTGGATCACGAGGTCAGGAGATGGAGACCATCCTGGCTAACACAGTGAAACCCCGTCTCTACTAAAAGTAGAAAAAATTAGCTGGGCGTGGTGGCATGCGCCTGTACTCGCAGCTACTCGGGAGACTGAGGCAGGAGAATCGCTTGAACCCGGGAGGCAGAGGTTGCAATGAGCCGAGATAGCCCAGATCGCGCCACTGCACTCCAGCCTGGCGACAAAGCAAAACTCTGTCTCAAAAAAAAAAAAAAAGTTAAAGTGACATTTTATGTTATATATATTTTACCACACTGCATCGTGCCATTAAACAATAAAAATTTGTTCTAAACATTGAGACTTGTGCTCCAGAAATAACTTAATATTTTGGTTAAGTTTCCAGCTTTACCCTTTATTAGTTGTGTTGGGCAATGTGTTATACCCTTTTAGGTGTCAGTTTCTACATCTGTAAAAGAAGACTATTAATATATTTCTCATAGTTGGAATAGTGCAGCTACAGTGTATGCATTCGGTAAATGTTAACTGGCGTTGGTGTTAAATCTGGGAATTGCGTTGTTTCTTTTTAAAGAATTCTTATTCAGTTACCACATATTCTCACAGAAACAAATGTTCTTGAGAATCAATTTTAGCTTTCTTTTCCTCAAGAAGCGACTGGAGCTCAATTAAAAATGATGAAAACTTGCTTGATCCTGCTCTCACTGTGCTTTCTTTGCAGTAATGTTCAGATCAATTTATGGCATTGGCCCACTTGCAAAAATTCAACCTATCATGACTACTCTAATACAGGTTGCACTAGAGGACAGCTCAGTTTGGATTAAAGCTTTTGGTGGTTTCTGCCTTTAGGCTTAAGTGATGACGATTTGCCAGGTGATGACAGTTACCTTTTTTGGTAGTTAGTGAAAATCTGGAGAACACTAATTTTAAACCATGTTCAGAGTCTCAGCCATAGAGAATCTCTGTGAGAGATCTTGTTCCCAGAAATTTAACTCCCTTTATCCCTTTTTGTTGATTTTTCTCTGTAGTGATTTCCACTCCTTCCCCCGCCCCCACCCACCCCCAGCTCCAAACACATACACACAAGAGTTCAGCAACCTGAACTTTGAAAATACTTAGTGATTTCAGATTCTCAGTGAATTAACAAATGCTATTCCTTCTGCCTGAAAAATACTCATTTTTCAGCTAAATAGCATTTCTTCAGGACCTCCAGGAGGGTGGATGCTTCCTAAAGAAGTCCCCATCCCTTATTTTTTTATTTTATCCTCGTACTTCTTTTTTTCACAGGAGTGGAAACAATTTTTTTTTCTTCCCAGCGTTTGCTTGATTTCAACTGTTAGATCCAGTAGAAAGTAAGCTCTTTGAGGCCAAGTGCTATTTCTGCTTTGTTCTTTTATAAAGCAGTTGTCACAGGGCAGGCACACCGTATATACTCGTTAAATAAGACTTCTACCTTTAGTTGTTAATTGGCAGCCAGACCGGAGCAAGAAAAGGGAAAATGCTCTGAATCAACAAATATCTTTCGAACCAGAGAACGCAAAACGACGACCACGAAGGGACTCGAACCCTCAATCTTCTGATCCGGAATCAGACGCCTTATCCATTAGGCCACGCGGCCAACCGCCAAAGACAGATGCTTATATAGCACACAAAGGGAATGTAACATGGTGGGGAAGGGGGCTTTTTAAGTGCTGACTTCAAAGATCCAGCTTAATAAAAAGTTCCTCGTTTGAAATTAAAATTCACTAACAGTTAAAAACTATTTACAACACCTTCCAAAACTTGCAAATACTAATACACAGTTGTCAGAAACTGTGAGAGGACGAGCAGTTAGATGGGTCATCAGCGGTGAACCCTGTTGAAATCTCTGATTAATGGCTTCGAGAAGTGGGATAGGGAGATTTTCAGTTCTGAACTGATGCTGCACCCCTTAGGGAAAACAATCAAGAGGAGGGTGAGAGAGCGCACAGAACGTACTTTCGGCAAGTGGGGTGTGTGAAAGGAATGATGGCGACGCTGGAAGCGGGGCAGTGATGGCCAGGAAACTTCAAAGATGGTTCTGTTGGAAGTGCAGGGTTGGCGTAAGGCCGGAACAAAGTAGGTTATTCAGTTCACATATACTGTTTATTTACATGGAGCTTAGTGACTTCCATTCCTGACTTGAAGACTTCCCAAGTTTGATTTGGTCTTGACAAAAACGCGTCACCAGCTCGCTGTGGATTAATGCACAGAACAATAGGGTGTTTGGGGGGAACCCCACAGTCACCAAAAGTGTGGATGGGATAGGAAAGATGTGAAACGTCCAACCCTTAAGTAGAACTATAACACCGGTCTGTCCATTACACAGTATGATTTTGGTTCCTTGAAAATGACATGTTATTCTAACACAATGAAATCCGAGCAAAATCTCTCCCTTCCTGAACACTACACTCGTCAACAAAGAATCCCATCAACTTCTATTTTTCCTAGTGTTTTCTTCTATAGTATTTTCTTTGGGGTTAAGACCAAGCTCAAATTATTGCCGAATATTCAGTCAAAATTTTTAGAGTGTCTTACTTTAGGCTTTGCTCAGGAACCCAGGGACATCGATGAGGAAGGGACATTGATGAGGAAGAGACCACAGAGTGGCATAGGATATGAACTAGCATGAGTACAAGATTTGGAATAATATCGTACTTCTTGTCATTCCAATACAGGTTTACATAAACTGTTGCAGAACACAAAAACAACAAAATGTCCCACTGCATTTTAGAAAGGTAGCTTAACATCTACTGCAAAAACTGCAAAGATTGCCTAAAGATACAGCAATTATTATTATTATTTTGTTGTTGTTGTTGTTTTGTTTTTGAGACAGAGTCTTGCTCTGTCACCCAAGCTGGAGTGCACAGTGGCACGATCTGGGCTCACTGCAACCTCCGCCTCCAGGAAGCAATTCTCTTGCCTCAACCTCACGAATGGCTGAGACTACAGGCATGCGCCACCACACCCGGCTAATTTTTGCATTTTTAGTAAAGACGGGATTTCACCATGTTGGGCCATGGCTGGTCTGGAACTCCTGACTGCAAGTGATCCGCCCTCCTCGGCTTCCCAAAGTGCTGGGATTACCGCGTGAGCCACTGCGCCCAGCCTATTATTATTTTTGAGACAGGGTCTCACTCTGTCACCCAGGCTGGAGTGCAGTGACGCTATAACGGCTCACTGCAGCCTCGACCTCCTGGGCTAAAGGGATCCTCCCACCTCAGCCTCCTGAGTAGCTGGGACTACAGGCGCGCGCCACCACGCCCAGCTAATTTTTTTGTATTTGTATAGCTGGGGTCTCGCCATGCTGCCCAAGCTGCTCTGGAACTCCTGGACTCAAGAGACCCACCCGTCTCTTCCAAAGTGCTGGGATTACAAGAGCCAGCCACTGCGCCCTATCTATGCAGCAACCATTAACAAAACATAATATCGCCATGATGAACAAGTACAAGGACAAATGTAAAAACTGAAGAGGATTCTCTGTTCTAAAATAATTTTTGATAACATGGGAAGATGTTCTGAATACAATGTTGAGAATAAAGCAAATAATAAAAACATATGCAGTATGATCCCAATTGGATAAGTCTGTATTTATATGTCAGAGTCTCCACTCAGATTCAGTCTTGAAGTTCTTAATCCCTTTAAATAACTGGAAACTGGAACCTGTACAAGACACATTATAAGTGTTTGATGCAATACACATACATATTGTGTATAATATGTGCAACTCTCTCTCCCCATTTTCAAAGTTTGGTGAACATTTTCAATTAAAGCCAAATATTTGAAGTTATATGCAACTATTGAAACTGGATATATTGAAAGTATTGAAACTGAAAAAAAGTTAAGCTACTGGAAGATATTTTCTCATCTTCATCATCAGCATTGGGACACTTACTGTTGAAAGAATATATGTGGCTCACCTTTTTAATGAATTGGAATCAGGTCACCTGGGGCTTAGGACATCTTCTAGAACTGCCCAAGGACAGATGTGGATGATACCATGATTCATGGTCCTAATCCTTCCTCCAGAGAGGCCACAACAGAGCTAAAAGGTTTAGATCCTGGATAGTGACAATATTAGGGTTTGAGATCTTTGTGAGCTAAAATACAATTGTCAGCTTTCTCACAGGGTTCTAATTCTAAAATAAAAATAAGTACTGAGAGTTCATGGAGATGTTTTTTCCTCTCCTTTTAAATCTCACCTTGCTAACCTGAAAATGTTAAGCCTCCTAACCTGCTTCCCACTCTATTTCTGATCTCCTTTACCTGGTTATCATTCAGAACTATTCTCTACAGTTTCTTTTGCTCAGAGAAGGGCAATTTCTGACTGGCTCCATTTTCCTTCTTTTATTTCTGCCCCCTTTTTTGTCTCAACTTTGGCTCCATCCCCACTTTCTCTTCCACTTGTACTTTGCATCCTGTGTCTTCTGCAAAATATACCCAGAAATATGTGCTTAGCTTCCTCTCTTCCATTTTGTTCCCTTTTATTCTCCTTTTCTCATTTTCACTGTCCCTGGATAATAATAGGTCTGTCTTTAATGGGAGAAAAGGGGAAAATAATGAAATTTCAGAAGATTTGTGTATGTGTGTGTATGTGTGTGAGTAAATGTTAGGGCTTTGCATTTTTATATTCACATTTTCCTCTCACGTGGGTTACATCAATTTATAATAATCTACATAAGTTGAAACAGAACATGGACAAAAAAATATATCCTTACCAACTTATTTTTTTGTTTGTTTTTTTGAGACGGAGTCTCGCTCTGTCACCAAGGCTGGAGTGCAATGGCCGATCCACAGATCATGTTTATCAGACATTTCCATGAAGTTGCCTTTAAGTATTTTAAATTCTTGTCCAAAACCAAACAGCTTCATCCCCTTCTGGATACCATCCTACTTCCCACAAATAAAAACAAACAAACAAGCATAATTCCTGCTTCTCCTTCTCTACTTAATAGTTTGGTGAAAGGCAACATCCATCTCTTACACTACCTGTGTGTGTGTGTGTGTGTGTTTCCTGAGGACACTCTCCATCTTTGTTTCTTTTAAAATCCATAAAGTCTCTCAATCCTGCAGCATCCACCTTCTTTCTCCAGTTCAAATAGGTTCCTTCTTTGTTTTTTGTCACTCAAGTCTCTGCTAGTTTAGACCTTAAGCATTATTCCTATGACCGATTGCAGGAGACACACATTATGCCCTCCTTAGAGTAGGACAGAGAATAAGGTCAATGATTAACAAAATGTTGAATCATTCGCTCTCCAATTGTATAACAACTTTAGCTTTTTCACGGTTCTGCGCTTGAGACTTTTTTTTTTTTTTTTTTTTTTTTTAAAGACGGAGTTTCGCTCTTTGGAGTCTAGCTCTTATCGCTGAGGCTGGAGTGCAATGGTGCAATCTCGGCTCACAGCAACCTCCATCTCCCAGGTTCAAGCGATTCTCCTGCCTCAGCCTCCCTAGCAGCTGGGATTACAGGCGCCTGCCACACCACACGAGGCTAATTTTTGTATTTTTAGTAGAGACAGGGTTTCACCATGTTGGCCAGGCTGGTCTCCAACTCCTGACCTCAGGAGATCCACCTGCCTTGGTCTCCCAAAATGCTGGGATTACAGGTGTGAGCCACTGTGCCCAGCCAAGACTTCTTTTTATCCAATAGCAGTGTGCCAGTAGCAGAAGAGTCAGCTGCATATGCTATAAAGAGCGTGCCCAGGAAAAAGCTGGATTTTGATAGCTTTCTACCTGGAGGAGAAAGACGTAATTTGGGTGCACAGGGATCAGAACTTGAACTTCAGATCCTGGGAGTAAAATGCTACTTAGATTCATAAACTCAGAAACTTTGTTGCTGTTGTTGTCTTGAGAATCTTGTAAAGTGTACACATTTGTCTGTGGTCTGTCTTGTCTTTTTTTGTTGTTGTTTTGGATTCTCAACTAGATATGCTAAAAATAAGCAGGCAAAAAAAGCAAGAAAGCAAACATGCTAAATTGGTGTTTCCTTCTGCAACTGGAGCTGCCCAACCCTATGCAGCCTTGCCTCTTGTGTGAGCATTTAACACTGCTCTCTGACAACCAGATGGGTTGGCTTCCTTATGACAGTTTCAAAGAGCAGCTGTATGTGACTAACGAACTTCAAACATACAGTTTAAGAGATGCACCTGAGAAAATGCTGAGCCCATTCAGAGACTCAGTGAGTCACAAAAGTCTCAGACAAGACAAGCTGGGTCTCTTGTAAGAGGTTCTGGAATTTGGTCCATGGATCACCATCAGTATAATCTGGAAACCTGTTAGAACTGCAAATTCTTGGGCCCTACCCCAGGTCCACTAAATCAGAAATTCCCAAAGGATGTTCCAATATGTTTCAACAAGTCATCCAGATGATTCTGATGGACCTATGCTTTGTGAACAACTGAACTCGAAGGATTGACACCTTCTGTTGCCTCACTTTAGAGTAAGGGGCATTCATTCTTCTCTAGTACCTGGAGGAAGCACAGATGCATTGGGGACCTGGGACACATCCAGATCTGAGCATCCAAATCCTGAGCATCCTTGAGGCTCCACTACCCAGCACGCTGCCTCTCACCTCATGGGTTTCCTCTTTTCCCTTCCGTAGTGTGATGAATCCCCCACCAGATTAGGTAAGGATGTATGTCCACTGCCTGAATCCTGAAAGCCAGGTGGTGAGCCAAGGCCATGGTGCCCAGCCAAAGAGTAGGTGTCCCTAAGAACCCAAACATCCGGGAGAGTATCTAGGAACCTACTAAGAAAAACAGTCTCATCACTCAAACACAGTAGACAAATAGCCAGAAAATAAGCTTAAAAGCAGTTTAGAGGCTGGGTGCGGTGGCACATGCCTGTAATCCCACACTCTGGGAGGCCGAGGTGGGTGGATTGCTTGAGCCCAGGAGTTCGAGACCAGCCTGGCCAACATAGTGAAACCCAGTCTCTTCTAAAAATACAAATATTAGCAGGATGGGGTGGCGGGTGCCTGTAATCCCAGCTACCCGGGAGGCTGAGGCAGGAGAATCACTTGAACCCAGGAGGCGGAGGCTGCAGTGAGCCGAGATGGCAGCACTATACTCGAGCCTAGGAGACAGAGCGAGACTTGGTAAAAAAAAAAAAAAAAAAAAGCCATTTAGAGACAGGAGGCTGCATGGATCTCTGGAGCTGTCCTGCTACATCCAGGAGTACCCTGTGTGTAAGTCCTAATAAATTCATCTTACTTGTCAAGCTGTACGTGTCCAAGTCATTCTTTGGTCTGTTGGCTGCTTCCCAATTTAGGGGGACGTTACAGTCCCAAGTTTTGCTCATAACAATTGGCATCACAAACAGGATCTGAGAGACCAAACAATGAGTCAGGAAAGGGCATCTGCAGGGGGAATCCTGGGGTGGTCGGCAACATGCAGGTGGGGTGGAATTGCTCCATCGCTCAACCTTTGTGGACTGCTGAGGAAGTATAGGGATATTCAGAAAATGTGGCGGGGACTAAGCGCATATTGCAAGAGGCTAAGATATCAAAGTAGGATAAGGATAGCAAATGTGCTATTGTTGCAATAAGGCTGGCCCCTGAGAAATCATTAGAGCAGGAAACAGAGAAAGGATAGAAACACCTGCAGAAGTTCAAAGCATGCCAGCTTTTTTAGGACTCCAGCTGGTTACCTATTATGTATGGCCCTTTCTTGTGCACATTTTTTAACTGATGGGGAAATTACAACAAAAAAAATGCGGATTTTAAATGGTTAAGCTGCAACTATAGAGTTAAGTAGAGTCTCCTAAAGCTATTTCTCTCTTTATTTTTGTTTCTGCTTATTTTGAATATGCTATTTATTTATTTAGAGACAGATTCTCACTCTGTCACCCAGGCTGGAGTGCAGCTCACTACAGCCTCCGCCTCCCGGGTTCAAGCTCTTTTCCTGCCTCAGCCTCCCGAGTAGCTGGGATTACAGGAACCCACCACCACGCCCAGGTATTTTTAGTAGAGATGGGGTTTCACCATATTGGCCAGGCTGGTCTCGAACTCCTGACCTTGTGATCCACCCACCTCGGCCTCCCAAAGTGCTGAGATTACAGGTGTGAGCCACTGCGCCCAGCCTCGAATGTTGGGAGAGAAGCTGAGTGTTGGGAGACAACAGGACTTGTATGTCTGCTAGACTTGCTGGCTCCTTGCTTTTAGCACTCCCATTATCTAAAGTAGCCATATGTTTCTCTTTCACTTGATACACCATTTCCTTTCAACCCCCACATCTTCACTACCTGTTTGTTTGAGCACCAATAAATAGCGTGGGCTCCCAGAGCTCAGGGCCTTCGCAGCCTCCACACTCGTGATGGCCACTTAGTCCCACTTTCTCTCTCAAACTGTCTTTTTCTCATTTCTGTGACTCTGCAGGACTTTGTCGCCCCCACGACCTGGTGTTGGGTCTGATCACCCCAACACTCAAATATGCCATTATTAAGCTATTGGTGTTGAAATAAAACTCACTAATTCAAAGCCACTCGGAGATTTTACTTTTCTCTACAGTACAGCCAGTTCTTACTAAAATGTAAACAATGAAACTCATTTGAAGCACAGAAAAAAGGGGATGTGGATAAATGAGGATTTTAAAAATCAAACTGGTATAGAAACTGCTTTACCCAAAATTGTGTTCCACAGTCTTTATTGGATTACCTATCAGTGCAAACAAAGTCTAGTCTTGTGGACAGGTCTCAATTTTGTGAAAAATAATTTGGATCTAGCTTTTCTTTTTTTTTTTTCCTTTTTTTTTTTTTTGAGATGGAGTTTCACTCTTGTTGCCCAAGCTGGAGTGCAACGGTGAGATCTCGGCTCAGTGCAACCTCCATCTCCCAAGTTCAAGTGATTCTCCTGCCTGAGCCTCTTGAGAAGCTGGGATTACAGGGGTGCGCCACCACTCCCAGCTACTTTTTTGTATTTTTAGTAGAAACGGGGTTTCACCATGTTAGCCAGCCTGGTCTCCAACTCCTGAACTCAGGTGATCCTCCTGCCTCGGCCTCCCAAAGTGCTGGGATTACAGGTTTGAGCCACTGCACCCGGCCTGATCCAACTATCTTTTGTAAAATAGTAAATTTATGATGTTGTCTCATGGCTAGAGTTCCAAGTAAAAGCTGTTGGATATTGGTTTGTGTGTATAGATACATGCTTAAATGTGTTTATGTGTATGTATATATATTATGTGTTATGCCTAGCATACTACCAAATGGCTTATACATAAATGAGTACTCATAAAGTCCAAATGCTTTTCAAGTTCATATGAATTTAGTAATCTTTAATAAATAATCTGGCTTTAAAATTATTGGTAAAATAAAAATAGAAATGTCCTTGAATTGTCAGCATACGTTTTTGTCTCAGTTTACCAATTAGTTTTACATTTGCCTCTGCTAGATATTTTAAGGTGTCAGGGTTTGACCTAAAGATCATAAGTCTGTAAACCCAGCCAAAAACAGAATGATCTTTATTTGTGTGATTTTTTGGTAAGTATGACTAATTTAATATTGTTAGGTCAGTGAAAACAGCTAAAATTCCTGAGTTATTGGCAAAAATGCCCATGTGTTTAACTTTAAAGTTCTTGCCTAGGTGAACACCTGACATTCACAGTTTAACAGAAAAAATAATTCAGAATGATGAGTAACTTTGTCTAATGTCTTCGTTCCAATGAGTAATCTAGGTAAACTGCTAAAAATGAATAAATTGAGTAAATGTAAGAGATAAATGCTTACGGGTGAACTTTTTGTGTAGTTTAAAACCTTAAAATTGTTTTAAGTACTTGTTGAATGTCTGGATCATTTCCAATTCAAAAAATGGCATTTATAATATAGGGCATTGGTCACACTGAGGTGACAGCGTGCTGGCAGTCCTCAGAGCCCTCGCTTGCTCTCAGCACCTCCGCTGCCTGGGCTCCCACTTTGGTGGCATTTGAGGAGCCCTTCAGTCCCCCACTGCACTGTGGGAGCCCCTTTCTGGGCTGGCCAAGGCCGGAGCCCACTCCTTCAGCTTGCAGGGAGGTGTGGAGGGAGAGACACGAGCGGGAACCAGGGCTGTGTGCCGCACTTGCGGGCCAGCTGGAGTTCCGGGTGGGCGTGGGCTTGGTGGGCCCCGCACTCGGAGCAGCCAGCCAGCCCTGCTGGCCCCGGGCAATGGGGGACTTAGCACCCGGGCCAGTGGCTGCGAAGGGTGTACTGGGTCCCCCAGCAGTGCCGGCCCACCCGCGCTGTGCTCGATTTCTCGCCGGGCCTTGGCTGCCTTCCCACGGGGCAGGGCTCGGGACCTGCAGCCCGCCATGCCTGAGCCTCCCACCCCCCTCCGTGGGCTCCTGTGCGGCCCGAGCCTCCCGGACGAGCGCCACCCCCTGCTCCACGGCACCCAGTCCCATCGACCACCTAAGGGCTGAGGAATGCGAGTGCAGGGCGCAGGACTGGCAGGCAGCTCCACCTGCAGCCCCAGTGCGGAATCCACTAGGTGAAGCCAGCTGGGCTCCTGAGTCTGGTGGGGACGTGGAGAGTCTTTTTATCTAGCTCAGGGATTGTAAACACACCAATCAGCACCCTGTGTTTAGCTCAAGGTTTGTGAGTGCACCAATCGACACTCTGTATCTAGCTGCTCTGGTGGGGCCTTGGAGAACCTGTATGTGGAAACTCTGTATCTAACTAATCTAATGGGGACGAGGAGAACCTTTGTATCTAGCCCAGGGATTGTAAACGCACCAGTCAGCGCCCTGACAAAACAGGCCACTCGGCTCTACCAATCAGCAGGATGTGGGTGGGGCCAGATAAAAGAATAAAAGCAGGCTGCCCGAACCAGCATTAGCAACCCGCTGGGTTGTCTCTTCTGCACTGTGAAAGCGTTGTTTTTTTCACTATGCGCAATAAATTTTCCAACTGGTCATTCTTTGGGTCCACGCTGTTTTTATGAGGTATAACACTCACTGCAAAGGTTTGCAGCTTCACTCCTGAGCTAGCAAGACCACGACCCCACCAGAAAAAAGAAACTGCGGACACATCTGAACATCAGAAGGGACAGACTCCACGCCCGCGAACTTTAGAGCTGTGACACTCTCTGTGAGGGTTTGCGGTTTCATTGTTGAAGTCAGTGAGACCATAGAACCCACCAATTTCAGACAACACTTCTGAGCCTCTTAGTGGGAAATGAAATCTGTGATGGGGGGAAGCATTGGCAGACCTCAGTGAGCTGGATAAAAATAACGATCAGGTCCACAGAGAAAGCAAAAAGGGGATAGGCCAAATATGCACCTGTATCCTTGCAGGTAATGAACATGAAACAATACTTCCTGCTATTGGGGGGGCACTCTGAAATCACCCAAACAATCCAGAAAGTACATAAGGTACAAATAGTCAGACTGGCCCAGAGCCCCTACAGCAGCCTTGTTTGGCCTGTGAAGAAGCCAGGTGATGCCTGGAAGATGATGGTGGATTACCGCTAGCTGAACAAAGTGGTACGCCCTGTACATGCAGCTGTATCCAATATTGCTCAACTGCTAGAGCAAGCAGTACCGAAGCTGGGAAGTATCCATTCTGTGACTGACTGCATTAATACCTTTTCCAGTATTCTTTCAGCTGAAGATTCACAAGACCAGTTGGTCTACACTTAGGAGGACCAAGAATGGACTTTCCAGGTGTCACCACAGGGGCATCTGCAAAGCCCCGCCATCTCTCACAGTATGGTTACACAGGAGCTGTCTATAATCTCTTTGCCTGCCTTGGTCTCCCTGTTTCACTATATTAATGATAACATGCTACCCTAGAGTCTCTTACAGATTTGGAGACTATCCTACAAACTGTTTTGGACAGCCTGAAGGAGGGATAGAAAATCAACCCCAAAAATATACAGAGGCTTGGCATGCCTGTCAAATTCCTGAGAGTTACCTGGTTGGGTAAGATGTGAAACATACCCAAAGCCGTCATTGATAAGATAGCATAGTAGTCTACTCTCCAGACAGTAGAGCAACTCCAGGTTTTCCTAGGTTTACTGGGCTACTGGAGGATATTCATTCCTCATCTGGCACAAATACTCCACCCATTATACACCCTAATAAAGACAGGTAAAAAATGAGATGACATAAATAGAACAAGAGGCATTTGACAAAACAAAAATATTGGTGAAACAAGCCCAAGCATACAGACTCTACTGCTGTATTAGTAATCACCAGAGATGTCACAGGGATGAATTTAGGTTTGGGGCAAAAGCAACTAATGGGAATGGTACCTATAGGGTTTTGGTCTCAGTTATGGGAGGGAGCCAACATGGCAGTGGAGCCACCCATCAGGCCAACCACCATATATAAGGGTACCCCGCCAATATCTGCTAGGCCCTGGTACATTGATGGGCATAGCAAAGATATCCAACACTGGGCATCAGAAGAAAATATAGACTGGACCAGGTGCGGTGGGTCATGCCTGTAATCCCAGCACTTTGGGAGGCTGAGACAGGCAGATCACTTGAGGTCAGGAGTTTGAGAGCAGTCTGGCCAACATGGTGAAACCCCATCTCTACTAAAAATACAAAAATTAGCCAGGCGTGGTGGCGCATGCGTGTAGTCCCAGCTACTTGGGAGACTGAGGTGGGAGAATTGCTTTAATCCGGGAGGCGGAGGTTGCAGTGAGCCGAGATCGCACCATTGCATTCCAGCCTGGGCAACAGAGCGAGACTCTGTCTCAAAATAAAAAAGAAGAAAATATAGACTGGAGGTTCCACTTACCACCACAATCCAACAGAGGCAGGACTTACAGAAAGAAATAATGGCCTGTTAAAGACCCAGATGTGTGCACTGTTTCAGGTTGGCTCTTTAAGTTCCTGGACTAAGAATCTCCATAAAGCCATACAAACTTTAAATGAGTCACCCACTAGCACACATGGCATCACTCCTTATAAATGGTTGGCAAGGCCTGTAAGACATGTCCCACAAACTCTCGGGGTTACCTCAAAGACACTGAGCCATGCTCCTGAGGCAGATGGTGAGACATGCTCCTGAGAACACCAGTGGATCTGCCAAGCAGTGATGGCTACAGGGACCTGAAGCTGAGCTGGAATATGCCTCCATACTGGATTAGTTTTATAGTACTGGAGGGTGGTGCCATGATAACTGCCATAGGGGCAGTGGTCCCAGCTGTGCTCCTTGATAGAGTTCCGAGAGACTTACTTTATCAACAGATGGCAGCACCCATACCTGCTGGAATAATTATAGTATGGATAGCATGGGCAAGGCTGGAAACTTATCAATTGGCTATTGTGGCTGCTTCTAGGAAAAGAAGACATGGGTGGTTTTGTAATCCAGGCCTGAAGCCCACAGTGGCATCCCTAATAGTGCCAGTGGGAGAAAACACAATGATAATAATGTTGCAAGGTGTGGCCAGGCGCGGTGGCTCACGCCTGTAATCCCAACACTTTGGGAGGCCAAGGCGGGTGGAGTATGAGGCCAGGAGATCGAGACCATCCTGGCTAACACGGTGAAACCCCGTCTCCACTAAAAATACAAAAAATTAGCCAGATGTGGTGGCGGGCGCCTGTAGTCCCAGCTACTCAGGAAGCTGAGGCAGGAGAATGGCGTGAACCCAGGAGGCGGAACTTGCAGTGAGCCGAGATCGTGCCACTGCACTCCAGCCTGGGCAACAGAGCAAGACTCTGTCTCAAAAAAATTAAAAAAAAAAATGTTGCAAGGAGTGAATACGCCTGTGAGAGTTCCTACTAACCACCTGTGTTTATACCCATAGGTTGTTCCTGCTACTCATGGCAGCTGGTAATGTCTTTCTAGACTGAGCTGCAACTCCAGAAGCAGTCAACAACCAGTCAGATACCTCTCCCTATAAAATAATAATGATATGCCTTAAAATACTCTGCCTTTCTCCTGACAGAACTGGAGTGACTTGTACAATAGCACTGATAATGCAACCCGGGCTCACTAAGGATTGCCTCCACCTAGAGGCTCAATCACCAACGTGACAAAGACCCAAAATGTGCCTTTCTAGGTGCTAACTGTTGCACCTATTTCCCTGATGAAGAGAGTAATGTCAGAGGTACTTTAAACCATTTGTCAACTCAGATCCATGATATAACCTAATTAGGTTTCTTTTACTCATTCTCAAATTGGTTACACAGCTTCTCTAGTCATGGGAATTAGGTTTTGCTAATAGACATTATAATTGTAGTTAACTTCTGCTTTTTGTGCTCCTACGTATACTGTAGATGTGACCTGTATGCGCAAGCCATGGCTAGACGTTATAGACCTGTATAGTTCTTTCCTTCCACCCTACTCAAGGAGTCTCACACAAGATTGGCAGAAAGAATGTAAGAAATGGGAGGCAGGGTGGATTGCAGCATGACAGATCACCCACCATGTCACTTAAGAGTGTATGTCTACTGCCTGAACCCTGAAGGCCCAGTGGTGAGCCAAGGCCACGATGCCCAGCAGAGGAGCAGGTGTCCTTGAGAACACAAACATCCCAGAGAGTATCTGAGAACCTACCAAGAAAAACAGTCTCATTGCTCAAACACAGTAGGCAAAAAGCCAGAAAATTAACTTAGAAACAGTTTAAAGACAGGAGGCGGCATGGATCTCTAGAGCTATCCTGCTGCACCCAGGAGTACCCTGTATCTAAGTCCTACTAAACTCACCTGCTTATTAAGCTGGACTGTCTTTGGTCTTCCGGGACCTTCCCAGTTTGGGGGGAACGTTACAATCCCAAGTTTTTCTTGTAATACTTTCCAATCTTTCTCCTCCCCTTGTTAACTTTCCCCAGATCCTAGTTTCAGTTTCTGTTGTGGCTAGATTTTCAGGCCCAGTGGTTTTCAAACTTGCCTGAATATCAAATTCAACTGGGAAATATTAAATAACACAATATTCCATAGATGTGAGGACGATCTAGCTGTGACATCTGTCACCCCATAATAATTCCTGGGCCCTTTTCTGGAGACTCTGAAAGCACTCAGCATCTCAGTCTCTGGGGTAAGGCCTGGGGATTCCTGTTTTTATTAACTCCCGCAGGTAAATTTTCACCTTTGGGGACTCCTGCAGTGTTGTCCCAAAAGCACTTATAGGAAGGTCTAGGGCAGAAAAACATCTTTTCCCACCCAGTGCCAGGTTCATGGCTGACACTTCATAATAAAAGATAGATTAACAAGGGAAAAGCAGGCCGGGTGGGGTGGCTCATGCCTGTAATCCCAGCACTTTGGGGGGCTGAAGCTGGTGGATCACCTGAGGTCAGGAGTTTGAGACCAGCCTGGCCAACATGGAGAAACCCCCATTTCCACTAAAAATACGAAATTAGCTGGGCATAGTGGCACACGCCTGTAATCCCAGCTACTCGGGAGGCTGAAGCAGAAGAATCGCTTGAACCCGGGAGGCGGAGGTTGTGGTGAGCCAAGATCGCGCCATTACACTCTAGCCTGGGCAACAAAAGTGAAATTCTGTCTCAACAACAAAAAAAAAAAAAAAAAAAAAGGAAAAGCATACAAATCAAACAAATTTTATTGACACAAGAGCCTTCAAAAATGAAGACCTAAAGAAATAGGAAAATCTGCGTACAGCAGACCCTTGAATAACGTTGTTTCATTCAACATCATTTTGTTATAATGTTGATGAGAAAAAAGTCTATTTCTCCTGGAAGCCACTGTCTGAGTTTCCTCCCACATCCCAAAAATGTGCACATTAGGTTCATTAGCATATCTAGTCTGAGTCTAGCGTCATCAGTCTGAGTGAAAGAGCACGCGAGCATATGTGTGAGTGTGTGTGTGTGTGTATGAGCCCGCCCTGTGATGGAATGGCCACCTGTCCACGGTGGGTTCCCTCCTGACACTATGAGGAGTTGAATTAGGCTTCAGCCACCAAAGACCTTGAACTGGAGTGAGCAGGTTGAAAAATGCATGAATGAATACAAGTTACTGTAAAAGCAAAATTCAGGAAGCATTTCATAATCCTACAAATGCATGACAATAAACGACATGGTGCTAAAACAGCCAGCCGCCATACTGAGAGGTGACAGCTTGCTGGCAGCCCTCACAGCCTTCGCTTGCTCTAGGCGCCTCCTCGGCCTTGGCGCCCACTCTGGCCGCGCTTGAGGAGAACTTCAGCCCGCCGCTGCACTGTGGGAGCCCCTTGCTGGGCTGGCCAAGGCCGGAGCCGGCTCCCTCAGCTTGCAGGGATGTGTGGAGGGAGAAGCGCAGGCGGGAACCGAGGCTGCGCGCGGCGCTTGCGGGCCCAGCGCGAGTTCCGGGTGGGCGTGGGCTCGGCGGGCTCCGCACTCGGAGCGGCCCCCTAATCCGCAAGCCCCGAGCAGTAAGAGGCTTAGCACCTGTGCCAGCAGCTGCTGTTCTCGACTTCTCGCCGGGCCTTAGCTGTCTCCCCGCGGGGTAAGGCTCGGGACCTACAGCCCGCCATGCCTGAGACGCCCCTCCCCGCCATGGGCTCCTGCGCGGCCCGAGCCTCCCCGACGAGCGCCGCCCCCTGCTCCACGGCGCCCAATCCCATCGGCCACCCAACGGCTGAGAAGTGCGGGCGCAAAGCACGGGACTGGCAGGCAGCTCCACCTGCGGCACCGGTGGAAAATCCACTGGGTGAAGCCAGCTGGGCTCCTGAGTCTGGTAGGGACTTGGAGAACGTTTACGTCTACCTAAGGGATTATAAATACACCAATCGGCACTCTGTATCTAGCTCAAGGTTTGTAAACACACCAATCGGCACCCTGTGTCTAGCTCAGGGTTTGTGAATGCACCAATGGACACTCTGTATTTAGCTACTCTGGTGGGGACTTGGAGAACCTTTATGTCTAGCGAAGGGATTGTAAATACACCAATCGGCACTCTGTATCTAGCTCAAGGTTTGTAAACACACCAATCAGCACCCTGTGTCTAGCTCAGGGTTTGTGAATTCACTAATGGACACTCTGTATCTAGCTACTCTGGTGGGGACTTGGAGAACTTTTGTGTCTAGCTCAGGGATTGTAAACGCGCCAATGAGCACTCTGTGAAGATGGACCAATCAGCTCTCTGTAAAACAGACCAGTCAGTTCTCTGTAAAATGGACCAATCAGCAGGATGTGGGTGGGGCCAGACAAGATAATAAAAGCAGGCTGCCGGAACCAACTGCGACAACGTGTTCGGGCTTTTTCCCACGGTGCGGAAGTGATTTTTCGCTCTCTGCGATGGATCTTGATTGTTCTTTGGGTTTACACTACGTTTATGAGCTGTAATTTGTTGATGGTCTGCAGCTTATCTTTTGAAGTTAGGAAAAACATGAATTCTCGGGCAAGAACAAACAACTCCGGAGGCGCCGCCTTAGAAGATGTAACACTGACTGCCAAGGTTTGCAGTTTCACTCCTGAGCCAGTAGAAGACCAAACCACCAGAAGGAAGAAACTCTATAACACATCCGAACGTCAGAGGGAATGAACTCTGGCTACACCGCATCTAACGATTGTAACACTCATCCGGAGGACTTGTGGCTTTCTTGAAATCAGTGAGATCAAGAACCCGCCAATTCCGGACACAATGTTTTACGAATTGTGTGTTAGTAGGAGTTGCTCCTTACAACTGCTATTTCACAAACATTTATTCCTTGATATAACCTGCCACCACTAGAATTGCAGTCACTGATTCACCAAAAATAAATCAATCATGTCGTTTTTGCTGATCTTAACTTGAGGTGCAGCTCATATTTTTTTCAATATTTAGTGTTAGAAGTGTTTGGAGTCCTTATTTAGAAATTTGGTGTTTTTGTGATCAGACATTTGCCAAGAAAATTAACTCTTAAATCAATTAGTCTAGTCTATGGTAGAATTAGTTTTATTTTGCTTAAAGTAATAGTTTCCAAAAACCAACTGACAATAAGTGAGGACTTCCTATATTTTTATGCTTAGGTTTGATGAAGTGGATAGTCCCATAGCAGTATAATTGGATAAAAGGGGGTATGATCTAATGGTTATAAACTGGGGTGAACTTAGCAAAGCCTGTTTATTCAGGTTCTCTTTGGCATCTCTGTGTCTTCGTTTATTTCCTCCAAGTACATTTTCTCCCCTCTGAATTGACGGTCTTATCACCTACTTTAATTGGAAGATCAGGTAGCTTTCATGGCCCGCTTCACGGAACAAGGGCCCAGAGAAAAACGTTTCTGCTTCTGCTGTTTTCTCAAATGCCGAGGTGTCGTATTTTGGGAGTAGTGTGACCTGAACCCAGTCAAAAGACGTCCGAGTCTTTCTAATCTCTGGGTCATAGGGTCGCCTTTGGCCTATGCATTGTACGTATACAGTATGGCATTTCGCATGTCTGTCCACTTCTAGGCGCACAGTCCAACTGGCTTTGACTGGTCAGGAAGGCCAGGCCTGGATCTGGGGTTGGTACTATAGGTTAGATGTTTTCAGGTTTTGAAGGAGAAACAGGTCCCTTAAGGATGAGAGCGAATCAGAAGAAGACAGACAAAAAAGGATTTAGGATTTGTTCCAGAAGCTCATTTCTGGATTGACTGTCGTACCAAGGTTTGGCGAACGGCGGCAAGCGCTTGCCAGTTTGTCGAAGAGTGGAGAGGTCAGTTGTGCCAAGGAGTGGAGAGGTCTAAGAACTCTCCAGGAGCACGGAGGGTTTATGCAGTCATAAATCGCCTTGCTTCTGCATACTTTTTATTCCGTGGAGGATTCCGCCCGGGCGATGGCGCCATAAATGCAGGTGCGTCCTGGCTCTTTTCTCTTCCCAGTGCGCATCTCGGCGACTCTCACCACCCGAGTCTCAGAGCCCGCGAAACGTAGCGTGCCAGGTTCTCCATCCCGAGGCTGGGCGCGGGAACCTGCAGGGGCAGTAACTACGACCGGGACAAGCCGATCTGCAATTCCCCTCCTGTTTTCTCTGCCCCTTGGACTTAAATTCCCACGGCGGCGTTTAGGGCTTTCGTTTTATCTTTCTGCGTTATGCTCGCGGTTTCCTGGCAACCTTTCCAAGCAGAATCACCCCATCACAGACCTTTCTCTGGGGGGCGGCCAGGCAGGACGGCTCCCTTATAAACCCCGATAGGTGGTTGTCGAGCGGCCGTCCGAGAGGGTGACCTGCAGCGGGAGATCCCAGGCCCAGCACGGGACTTTCGATATAACATTCAGTTTTCCTTCTCTCAGCGCAGTCAGGAAACAATATCCAGTATAGCGAATTCAAAATTAAGTTCGACAAAATATGCTTCTTGGCACGACCGATAATAGTAACAGGTCATAGAAATATTTTGGCCCACGTTGAGCGTTGGGGGGTGTAGCTCAGTGGTAGAGCGCGTGCTTAGCATGCACGAGGCCCCGGGTTCAATCCCCGGCACCTCCAGCTTCATTTTTCTCCCGCCTTTTCTCCTAGATGTGCCTTGTTTGCAAAATCATGTCTATCATGTCCACGACTCGCCTCAATTTTTTTTCTTTTGTTTTTGTGGCACTTTCATTCTCTCTCAATTCTTCAAATTCACATGGAAACCAAGGAAAACAAGCTCCGTTTTGCTTTCAATATTGATGCATTTCTGCTCTAAGGCTTTGACACCACCCTGGGTGGCTGTGTCAAGAGATGAAAGACAAAATGAAAGAGGCCGCGGAAGCACAGACTGGCAGAATTCCAAAACCCGAAAAACAAGCAAGGCACCAAATTAACAAGCCCAATCACATTGGTTACATTTCCCAGTATTATCGAAGATCAAGCAAGAAAGAAAAAGACAGAAAACAAATGCGAAACCACAGGTAATTTTTTACAATTTATTTTAGATCCTTTCTTTTTTGAGCTGTTCCTTGGTCAAGGGACAGACCCAGAAAATAGGAAAACTGTCCCACGGATTTCCCCACCACTCTCTTCCCATCGCAATCTCTTTTCTTTTCCCCCATCAGGTGTCCTCTTGTTCGTCCGATTTTAGACTTTGTAAGCTTTTTGTAGGCTTTTTTTTTTTTTTTTTTTGGAGACAAGAGTCTCACTCTGTCTCCCAGGCTGGAGTGCAGAGTGCAATGGCACCATCTCGGTTCACGTGCAAGCTGTGCCTCCCAGATGCAAGTGATTCTCCTGCCTTAGCCTCCCGAGTAGCTGGAATTACAGGCATGATGCACCACCATGCCCGGCTAATTTTTTTTTTTTTAGTGGAAACGGGGGTTTCACCATGTTGGCCAGGCTGGTCTCGAACTCCTGAACTCAAGTGATCCACGATCCACCCGCCTCTGCCTCCTAAAGTGCCGGGATTCCAGGCGTGAGCCACCACGCCTGGCCTACTTTGTATGCATTTCTTTGACTCATTGTTATTGTTTCTGACTTTATTAGGGTAACTTTTATTAAAGCATAATGTAAGCTTTGGATCCAAATAGAAGTTCTTTATTGTGTTAAATAAATTGAAGCCTTCGTATCTGGCTGACTTGAAGCAGCACTTAGCTAGTTTTAAAAGATATGGAAGGCAATCAGAAAACAAAGATACATATCCCCACTCCCTTCTCTTCCCAATTCTAACCGCAGCTCACATTTTGAAGGGCCTCACACATGCATGTGTGAACATCTCAACATATTAGCGGTGGCAGTTATCTGTAAGGAGTCTGCAGCAACATTAATTCTTGCCTCCTCAGGAGAAGGAAAGAATTCGATTGAGGAGCATAATGCCGAAGGAGAGACCGAGGCAAGTCTTAGAGCAGGGGTGAAAAATTATTGAAAATATTTAGAGCACTAATGAAGGAAAGTACACTTGGAAGAGGGCCAAGCAGGCGACTTGAGAGACCAAGTGCACGGCTTGACCTCTAGACCTGGGGTCGTAAACGTTGGCATAGTTCCTAAATCTTGTGTTATTTCTCCCCACTCCTGAGATCTTATTGGGAAGTGACCGACCACCAGTTTCACGTGTTTTCTATCTGTTAAGAAACTGCCTTTCTCTGTCAGAGGAAGAATCAGTTTAAACTTTATAGATTTCTTTTAAAACGTATTTATTACAAGTCCCCAAGAGGGCTTTATTTTTGCTTTCACACATCCTGTTTTTCAGCTTCCTTGGCTCTTTTTGCCCATATGCCGAAGAGCCGAGCATTGCCGCCAAGCATTGGCACCGGCCATGCGGAGACTAGCGAAAGCTTTGCAATTCCTCTACTTCTCAGTGATGACTCGGGCTTTCTCCTTACATTCTTGATGGGCATGACCGGTCCTGTCAGCTGGGTGGCCAATTTCTGTTCTTCAGCAGAACTGTCTCCCTTCTTGGGGGCCGAGGGCTTTCTGGGGAAGAGGATGAGTTTGGAGCAATACTCATTCAGACGCTGCACATTGGCCTGCAGGGAATCGGTGGACTTGTTCTGCCTCCTCGGATCCACAGAGATGCCAGTGGTCCGGGTCACCTTCTTGTGAATGCCCGCCACCCTGAGCTCCAGGCTGAAGCCTCTGCCGGCGCGCACCTTGATGTGATAACGCACAGCAGGGCACAGCACAATGGGCCAGATGGGTCCCGACTCTCCGGGCGCGGGGCGATGCAGCGCCCTTTGGCTTGCCGGGCCTTGATTCTGCGGATCTTCTGGTTGAACCACGTGGCCACACGCTGCTGCCAGTCCTTGTGGAAGTGGGGCTTCAACATCATGCCATTCCTGCTGGGCGCCATGGCTGCCTACGGCCCTCCTACGAAGGAAACACTTTATAGATTTCTATAGCAGTGTTACATAGTAAGGTTTTATGGCGAGTTTTGTAGCATGGATCATACTACCTTAGGACTGATGGTAAAGTTTTAGTCTAAGGAAAGCTCTGAAAATTTGAAAATGTGTAACCACCCAATGAGTTCAGCTTGCCCACTGCCTAGACAGAACCATTTATCAAGACGGGCATGCAAAGCCGGCTGTGTGGGAGACCCGTTTTATTATTATTCAAATCAGTCTCCCCAAGTGGATTGCAGTTTTTAAGGATAATTTGGTGGGTAGGGGACCAGTGAGTTGGGAAAGTTGATTAGTCGGGTCGGAGATGAAATCAGAGGGAGTCGAAGCTGTCCTCTTGTGTTGGCTTAATTTCTGGATGGGGGCCACAAGACCAGATGAGCCAGTTTATCGTTATGGGTGGTGCTAGCTGATCCATAGAGTACAGGGGCTGCAAAATATCTCAAGAACTGATCTTCGGTTTTACAATAGTGATGTTATCCTGAGGAGCAATTGGGGGAGGTTTAGAATCTTGCAGCCTCCAGCTGCATGACTCCTAAACCATAATTTATAATCTTGTGGCTAATTTGTTAGTCCTGCGAAAGCAGTCTAGTCCCCAGGCAGGAAGCGGGTTTGTTTTGGAAAGGGCTGCTATTGTCTTTGTTTCAAAGCTAAACTATAAACTAAGTTCCTCCCAAAGTTAGGTCAGCCTACGACCAGGAATGAACAAGGACAGCTTGGAGGTTAGAAGCAAGATGGAATTGGTTAGGTTAGATCTCTCACTGTCTCAGTTGTAATTTTGCGATGGTGTTTTCAAATGTTGATTTAAAGAAGACCATAAATTTGTGTTGCTTTCTCAGATTTTGAGAATAAGGACAAAAAGTGTATGTTTTAATGGGAGAATCTTAAGAATTTCACTACTGAAGTGGATTTCTCTGTCCATTAACAGTGCTAAATGTTTTGTATTTCCCAGTTGGAAAAACAAAATCTGCAAGCTTTGAATGATACTTGTTATTAGGTTTTGGTAACAGCTGTTGTACTATTCCCATTTCAATGCTCAATAGCCACACGTGGCATGTCATACCTACCAGGTGGACAGCACAGATATAGAACATTTTCATCATTGTAAAAAGCCCTATTTGACAACACTAACTTAAAGTATTAATCTTTTAGAAGAGAAAGCTTCAGTCCAACCCAAATTACACAATTTTACTTTTGAAAATATTGTTGAAACAACGTTCAATTTTTTAAAATTTTGGAAAACTGAATGAAATCCATTTGTAAATGCGCAAATGGTACTGGAGGTGGAAAACTGAAGCCTTGCTATAGTTTTAGTTTTTTGGAGGGTTATGATCAACACAGAGAAGAAAAGATTCATCTACCCATAGAGCTTCTTGAGAAAAATTTTCTAACAATAATTTTGAAAATTTGTAGTGAATTTGTTCTTGCCATTATTTATGGGTGCTTTCATGTGCGAGGCACATCAAAGTTCTGGGGAATGACTTAGGCACAACCAAATGGCTATCTTGGGAAGACCAAAGTCCTTTGCTATATATGAGAGTTTTGAGATGGCGACTACCTTTCTGTATGGTAGATTCTTGTTTTTGAATATGCCCTCTGGGTTTTCAAAACAAATTGTTTTTACAATACCTATAGTAGTTATCTAGGGCATATTCTTTAGCTTCAAAAATTCTATCTTTAGAATGGGCTTCAATATTCATAACTGAGTTATTTTCCTCTAATAAATCATTAACATTTTCCCATGTTTTATTGTGGTGTTCATGGTAGTTTAAAATACCTTATAATAGCATATAATATGTATGAACAACCTGAAAATATATGTATGTGAACAACCTGAAGCCACATGTACTCTCAGTATACAGGTTAATTCTTAAACCTTCAACAAGATGTCATGCTCAAATTGGAACTACATTTGTGCTTCACACAAAGACCTTTCCGTCAATGACTGACTACATGTACGACCATGGTTTTATAAGACTATAATACCATATTTTTACTGTATCTTTCCTGTGTTTAAGTACACAAATACGTATCTGTGTGTTCCATTGCCCTACAGTATTCAATACAGTAACATGCTGTAGTGGTTTGTAGCCCAGCAGCAATGGACTACACCGTATAACCTAGGTGTGGAGTAGGCTATACCATCTAGGTTTGTGTTAAATACTCTCTAAAATGTTTGCACAGTGATGAAATGCCCTAATGACTAATTTTTCAGATCATATCCCTGAGGTTGATCTAGGCATGACTGTATTAGTCCAGTCATCTGAGTAGATGTTGGCAAAAGGATAGTTTCCGTTACAGAAAATTAAGATGGCATATCCAGTAGAAGAGCATACCTTGAATTTGTTTTATTTTTAATTTTTAAAAAAAGTTTTAGAGCAGTTTATAAGCAGTTTTTAAGTTTATAAGATCACATAAGTTCATTTACCATATTCTACCACCATAACTTGACGTAAGCCTGAATGAACATTTTATAAGCTCAGCCTTACTGTATACTAAGTTCAAGTTTACATCAAGTTACGGTGATAGTATATGGTAAGATGTTTTGCCCTGAAAGTCCTTATTTTAAAATATGTATAGTTAAACTGACACATAACAAAGCATGTGAGACAAAAGAAAAGAGGAGACAACCAGATGGATTCTAGTGAGTTTGAGCTGCCATCCTCTGACTTGCACGCAAGGGCAAAGATTCACTAATCCAACAAGTGCTTGCTAAAGATTTAGGGGAAATAACATTGCTTTTTTATTTCATTTTCCCCCAACAGTTCATTCCATTAATAGTGCTAGGAAGTTTTGACATGAGAATAGGAACACTTTTCTCGGGTTTTGAAGGGCCTTGTATAGTCATGCAAAGAAGAGCATCGTACAGTCATACAAAGTCTACAGTATGAGGGTGTAGCACAGATATAAGGTACTGGATTATATCTCTTTTTTTTTTTTTTTTTGAGATGGAGTTTCACTCTTGTTGCCCAGGCTGGAGTGCAATGTCGCGATCTCGGCTCACTGCAACCTCCGCCTCCCAGGTTCAAGCAATACTCCTGCCTCAGCCTCCCAAGTACCTGGGATTACAGGCATGCGCCACCATGCATGGCTAATTTTGTATTTTTAGTAGAGACGGGGTTTCTCCATGTTGGTCAGGCTTGTCTCAAACTCCCGACCTCAGGTGATCCGCCTGCCTCAGCCTACCAAGTGCTGGGATTACAGGCCTGAGCCACCGTGCCCGGCCATCTCTATTTTTTAAAAATATATTTGTGTGTAAATGTCTCAGTTATTTTAAAAACCTTGGTGCTATTTAATACTGTGGTTAACACTTTGGAAGAAAATGGCTAGGTTTGAGCCTGACCTTGTTGGTATAGGCTCACTCACACCTTCAGAATATGGGCATTGATGAAAGAAAAAATTCAGCTGAATTAAATTTAAAGGAGTTTAATTGAGCAATGAACGGTTTGCGAATCGGGCAGCCCCCAGAATCACAACAGATTCACAGAGACTCAGCGCAGTCACATGGTGGAAGAAGATTTATAGACCAAAAAAAAAAAAAAAAAAAAAGGGAGGGCCGAGCGCAGTGGCCCACGCCTATAGTCCCAGCACTTTGGGAGGCCGAGGTGTGTGGCTCACGAGGTCAGGAGTTCAAGACAAGCCTGACCAACATGGTGAAACCCCGTCTCTACTAAAAATACAAAAAAATTAGCCGGCTGTGGTGGCATGCTCCTGTAATCCCAGCTACTCAGGAGGCTGAGCCAGGAGAATTGCTTGAACCCGGGAGGCAGAGGTTTCAGTGAGCTGAGATCGAGCCACTGCACTCCAGCCTGGGCAACAGAGCAAAACAGCAAAACTCCTTCTTAAAAAAAAAAAAAAAAGGAATGACATATGGAAATTGGAAGTGAGGTACAGAATGGCTGGATGGGTTACAGCTCAGTTTTTGCCTTATTTGAACACAATTTGAACACTCAGCAGTGTATGAATGGTTGAATTACAGCCACTGGGATTGGCCAAGACTCAGCTATTGTTATAGGCACATATTCCTAAGTTAGGTTTTCAATCTTGTCTACCCATTAAACTAGGTTGCAATTCCTCCACAAGGACCCAAATATAAAAGTATGGAATCTTTCTCAGGCCATATTTAGTTTGCTTTAACAGCATAATCCACAGATTATGGTGCAGTGGATTCCGCTGATATTCAGGGGTGCTGACTCTAGTTTTCAATTAAGACAAGTGAAGAGAGACAGAACTCTGTTCCAGATAATGGATGTCTAGGTAATTCAGATAATCCCCCTGGTAAAGACAACAATAAAGCCGGGTGATATATAAAAATAATTCTTTCTTAAAGCATTAAAAATATAATAAACTAGTAATCAATTACCTGCTGAGTGTCAGTAAAAGAAACAAACCCAGAGAAGTGAATCTAGCAGTTGGGACCCCTTTTGCCCTGGCAACATTTGTAATCTGGATGTAGAAGCCAAGAGACTTATCTATGTTTCTGATAGCCTCATAGGGTTAGAGGAACAAAAACAGAAACCTAGGGCTGCCCAAAGTGGCGACATTGGTGATCATGCACTCCCCCTGAGGCTGCTTTCTAGGAGTAAAGGGGAACTGTAAGTAAACCTGCTCACCCATAAACTGCAGCTTGGCTTACCATCATCTGGTAGCCCATAAGACCCCAAACCTTGACACTGGTTTAAGGTGGGCTGTATTTCAGCACATCTAGGTTTCTGAAGAAGCAAAAGAAAATCCTCTCTGAAGGAATAAAACTTTAACCTAGACTTCACATTATTTCTAGAAATATTTTTTTCAAATACAAAACCCAGCATACAAACGTGCATACACATGAACAAACAAGTCTCCGTGAAAATCAACAGAAACAACAGACTCAAAAAAAGAAAAGAAAGAAAAGAGAGAGAAAGAAAGAGAGAAAGAAAGAAAAAAGAAAAAGAGAAAAGAAAGGAAAGAAAGAAAAAGAAATGACAGATACCAGAAATAGAATCTACTAAACTTCAGATTTGGAAATTATCAGATAAGGGTGTAACAAAACTGCTTACTATATTCAAAGAAACAAAAGCTAATCTAAAAAATTTAAGGAGCAAATTGAAAAATATAAAAACTGACGAAGTAGATTTAAAAATAAAAACCAAAATTTATTTGTAATTGAAATATATAATAACCAAAATTAAGAACTTGAAGGATAAATTAACAACAAACTTGACACAACTGAAAAGAGTATTAGTAAAGTGGAAAATAATTTAGAAGAAATTATTCAGAACACGCTGGGCGTGGTGGCTCACATCTGTAAACCCAGCACTTTGGGAGGCTGAGGCAGGTGGTTCACGAGGTCAGGAGATCGAGACCATCATGATAACTCGGTGAAACCCCATCTCTACTAAAAATACAAAAAATTAGCCAGGTGTGGTGGCAGGCACCTGTAGTCCCAGCTACTTGGGAGTCTGAGGCAGGAAAATGGCATGAACCCAGAAAGCGGAGCTTGCAGTGAGCCGAGATTGTGCCACTTTACTCCAGCCTGGGCAACAGAGCGATACTCTGTCTCATAAAAAAACAAAAAGTAATTATTCAGAACAAAGTATGGAGATGCAAAATAATGGTATTAATAGAAGAGAGGATAAGGAGATCTAATATATATTTAATTAGAATTTTTAATGGATGAAAGACAATAGAGCAGAGGCAATATTTGAATAAATAATAACTGAGATATATAAGACATGGAGAAATGCCACCTACATTCCCTCTCAAAGAAGGACTCATTTCCCTTAGTTGTTTGGAGTGCTGCCAATGTTCTAGGGTTTATCTCAGGTGCAGAGAGTTGATTCTCCCAAAAGCACACCCTTCCTGGGATGATGCACCTTCAACAATTGATTGCAGTGGAGTAAAAAGATTTGTCGTTTTGGCACCACAGGAGTATAGGCCATATGTAATCCAGTGCTCCCTATGGTGTTGGTTGAGACTTTGGCAGGTCTGCATCTCAGCTTAACTCACTTTTCCAGTTTGACAGCCTCATTCACGGTGCTCAGACCATGGAAGTATTTTGTGTTAGAAAAAGGACAATTGGCTGGGCATGGTGGCTCATGCCTGTAATCCCAGCACTTTGGGAGGCCGAGGTGGGAGGATCACTTGAGGTCAGGAGTTTGAGACCAGCCTGGCCAATATGGCAAAACCCCTTCTCTACTAAAAATACAAAAAATTAGCCAGGCATAGTGACAGCCGCCTGTAATCCCAGCTACTTGAGAGTCTGAGACAGGATAATCACTGGAACCTGGGAGGTGGAGGTTGCAGTGAGCTGAGATTGCGCTGTTGCAATCCAGCCTGGGTGACAGAGCGAGCCTCAATCTCAAAAAAAAAAAAAGGACAATTGTCAAAAGTAAGAAGCTGTAGTAGGGGGTCAGAAATATAAATAAATACTATCAGGGCTCAGGTCTAAGGGGGGAAATATTTTATTCTCTTATTTTTTGTACTTTAAGTTCTAGGGTACATGTGCACAATGTGCAGGTTTGTTACATATGTATACACGTGCCATGTTGGTATCCTGCACCCATTAACTTGTTATTTACATTAGGTATTTCTCCTAATGCTATCCCTCCCCACTAACCCACTCCACGACAGGCCCTGGTGTGTGACATTCCCCTTCCTGTGTCCAAGTGTTCTTATTGTTCAATTCCCCCCATGAGTGAGAACATGAGGTGTTTTGTTTTCTGTCCTTGTTATGGTTTGCTGAGAATGATGGTTTCCAGCTTCATCCATGTCCCTACAAAGGACATGAACTCATCCTTTTTTATGGCTGCATAGTATTCCATGGTGTATATGTGCCACATTTTCCTAATCCAGTCTATCATTGATGGATATTTGGGTTGTTCCAAGTCTTTGCTATTGTGAATAGTGCCGCAATAAACATATGTGTGCATGTGTCTTTATAGTAGCATAATTTATAATCCTTTGGGTATATACCCAGTAATGGGATTGCTGAGTCAAATAGTATTTCTAGTTCTAGATCCTTGAGGAATTATCACACTGTCTTCCACGATGGCTGAACTAGTTTACAGTCCCACCAACAGTGTAAAAGCATTCCTATTTCTCCACATCCTCTCCAGCACCTGTTGTTTCCTGACTTTTTAATGATCACCATTCTAACTGGTGTGAGATGGTATCTCATTGTGGTTTTGATTTGCATTTCTCTGATGGCCAGTGATGATGAGCATTTTTTCATGTGTCTTTTGGCTGCATAAATGTCTTCTTTTGAGAAGTGTCTGTTCATATCCTTTGCCCACTTTTTGATGGGGTTGTTTGATTTTTTCTTGTAAATTTGTTTGAGTTCTTTGTAGATTCTGGATATTAGCCCTTTGTCAGATGGGTAGATTGCAAAAATTTACTCCCATTCTGTAGGTTGCCTGTTCACTCTGATGGTAGTTTCTTTTGCTGTGCAGAAGCTCTTTAGTTTAATTAGATCCCATTTGTTTATTTTGGCTTTTGTTGTCATTGCTTTTGGTGTTTTAGTCATGAAGTCCTTGTCCATACCTATGTCCTGAATGGTATTGCCTAGGTTTTGTTCTAGGGTTTTTATGGTTTTAGGTCTAACATTTAAGTCTTTCATCCATCTTGAATTAATTTTTGTATAAGGTTTAAGGGAGGGATCCAGTTTCAGCTTTCTACATATGGCTAGCCAGTTTTCTCAGCACCATTTATTAAATAGGGAATCCTTTCCCCATTTCTTGTTTTTGTCAGGTTTGTCAAAGATCAAATGGTTGTAGACGTGTGGTATTATTTCTGAGGGCTCTATTCTGTTCCATTGGTCTATATATCTATTTTGGTACCAGTACCATCTGTTTTGGTTACTGTAACCACGTAGTATAGTTTGAAGTCAGGTAGCGTGATGCCTCCAGCTTTGTTCTTTTGGCTTAGGATTGTCTTGGCAATGCAGGCTCTTTTTTGGTTCCATATGAACTTTAAAGTAGTCTTTTCCAATTCTGTGAAGAAAGTCATTGGTAGCTTGAGGGAGATGGCATTGAATCTATAAATTACCTTGGGCAGTAGGGCCATTTTCATGATATTGATTCTTCCTATCCATGAGCATGGAATGTTCTTCCATTTGTTTGTGTCCTCTTTTATTTTGTTGAGCAGTGGTTTGTAGTTCTTCTTGAGGAGGTCCTTCACATCCCTTGTAAGTTGGATTCCTAGGTATTTTATTCTCTTTGTAGCAATTGTGAATGGGAGTTCCCTCATGATTTGGCTCTCTGTCTGTTACTGATGTATAGGAATGCTTGTGATTTTTGCACATTGATTTTGTATCCTGAGACTTTGCTGAAGTTGCTTATCAGCTTAAGGAGATTTTGGACTGAGACGATGGGGTTTTCTAAATATACAATCATGTCATCTGCAAGCAGGGACAATTTGACTTCCTCTTTTCCTAATTGAATACCCTTTATTTGTTTCTCTTGCCTGATTGCCCTGGCCAGAACTTCCAACACTATGTTGAATAGAAGTGGTGAGAGAGGGCATCCCTGTCTTGTGCCAGCTTTAAAAGGGAATGCTTCCAGTTTTTGCCCATTCAATATGATATTGGCTGTGGGTTTGGCATAAACAGCTCTTATTATTTTGAGATACGTCCCATCAATACCTAGTTTATTGAGAGTTTTTAGCATGAAGGGCTGTTGAATTTTGTCGAAGGCCTTTTCTGCATCTATTGAGATAATCACATGGTTTTTGGCTTTGGTTCTGTTTATGTGATGGATTACATTTATTGATTTTCATATGTTGAACAAGCCTTGTATCCCAGGGATGAAGCCAACTTGTTCTTGGTGGATAAGCTTTTTGATGTGCTGCTCGATTTGGTTTGCCTGTATTTTATTGAGGATTTTCGCATCGATGTTCATCAGGGATATTGGTCTAAAATTCTCTTTTTTTGTCATGTCTCTGCCAGGCTTTGGTATCAGGATAATGCTTGCCTCATAAAATGAGTTAGGGATGAGTCCCTCTTTTTCTATTGTTTGGAATAGTTTCAGAAGAAATCGGACTAGCTCCTCTTTGTACCTGTGGTAGAATTCTGCTGTGAATCCGTCTGGTCCTGGACTTTTTTTGGTTGGTAGGCTATTAATTATTGCCTCAATTTCAGAGCCTGTTATTGGTCTATTCAGGGATTCAACTTCTTCCCAGTTTAATCTTAGGAGAGTGTATGTGTCCAGGAATTTATCCATTTCTTCTAGATTTTCTAGTTTATTTGCATAGAGGTGTTTATAGTATTCTCTGATGGTAGTTTGCATTTCTGTGGGATCGGTGGTGATATCCCCTTTATCATTTTTCATTGCATCTGTTTGATTAGTCTCTATTTTCTTCTTTATTAGTCTTGCTGGTGATGTATCAATTTTGTTGATCTTTTCAAAAAAGCCAGCGCCTGGATTCATTGATTTTTTGAATGGTTTTTTGTGTTTCTGTCTCCTTCAGTTCTGCTCTGATCTTAGTTATTTCTTGCCTTCTGCTAGCTTTTGAATGTGTTTGCTCTTGCTTCTCTAGTTCTTTTCATTGTGATGTTAGGATGTCGATTTTAGATCTTTCCTGCTTTCCCTTGTGGGCATTTAGTGCTATAAATTTCCCTCTACACACTGCTTTAAATGCGTCCCAGAGATTCTGGTATGTTGTGTCTTTGTTCTCATTGGTTTCAAAGAACATCTTTATTTCTGCCTTCATTTTGTTATTTACCCAGTAGTCATTCAGGAGTAAGTTGTTCAGTTTCCATGTAGTTGTGCAGTTTTGAATGAGGTTCTTAATCCTGAGTTCTAATTTGATTGCACTGTGGTCTGAGAGACAGTTTGTTGTGATTTCTGTTCTTTTACATTTGCTGAGGAGTGCTTTACTTCCAACTTTGTGGTCAATTTTGGAATAAGTGTGATGTGGTGCTGAGAAGAATGTATATTCTGTTTATTTGGGGTGGAGAGTTCTGTAGATGTCTATTAGGTCTGCTTGGTCCAGAGCTGAGTTCAAGTCCTGAATATCCTTGTTAACCTTCTGTCTCATTGATCTGTCTAATATTGACAGTGGGGTGTTAAAGTCTCCCATTATTATTGTGTGGGAGTCTAAGTCTCTTTGTAGGTCTCTAAGGACTTGCTTTATGAATCTGGGTGCTCCTGTATTGGGTGCATATATATTTAGGATAGTTAGCTCTTCTTGTTGAATTGACCCCTTTACCATTATGTAATGGCCTTCTTTGTCTTTGTTGATCTTTGTTGGTTTAAAGTCTGTTTTATCAGAGACTAGGATTGCAACTGCTGCTTTTTTTTTTGCTTTACATTTGCTTGGTAGATCTTCCTCCATCCCTTTATTTTGAGCCTGTGTGCGTCTCTGCATGTGAGATTGGTCTCCTGAATACAGCACACTTGATGGGTCTTGACTCTTTATCCAATTTGCCAGTCTGTGTCTAATTTAATTGGGGCATTTAGCCCATTTACATTTAAGGTTAATATTGTTATGTGTGAATTTGATCCTGTCATGATGTTAGCTGGTTATTTTGCCCATTAGTTGATGCAGTTTCTTCCTAGCATCGATGGTCTTTACAATTTGGCATGATTTTGCAGTGGCTGGTACCAGTTGTTCCTTTCCATGTTTAGCGCTTCCTTCAGGAGCTCTTGTAAGGCAGGCCTGGTGGTGACAAAATCTCTCAGCATTTGCTTGTCTGCAAAGGATTTTATTTCTCCTTCAATTATGAAGCTTAGTTTGGCTGGATATGAAATTCTAGGTTGAAAATTCTTTTCTTTAAGAATGATAAATATTGGCCCCCACTCTCTTCTGGCTTGTAGAGTTTCTGCCAAGAGATCTGCTGTTAGTCTGATGGGATTCCCTTTGCGGGTAACCCGACCTTTCTCTCTGGCTGCCCTTAACATTTTTTCCTTCATTTCAACCTTGGTGAATCTGACAATTATGTGTCTTGGGATTGTTTTTCTCGAGGAGTATCTTTGTGGTGTTCTCTGTATTTCCTGAATTTGAATGTTGGCCTGCCTTACTAGGTTGGGGAAGTTCTCCTGGATAATATCCTGAAGAGTGTTTTCCAACTTGGTTCCATTCTCCCTGTCAGTGTCAGGTACACCAATCAGACGTAGATTTGGTCTTTTCACATAGTCCCATATTTCTTGGAGGCTTTGTTTGTTTCTTTTTAGCCTTTTTTCTTTTATTTATTTATTTTTTTTTGAGACAGAGTCTCACTGTGTCACCGAGGCTGGAGGGCAGTGGTGCCATCTTGGCTCACTGCAAGCTCCACCTCCCGGGTTCACGCCATTCTCCTGCCTCAGCCTCCCGAGTGGCTGGGACTACAGGCGCCCGCCACCATGCCCAGCTAATGTTTTGTATTTTTAGTAGAGACGGGGTTTCACCGTGTTAGCCAGGATGGTCTCGATCTCCTGACGTTGTGATCCGCCCGCCTCGGCCTCCCAAAATGCTGGGATTACAGGCGTGAGCCACCGCGCCCGGCTTCTTTTTACCCTTTTTTCTCTAAATTCTCTTCTTGCTTCGTTTCATTAATTTGATCTTCAATCACTGATACCCTTTCTTCCACTTGATGGAATCGGCTACTGAAGCTTTTACATGTGTCACGTAGTTCTCGTGCCATGGTTTTCAGCTCCATCAGGTCCTTTGAGGTCTTCTCTACACTGTTTATTCTAGTTAGCCATTTGTCTAATCTTTTTTCAAGGTTTTTAGCTTCCTTATGATGGGTTCAAACCGCCTCCTTTAGCTCGGAGAAGTTTGTTATTACTGACCTTCTGAAGCCTACTTCTGTCAATTCATCAAAGTGATTCTCCATCCAGCTTTGTTCCATTGCTGGTGAGGAGCTGCGATCCTTTGGAGGAGAAGAGGTGTTCTGGTGTTTAGGATTTTCAGCTTTTCTGCTCTGGTTTCTCTCCATCTTTGTGGTTTTATCTGCCTTTGGTCTTTGATGATGGTGACCTACAGATGGGCTTTTGGTGTGGATGTCCTTGTTGTTGATGTTGATGCTATTTCTTTCTGTTTGTTAGTTTTCCTCCTAACAGGTCTCTGAGCTGCAGGTCTGTTGGAGTTTGCTAGAGGTCCACTCCAGACCCTGTTTGCCTGGGTATCACCAGCAGAGGCTGCAGAACAGCAGATATTGCAGAACAGCAAATATTACTGCCTGATCCTTCTTCTGGAAGCTTCGTCTCAGAGGGGCACCTGGCTGTATGAGGTGTTAGTCGGCCCCTACTGGGAGGTGTCTCCCAGTTAGGCTACACAGGGGTCAGGGACCCACTTGAGGAGGCAGTCTGTCCCTTCTTAGGACTCAAACTCCGTGCTGGGAGAACCACTGCTCTCTTCAGAGCTGTCAGACAGGGACGTTTAAGTCTGCAGAAGTTTCTGCTGCCTTTTGTTCAGCTATGCCCTGCCCCCCAGAGGTGGAGTCTACAAAGGCAGGCAGGCCTCCTTGAGCTGTGGTGGACTCCACCCAATAAGAGCTTCTGGGCCACTTTGTTTGCCTACTCAAGCCTCAGCAATGGAGGACCCCCTCCCCCAGCCAGGCTGCCACCTCGCTGTTCGATCTCGGACTGCTGCTCTAGCAGTGAGCAAGGCTCCGTGGGCGTAGGACCCTCTGAGCCAGGCTCTGGGTATAATCTCCTGGTGTGCCATTTGCTAAGACCATTGGAAAAGTGCAGTATTAGGGCAGGAGTGTCCCGATTTTCCAGGTACACTCTGTCACAGTTTCCCTTGGCTGGGAAAGGGAAATCCCCTGAACCTTGCACTTCCCAGGTGAGGCGATGCTCCGCCCTGCTTCAGCTCACCCTCCATGGGCTGTACCCACTGTCCAACCAGTCCCAGTGAGATGAACCAGTTACCTTAGTTGGAAATGCAGAAATCACCTATCTTCTGTGGCAATCACGCTGGGAGCTGCAGACCAGAGCTGTTCCTATTTGGCCATCTTGTTTTCACTCTATTTTATTCTCTTCTAACAGGGGATTTCTTTTTTGTTTTTTGTTTTTTTTTCCGAGATGCAGTCTCACTCTGTCCCTCAGGCTGGAGTGCAGTGGCACAATCTCGGCTCCCAGGTTCAAGTGATTCTTCTGCCTCAGCTTCCTGAGTAGTTGGGACTACAGGTGGGTACCACCATACCTACCTAATTTTTGTATTTTTAGTAGAAATGGGGTTTCACCATGTTGGCCAGGCTGGTCCCAAACTCCTGACCTCGTGATGCACACACCTCGGTCTCCGAAAGTGCTGGGATTTCAGGTGTGAGCCACTGCGCCCCACAGTAATGTTTCCATTTCAATTCTGATTTTAGTGACTTGAATCATCTCTCCCTTATCTTGGTCAATCTAGTTTAGGGTTTGACAATTTTGTTTACCTTTTTAAGAAATAAATATTTTATTTTATTTATTTATTTATTGTTTTTCTATTTCATTAGTTTCCACTCTAATCTTTATTTCTTTCCTTCCTGTTGCGTTAGCTTTAGTTTGCTCGTCTTTTTTCAGTGTCTTACAATGTAAGGGCTATTGATTT